>NC_000011.10:59373558-59676589 GCF_000001405.40 Homo sapiens
CATTTGATTGGTGCACCCAAAACTGATGGGGAGAATGGAACCAAGTTGAAAAACACTCTTCAGGATATGATCCAGGAGAAATTCCCCAACCTAGAAGGCAGGCCAACAATCAAATTCAGGAAATACAGAGAATGCCACAAAGAAACCCCTCCAGAAGGGCAACCCCAAGACACATAATTGTTAGATTCACCAAGGTGGAAATGAAGGAAAAAATGTTAAGGGCAGCCAGAGAGAAAGGTCAGATTACCCACAAAGGGAAGCCCACCAGACTAACAGTGGATCTCTCACCAGAAACTCTACAAGCCAGTAGAGAGTGGGGGCCAATATTCAACATTCTTAAAGAAAAGAATTTTCAACCCAGCATTTCATATGCAGCCAAACTAAGTTTCATAAGTGAAGGAGAAATAAAATCCTTTACAGATGAGCAAATGCTGAGAGGTTTTTTCACCACCAGACCTGCCTTACAAGAGCTCCTGAAGGAAGCATTAAACATGGAAAGGAACAATGGGTGTCAGCCACTGCAAAAACATGCCAAATTGTAAAGACCATCGATGCTAGGAAGAAACTGCATCAGCTAATGGGCAAAATAACCAGCTAACATCATAATGACAGGATGAATTTCACACATAACAATATTAACCTTAAATGTAAATGGGCTAAATGCCCCAATTAAAAGACACAGGCTGGCAAATTGGATAAGGAGTCAAGACCCACAAGTGTGCTGTATTCAGGACACCCATCTCACATGCACAGACACACATAGGCTGAAAATAAAGGGATGGAGGAAAATCTACCAAGTAAATCGAAACAAAAACAAAAAAAAAGCCAGGGGCTGCAATCCTAGTCTCTGATATAACAGACTTTAAACCAACAAAGATCAAAAGAGACAAAGAAGACCATTATATAATGGCAAAGGGATCAATTCAACAAGAAGAGCTAACTATCCTAAATATATATGCACCCAATACAAGAGCACCCAGATTCATAAACCAAGTCCTTAGAGAACCACAAGGAGGCTTACACCCCCACACAACAATATTGGGAGACTTTAAAACCCCAATGTCAATATTAGACAGATCAATGAGACAGAAGGTTAAGAAGAATACGTAAGACTTGAACCCAGCTCTGCACCAAGCAGACCTAATAGACATCTATGGAACTCTCCACCCAAAATCAACAGAATATACATTCTTTTCAGCACCACACCACACCTATTCCAAAATTGACCACATAGTTGGAAGTAAAGCACTCCTAAGCAAATGTAAAAGAACAGAAATCACAACAAACTGTCTCTCAGACCACAGTGCAATCAAATTAGAACTCAGGATTAAGAAACTCACTCAAAACCACACAACTACATGGAAACTGAACAACCTATCCCTGAAGGACTACTGGGTAAATAATGAAATGAAGGAAGAAATAAAGATGTTCTTTGAAACCAATAAGAACAAAGACACAAAGTACCAGAATCCCTAGGACACATTTAAAGCAGGGTGTAGAGGGAAATTTATAGCACTAAATGCCCACAAGAGAAAGCAGCAAAGATCAAAAATTGACACCCTAACATCACAAATAAAAGAATTAGAGAAGCAAGAGCAAACACATTCAAAAGCTAGCAGAAGGTAAGAAATAACTAAGATCAGAGCACAACTGAAGGAGATAGAGACACAAAAAACACTTCAAAAAATTAATGAATCCAGGAGCTGGTTTTTTGAAAGGATCAACAAAATTGATAGACCGCTAGCAAGACTAATAAAGAAGAAAAGAGAGAAGAATCAAATAGATGCAATAAAAAATGATAAAGGGGTTATCACCACGGATCCCACAGAAATACAAACTACCATCAGAGAATACTACAAACACCTCTATGCAAATAAACTGGAAAATCTAGAAGAATAACCAAAACAGCATGGTACTGGTACCAAAACAGAGATATAGATCAATGGAACAGAACAGAGCCCTCAGAAATAACACCACATATCTACAACTATTAGATCTTTGACAAACCTGAGAAAAACAAGCAATGGGGAAAAGATTCCCTATTTAATAAATGGTGCTGGGAAAACTGGCTAGCCATATGTAGAAAGCTGAAACTGGGTCCCTTCCTTACACCTTATACAAAAATCAATTCAAGATGGATTAAAGACTTAAACCTTAGACCTAAAACCGTAAAAACCCTAGAAGAAAACCTGGGCATTACCATTCAGGACATAGGCATGGGCAAGGACTTCATGTCTAAAACACCAAAAGCAATGGCAACAAAAGCCAAAACTGACAAATGGGATCTAATTAAACTGAAGAGCTTCTGCACAGCAAAAGAAACTACCATCAGAGTGAACAGGCAACCTACAAAATGGGAGAAAATTTTCGCAATCTACTCATCTGACAAAGGGCTAATATCCAGAATCTACAATGAACTCAAACAAATTTACAAGAAAAAAACAAACAACCCCATCAAAAAGTGGGCAAAGGACATGAACAGACACTTCTTAAAAGAAGACATTTATGCAGCCAAAAAACACATGAAAAAATGCTCACCATCACTGGCCATCAGAGAAATGCAAATCAAAACCACAATGAGATACCATCTCACACCAGTTAGAATGGCAATCATTAAAAAGTCAGGAAACAACAGGTGCTGGAGAGTATGTGGAGAAATAGGAACACTTTTACACTGTTGGTGGGACTGTAAACTAGTTCAACCCTTGTAGAAGTCAGTGTGGCGATTCCTCAGGGATCTAGAACTAGAAATACCATTTGACCCAGCCATCCCATTACTGGGTATATACCCAAAGGACTATAAATCATGCTGCTATAAAGACACATGCACACGTATGTTTATTGTGGCACTATTCACAATAGCAAAGACTTGGAACCAACCCAAATGTCCAACAATGATAGACTGGATTAAGAAAATGTGGCACATATGCACCATGAAATACTATGCAGCCATAAAAAATGATGAGTTCATGTCCTTTGTAGGGACATGGATGAAATTGGAAATCATCATTCTCAGTAAACTAGCACAAGAACAAAAAACCAAACACCGCATGTTCTCACTCATAGGTGGGAATTGAACAATGAGAACACATGGACACAGGAAGGGGAACATCACACTCTGGGGACTGTTGTGGGGTGGTGGGATGGGGGAGGGATAGCTTTAGGAGATATACCTAATGTTAAATGACGAGTTAATGGGTGCAGCACACCAGCATGGCACATGTATACATATGTAACTAACCTGCACATTGTGCACATATACCTGAAACTTAAAGTATAATAATAAAAAAATTAAATTAAATTAAAAAGAACACAGATGCTGGCAAAGCTTCAAAGCAAAGGGACTGCTTATACAGTGTTGGTGGGAATGTAAATTAGTTCAGCCACTGTGGAAAGCAGTTCTGAGATTTCTCAAAGAACCTAAAACAGTTACCATTCAACCCAGCAATCCCATCACTGGTTACACATTCAAAAGAAAACAAATGGTTCTACAAAAAGACACATGCACTTGTGTGTTCTTTGCAAGTTGCAAGAGCTGACTGACTATGGGTAAAAGGTATTAGAGGGATAATAGATAAGTGTCTATATAATCTTGAGATGAGAAAGATATCTCTGAAACATAACACCAAATAGAAATGATAGGAAAAATATACAATAAAACAATTTAAAATTTGGTTATGACAGAAAAATTCACTTGTATGAAACACATTTGAAATTCAATTAATGAACTGGGAAATAATAATCACAAAATATTTTAAAAGACAGTGTAGTAAGGCCTTTATGGTTTAAAAATAACTTTAAAATTACCAGTGATTCATGCACCAAATGGTTCTATCTTTCTGGAAAAAAATTGGTTTATATTATCTCTCTCACTTTCTTTCTTACACACACACCCACCCCTATATGAGCCAGCTATAATGCCAAATGTTAAAAGTAATGAATGGTATAATTTTTATTTTCTTCTTTATAATTACCTGTATTTTCTCAATTTTCTACAACTCCTTTATTTATAATTAGTTATTAAGATACATAAATCCTTAATATTTAGTAGAGGGTGGAGAGAATGAGAGAGAGACTTTCCTGAATTTTGCTTGCTAGCTCTGTGATGTTTAGCCAGTTATTTACCTCTCTATACCTCAGTTGCCTCATTTACAAATGAATCTGCTAATAGTTACTGCCTTGTAGGGTTGTTGCAAGTGTTGAATGACATGAAGGGCTTAAAACAGGAAGGATTTAATAAATGTCAGCAATGATCATTCCCATCACCACTTCTCTCTGCAAAAAAGGAAAAGGGAGAAATTAATGCCCAAGTGTCAAAGAATTCTTAATAAAATTACTTCCCAAATTAGACTGTCTCCAAGCCTACACTCAAGAATATGATTAATAAATGATTGTATTTGTTTCTATCTTTTATTATTGTGTTATCTCACACTCAGCTGAATTGTAAATTCTTTTTAAGTTGCACCATCACCAAGTGCCCTTAAGATGACAACAGTAACTACATACAGCACATGGACTAGTGGAGATGTTTTACTACTTAATGCTAAGCATCATGGTTACTGATACTAACACATTAATAAATGGTTCTTTCACCCAGATTTAGACGTATAACTAAGAAGATCTTATGTTTATTTTGTTTTCATTGTGGTTTTATGAACTTGGAAATCTTTCTGTTTACTATTAGAATAAAGTGTTGTCAATAAAATTTCTCAGGTATTTTATCCAAGATGAGTTATATTTAATAAAAATACTTTGAAAATATAAGCTGTCATTGACAACATCCCCCAAACACAAAGGTAATTGGACAGTTCAATGAAAAAAGTCAAACTGTTGATCAATTATTTGTAATTTGTAATTTGTAATTCCTCACATTTTTATTACATTCCAGTGACACAGGCCATAATTAAATATATTCTATTTAATCCACCATTTCCAGAAAAGAGCAAAACCTTATAGATTGTTTTTCTTATTTATTATAAAATTTGTCCTGAAAATTTATCTTTTTAAAGTTTGGTAAACTAAAGAAAAAGGATAAATGCACTCATTCTTTTTCATTACATTTCTTGCATGTGTTCACCATCTCCCTAGAAAATTTGCAGGAGAAAAAGTGACTAATGTAAATATTGGTTGGGGATTTTGCTACAAATATTAGTCGTAGGCAATCCAAATCTTTTCCAATTCTGATCTAATAAGAAGATGGTCAGTTTGTGGCATTGTGCAGAATACGAAATCGGGTAAAACCAGGAATGTTGTTGAATGAAGAGCACTGTAAATAAAAGAAGGTGAAAAGGAATACTTAGACCAACTAAGACCAACTACCCGTGTTTAGAGTGGGTATTTCTGATTTCTACATTATGTAGGCTACTGTCTCCAGACCTCCAAGTTCTCCAAAAACAACAATGGAGAGCCATTTGAAGTATTTCAAAAGGTCTAATGGAATTGTACATGAGTACTTTCTCATATCATCTTGCAGTGATGCAACTGGGCTCTTACTACTCAGAAATTATTAATCAAAGCTGTGTATTTAAATAAAAATTAAATCAATAATATTTCAAAACAGAATTCATTTTTTAACAGGTGAAAAAAAAACAGAAAGTAACAGAGGTCAAATCATATCCTTAAGAAATTGCAGAACTGGAATTCAACACCTATTTTTCATCCCAGAGTAATAACTTGAAATTTTATGTTGAGATTATTATTTTCATTGAGGTCAGAAAATTTCTGTAAGGCGAAAGAGAACTCAAGGAAAAGCCCTAGGTGGGGGAAATGGAAGCAAAGAAGTGAGAAGAGTTGAATAATGGGAGAGACTGAGGACCATAAACCTTGTTTACTGAAAGAATCAGAGATAATTAGATAGCAGAGAAGCAACCATTCCATCTAAGTCTTGCCCTGTGAACTTGACCCAGATCCCTCAAAAAGACACAATTCTTGCCAAAGGTTAAAATTAATTATTTCTCGTACAAAGGAATTTTCCATGTGGGCCCCATTGCACTCTAAGATGGATGATTTTGGCCACAAAACTTGCTGTTCACTCACAGCAAAAGCGATGACCACAACTTCAGATCTTCTTAAACGTGCCGTTGAGAGCAGAGAATAAAGGGGAAAAGCCAATTCAAGGGAGAAAACATTCCAGGTACTTGCTCTCTGGTGTCATCATTGTCATGGAGCTTTTGTCCCTACAGATTTCATGCCCCACTTTGCCATGTCCCCACTGGATTCATTCCCTACTTCCCAATGGTCTATATGATGGTCTCGTGACTGTAGATTTTCTTTACTAACTTTGGAGTCATTTGAGCTGGAAAGGATATAGGAACCTAGGGATCTTATAGTCCAAACTATCCATTTCAGGTGGAGAACCTGAGGCCAGAGAAGCTAAGGGATTGTCCCAAGATAGCACAGCTTGCTGGTAATACAGCTTGATAACAATAAGTTAAATTCATGTACATATTTGTATTTCTGTGGTATTACTTATAATATCTCCTTTTTCATTTGTGATTGTCTTTATTTGAGTCCTCTCTTGGTTATTCTCACTAATGGCTTATCAATTTTTGTTTATTATTTTAAAAACCAAATTTTTGTTTCATTTATCCTTTATATCATTTTTGGTCTCTATTTCATTTAGTTCTGCTGTAATCATTGTTATTTCTTTATTTCTGCTAATTTTGAATTTGGTTTGATCTCACTTTTCTAGTTCCTTATTTAGAATTGTTATTTTCTCTTGCTGAGTTGTTTCCTTTATCATTATATGATCATCTTCTTTATCCTTTTATTGTTTTTAATTTAAAGCCTGTTTTATCTAATTATAGCTAATTCTGCTTGCTCTTGGTTTCCATTTGTGTGAAATACCTTTTTCCACTGCTTTACTTTCAGTCTGTATGTGCCTTTACAGATAAGATGAGTTTGTTGTAGACAGCTTATGGTTAAGTCATGTTTTTTAACCCATCTTACCAATGTATACCTTTTAAAAGCAGTGTTTAATTCTTTTATGTTCAAGGTTAGTATTGATAGGTGAGGTTTTGTTCCTGTCATATTATTAATTGTTGTCTAGTTATTTTATACATTCTCTTTTCTCTGTTTTTCTCATTGTTCATTTTTGGTTTTGTGGAATTCTGTAGTGGTGTCATTGTGTTCCTTTCACTTCCCCTTTTGTATTATTGCATTAACAATGAGTTTTATGTTTGTGTGTTTTCATGATGGTGAATACCATTCTTTCACTTTCAAGTTTAGGAATCCTTTGATCATTTCTTCTATTTCCAATCTAGTCGTGGCAAATTCTATCAGCATTTGCTTATCTGGAAAAGAGTATTTCTCCTAAAGCTTAATTCTTGCTGTATACAGAATTCTTGGCTACTAGTTTGCTTTTTTTCTTTCAACACTTGGAATACGTCATTTCACTACCTTCTTACCAGCAAAGTTTCTGCTGATAAGTCTGCTGTTATTCTGAAGTAGTTTCCTTTGTAGATGACTAGATGTTTTTCTCTTGCCAATTTTAGAATTTGTTCATTCATATGATTTTAGATAGTCTAATAATATGCTATGGCAAACTCATTTAGGCATTGTAATTTTCTGGGGATCACTGAGCTTCTTTTATTCAGATGTCTGAATTTCTTGATACACTTGGGAGGTTTTTATACATTATTTCATTAATAAATTTCTTAACCTTTTTTCCTCAGGAATACCAATAATTTATTATTTAGGTCATTTTAGATAGTCTTAAAAGTCTTGAAGGCTTTGTTTATTCTATTTTATTTTTATCTGACTGTATTATATTTTTAAAACCTATCTTCAAGTTCTGATTCTTCCTTGTGCTTAATCTAGTCTATTCTTGAAGGCTTCAAATGTATTTTGTAATTCTTGCAATAAAATTTTCAGTTCTAGAATTACTGTTTTTTTTTAAGATATCTATCTCCTTGGTAAATTACTCATTCATATCTTAAAATGATTTTCTGATTTCTTTGTATTGATTTTCAGATTTCTCTTGAAGTTCATTGAGCTTCTTTAAAATCAATATTTTGAATTTTTATCTGGAAATTTTAGAATTTATTTGTGTTCAGCACTTATTGCTGGAGAATTATTGTGGTTTTTTGAGGGTGTGGTTTTTTATTATACTTGAAGTTTTAGGGTACAAGTGCACAATGTGCAGGTTTGTTACATATGTATACATGTGCCATGTTGGTGTGCTGCACCCATTAACTTGTCATTCAACATTAGGTATATCTCCTAATGCTATCCCTCCCCCCTCCCCCCACCCCACAACAGGTCCCGGTGTGTGATGTTCCCCTTCCTGTGTCCATGTGTTCTCATTGTTCAATTCCCACCTATGAGTAAGAACATGCAGTGTTTGATTTTTTGTCCTTGTGATAGTTTGCTGAGAATGATGGTTTCCAGCTTCATCCATGTCCCTACAAAGGACATGAACTCATCATTTTTTATGGCTGCATAGTAATCAATGGTGTATATGTGCCACATTTTCTTAATCCCGTCTATCATTGTTGGACATTTGGGTTGTTTCCAAGTCTTTGCTATTGTGAATAGTGCCACAATAAACATACATGTGCATGTGTCTTTACAGCAGCAGGATTTATAATCCTTTGGGTATATACCCAGTAATGGGTTTACTGGGTCAAATGGTATTTCTAGTTCTAGATCCCTGAGGAATCGCCACACTGACTTCCACAATGGTTGAACTAGTTTACAGTCCTACCAACAATGTAAAATTGTTCCTATTTCTCCACATCCTCTCCGGCACCTGTGGTTTCCTGACTTTTTAATGATTGCCATTCTAACTGGTGTGAGATGGTATCTCATTGTGGTTTTGATTTGCATTTCTCTATGGCCAGTGATAATGGGCATTTTTTCATGTGTCTTTTGGCTGCATAAATGTCTTCTTTTGAGAAGTGTCTGTTCATATACTTCACCCACTTTTTGATGGGGTTGTTTGTTTTTTCTTATAAATTTGTTTGAGTTCATTGTAGATTCTGGATATTAGCCCTTTGTCAGATGAGTAGATTGCAAAATTTTCTCCCATTCTGTAGGTTGCTATTGACTCTGATGGTAGTTTCTTTTGCTGTGCAGAAGCTCTTTAGTTTAATTAGATCCCATTTGTCAATTTTGGCTTTTGTTGCCATTCCTTTTGGTGTTTCAGTCATGAAGTCCTTGCCCATGCCTATGTCCTGAATGGTATTGGCTAGGTTTTCTTGTAGGGTTTTTATGGTTTCAGGTCTCACATTTAAGTCTTTAATCCATCTTGAATTAATTTTTGTATAAGGTGTAAGGAAGGGATCCAGTTTCAGCTTTCTACATATGGCTAGCCAGTTTTCCCAGCACCATTTATTAAATAGGGAATCCTTTCCCCAGTTCTTGTTTTTGTCAGCTTTGTCAAAGATCAGATGGTAGTAGATATGTGGCATTATTTCTGAGGGCTCTGTTCTGTTCCATTGGTCTATATCTCTGTTTTGGTACCAGTACCATGCTGTTTTGTTTATTGTAGCCCTGTAGTATAGTTTGAAGTCAGGTAGTGTGATGCCTCCAGCTTTGTTCTTTTGGCTTAGGATTGACTTGGCGATGTGGGCTCTTTTTTGGTTCCATATGAACTTTAAAGTAGTTTTTTCCAATTCTGTGAAGAAAGTCATTGGTAGCTTGATGGGGATGGCATTGAATCTATAAATTACCTTGGGCAGTATGGCCATTTTCACAATATTGATTCTTCCTACCCATGAGCATGGAAAGTTCTTCCATTTGTTTGTATCCTCTTTTATTTCATTGAGTAGTGGTTTGTAGTTCTCCTTGAAGAGGTCCTTCATGTCCCTTGTAAGTTGGATTCCTAGGTATTTTACTCTCTTTGAAGCAATTGTGAATGGGAGTTCAATCATGATTTGGCTGTCTGTTTGTCTGTTATTGGTGTATAAGAATGCTTGTGATTTTTGCACATTGGTTTTGTATCCTGAGACTTTGCTGAAATTACCTATCAGCTTAAGGAGATTTTGGGCTGAGACGATGTGGTTTTCTAGATATACAATTATGTCATCTGCAAACAGGGACAGTTTGACTTCCTCTTTTCCTAATTGAATACCCTTTATTTCCTTCTCCTGCCTGATTGCCCTGGCCAGAACTTCCAACACTATGTTGAATAGGAGTGGTGAGAGAGGGCATCCCTGTCTTGTGCCAGTTTTCAAAGGGAATGCTTCCAGTTTTTGCCCATTCAGTATGATATTGGCTGTGGGTTTGTCATAGATAGCTCTTATTATTTTGAGATACATCCCATCAATACCTAATTTATTGAGAGTTTTTAGCATGAAGGTTGTTGAATTTTGTCAAAGGCCATTTCTGCATCTATTGAGATAATCATACGGTTTTTGTCATTGGTTCTTTTTATATGCTGGGTTACGTTTATTGATTTTCATATGTTGAACAGCTTTGCACCCCAGGGATGAAGTCCACTTGATCATGGTGGATAAGCTTTTTGATGTGCTGCTGGATTCGGTTTGCCAGTATTTTATTGAGGATTTTTACATCGATGTTCATCAGGGATATCAGTCTAAAATTCTCTTTTTTTATTGTGTCTATGCCAGGCTTTGGGATCATGATGATGCTGGCTTCGTAAAATGAGTTAGGGAGGATTCTCTCTTTTTCTACTGATTGGAATAGTTTCAGAAAGAATGGTACCAGCTCCTCCTTGTACCTCTGGTAGAATTCGGCTGTGAATCCATCTGGTCCTGTACTTTTTTTGGTTGGTAAGCTATTAATTATTGCCTCAATTTCAGAGCCTGTTATTGGTCTATTCAGAGATTCAACTCCTTCCTTGTTTAGTCTTGGGAGGTTGTATGTGTCCAGGAATTTATCCATTTCTTCTAGGTTTTCTGGTTTATTTGCATAGAGGTGTTTATACTATTCTCTGATGTTTGTTTGTATTTCTGTGGGATCAGTGGTGATATCCCCTTTATCATTTTTTATTGCATCTGTTTGATTCTTCTCTGTTTTCTTCTTTATTAGTTTTGCTAACAGTCTATCAATTTTGTTGACCTTTTCAAAAAACCAGCTCCTGGATTCATTGATTTTTTGAACGGTTTTTTGTGTCTCTATTTCCTTCAGTTCTGCTCTGATCTTAGTTATTTCTTGCCTTCTGCTAGCTTTTGAATGTGTTTGGTCTTGCTTCTCTAGTTCTTTTATTTGTGATGTTAGGGTGTCAATTTTAGGTTTAGATCTTTCCTACTTTCTCTTGTGGGCATTTAGTGCTATAAATTTCCCTCTGCACACTGCTTTGAATGTGTCCCAGAGGTTCTGGTATGTTGTGTCTTTGTTCTCATTGGTTTCAAAGAACATCTTTATTCCTGCCTTCATTTTGTTATTTACCCAGTAGTCATTCAGGAGCAAGTTGTTCAGTTTCCATATAGTTGAGTAGTTTTAAGTGAGTTTCTTAATCCTGAGTTCTAGTTTGATTGCACTGTGGTCTGAGAGACAGTTTGTTATAATTTCTGTTCTTTTAGATTTGCTGAGGAGTGCTTTACTTCCAACTATGTGGTCAATTTTGGAATAAGTGTGGTGTGCTGCTGAGAAGAATTTATATTTTGTTGATTTGGGGTGGAGAGTTCTGTAGATGTCTATTAGGTCCACTTGGTGCAGAGCTGAGTTCAATTGCTGGATATCCTTGTTAACTTTCTGTCTTGTTGATCTGTCTAATGTTGACAGTGGGGTGTCAAAGTCTCCCGCTATTATTGTGTGGGAGTCTAAGTCTCTTTGTAAGTCTCTAAGGACTTGGTTTATGAATCTGGGTGCTCCTGTATTGGGTGCATATATATTTAGGATAGTTAGCTCTTCTTGTTGAATTGATCCCTTTACCATTATGTAATGGCCTTCTTTGTCTCTTTTGATCTTTGTTGGTTTAAAGTCTGTTTTATCAGAGACTAGGATTGCAACCCCTGCCTTTTTTTGTTTTCCATTTGCTTGGTAGATCTTCCTCCATCCCTTTATTTTGAGCCTATGTGTGTCTCTGCACGTGAGATGGGTTTCCTGAATACAGCACACTGATGGGTCTTCACTCTTTATCTAATTTGCCAGTCTGTGTCTTTTAATTGGGACATTTACCCCATTTGCATTTAAGGTTAATATTGTTATGTGTGAATTTAATCCTGGCATTATGATGTTAGCTGGTTATTTTGCTCGTTGGTTGATGCAGTTTCTTCCTAGTCTCGATGGTCTTTACAATTTGGCATGTTTTTGCAGTAGCTGGTATCGGTTCTTCCTTTCCATGTTTAGCACTTCCTTCAGGAGCTCTTTTAGGGCAGGCCTGGCGGTGACAAAATCTCTCAGCATTTGCTTGTCTGTAAAATATTTTATTTCTGCTTCACTTATGAAGCTTAGTTTGGCTGGATATGAAATTCTGGTTTGAAAATTCTTTTCTTGAAGAATGTTGAGTATTGGCCCCCACTTTCTTCTGGCTTGTAGAGTTTCTGCTGAGAGATCAGCTGTTAGTCTGATGGGCTTCCCTTTGTGGGTAACCCGAACTTTCTCTCTGGCTGCCCTTAACATTTTTCCTTCATTTCAACTTTGGTGAATCTGACAGTTATGTGTCTTGGAGTTGCTCTTCTCAAGGAGTATCTTTGTGGCATTCTCTGTATTTCCTGAATTTGAATGTTGGCCTGCCTTGCTAGATTGGGGAAGTTCTCTTGGATAATATCCTGCTGAGTGTTTTCCAACTTGGTTCCATTCTCCCTGTCACTTTCAGGTACACCAATCACACATAGATTTGGTCTTTTCACATAGTCCCATATTTCTTGGAGGCTTTGTTTCTTTTTATTCTTTTTTCTCTAAACTGCTCTTCTCACTTCATTTCATTCATTTGATCTTCCATCACTGATACCCTTTCTTCCAGTTGATTGAATCAGCTACTGAGGCTTGTGCATTTGTCACATAGTTCTTGTGCCTTGGTTTTCAGCTCCGTCAGGTCCTTTAAGGACTAGTCTCCATTGGTTATTCTAGTTAACCATTCACCTAATTTTTTTTCAAGGTTTTTAACTTCTTTGCCATGGGTTCGAACTTCCTCCTTTAGCTTGGAGTAGTTTGATCATCTGAAGCCTTCTTCTCTCAACTCATTAAACTCATTCTCCATCCAGCTTTGTTCCATTGCTGGTGAGGAGCTGTCTTCCTTTGGAGGAGGAGAGGCACTCTGATTTTTAGAGTTCCCAGTTTTTCTGCTCTGTTTTTTCCCCATCTTTGTGGTTTTATCTACCTTTGGTCTTTGATGATGGTGATGTACAGATGGGGTTTTGGTGTGGATGTCCTTTCTGTTTGTTAGTTTTCCTTCTAAGAGTCAGGACCCTCAGCTGCAGGTATGTTGGAGTTTGCTGGAGGTCCAATCCAGACCCTGTTTGCCTGGGTATCAGCAGCAGAGGCTGCAGAACAGCAGATATTGGTGAGCAGCAAATGTTGCTGCCTGATCGTTCCTCTGGAAGTTTTGTCTCAGAGGAGTACCCAGGTGTGTGATGTGTCAGTCTGCCCCTACTGGGGGGTGCCTCCCAGTTAGGCTACTCAAGGGTCAGGGACCCACTTGAGGAGGCAGTCTGCCTGTTCTCAGATCTCCAACTGTGTGCTGGGAGAACCACTACTCTCTTCAAAGCTGTCAGGCAGGGACATTGAAGTCTGCAGAGGATTCTGCTGTCTTTTGTTTGGCTATGCCCTGCCCCCAGAGTTGGAGTCTACAGAGGCAGGCAGGCCTCCTTGAGCTGTGGTGGGCTCCACCCAGTTTGAGCTTCCTGGCCACTTTGTTTACCTACTCAAGCCTTGGCAATGGTGAGCACCCCTCCCCCAGCCTCACTGCCGCCTTGCAGTTTGATCTCAGACTGCTGTGCTAGCAATGAGTGAGGCTCCGTGGGTGTAGGACCCTCTGAGCCAGGCACGGGATATAATCTCCTGGTGTGCCATTTGCTAAGACCATTGGAAAAGTGCAGTATTAGGGTGGGAGTGACCTGATTTTCCAGCTACCATCTGTCACCCCTTTCTTTGACTAGGAAAGGGAAATCCCTGACCTCTTGTGCTTCCCAGGTGAGTTGATGCTTCACCCTGCTTCAGCTCATGCTCAGTGCACTGCACCCACTGTCCTGCACCCACTTTCCTACATTCCCCAGTGAGATGAACCCAGTACCTCAGTTAGAAATGCAGAAATCACCTGTCTTCTGCATCGCTCATGCTGGGAGCTGTAGACTGGAGCTGTTCCTATTTGACCATCTTGGCTCCACCCCTGAGGGTGTGGTTTTGAGGGTGAGAGGGTTACCTAGCTTTTTCATGTATCCCGTGTTTTTAGGTTGGTTTCTGCATACCTGATGTAACAGTTCTTTTTATTTTTGAATTTACTTTACTTAGGGGAGAACTTTTTTCTTAAAGATGTGACAACTCTGTTGATTGGGTGTAGACTTCTGGCTTTACTCCTGGGTGTATGCAACAGTGAAGATGCTGTATGATATTTGGCTAGCCTCAGTGTGTTAGGGTACAGTTATTTATGGGAGTAGTGGTGAACTTGTGCTCCAGTTTGAATACCAGATTCATCCATCTTCAGATTAAGCGATGGTGAATTAAGCAAGTCTATCCTTGTGATGTGGGGAAGCATATGCTAACACCTGTGTTGGTGGATCCAGGAAGATCAATTCTGTGGCCTCTGAATGATGTTTCTGGATGCTGGTTGTAATAGCAGTGTACTGGGTAAGGGAGTGGGTTATTTTGCTCCTGGGTTGCTTGGGTATAGTGGGTGATGGTGGTGGCAGTCAGTGGTAGTAAGATGTCCTTCTAGTTTCCACACACTGTACTTTTTTATTGGAAGTGGTTGAAATGGACTGCTCAAGCCAGCCTCCAGGCCAATAGATGACAGTTGCAAGTTGGAGCCAGCCAAGCTGGTAGCAGTGTTCCAAAATTGTGCCCTGGGAAAAGTACTCAGGTGTCTCAAGTGGTGGACTGAGCTGTGAAACATCCAGAAGCCTAGATCCTACAATCTCAGGGGGTATTAAAACTGGGTGGACCCAGACCAGGCAATCTTGCTCTGAGGTTCCCTAACAGGGTGTGCATGCACCAGCTGTGACTAGGGAGTGGGATGGTCCTCAGTCATCTGGTGAAATGCTTGGGTGAAAGGTGATCACTGTTGTGTTGATGTTCTGCCACTGGGAGATGGTGCTGGTCCCCGTAATTACTGCTTTGACCAGTGAGTTGGGGGCTTGTGCCCTCTCATGCCCCAGTCCCAAAAGGGCCTCTTCCCCTGTCCTGGCTGTGGTAGCTGACCCAGATGTTTAGTCAGTCCCAGCAGTTCTCACTCACCCTGTAATTCAACCCCAAGCCATAGGAGCTGCTGTGAGCTCAGTACCAAGTCTCTACATCAATTCTTATCCTGCTCATGTCTGAGATATTTGCCCAGTTCCAGAACCAGCAGCTGAAGTTCTTGCCATGCTTGGTTCTCAGTTCTGGTTGTGAGAGCACTTTCCCACTCAAGCGGTGGTTCCCCAAGCTACAGTCCAAGTCTCCCTAATGCTGAAGACTGCTGTTTTTGGTTCCCAGGATCATGCACAATTTTTTTAAGAGATAGGATCAAAAATGGTGCCTTACTGTGGCTGCATAAGTCTGAGGAAGAGAGAGACACTCCCTGCAGAAGTTCCTTCTCACAATATCCCAGCTGCTCCCTAAGTTAGATTCAAGGATTTGGTGCGCCAAAGTGCTTGCCCATGTCCTGGATTGTATAGTTTCATCAGTGGGAAAATAGACCCACAGAAAAACATTCACTCACCCTCTCCCATACTGGAGATTCACTCCCAGTTTTTGACCAGTCCTGGCCATGCAGGCTGCCTGTTTCACTTCTGTTGAACTCCCATGTTCCTTCTTGGATAATATATTTATGTTGTCATTGTTGTTTTGGTTCTCCAAGATAGGTGAGGCATGCTGAAAATGCTTCTAATAAGCCATCATTTGACCCAACAATTTTTCTTCTGAGACTCTATATGAAGACGATTATACATGTACATAAGGATGTGTGCATAGGTATTTTCATTGTGTTAATGCCTTTTAGAGGTCTCTCAAATAATCTTGTTACTTCACTTAAATTCAAAAATCAAGTTTAGATTCTGTGGAGCTGAAATGCTTACTAGCTGCCTCCTCATTGGCTCTATGGTCATCTAATTTTTTACAAGGGCACCAAAAGGTACAATGAGGAAAGGACGGTCTCTTTAATAAATAGTGCTGAGAAAACCAGATTTTCTCATGCAAAACATGAATTTGGACCTCTATGTTACATCATATACAAAAATCAATTGAAAATGGATTAAAGACCTAGATGTAAGACCTGAAACTCTTATAAGAAAATATAGGGGAAAAGCTCTTTGACATTGGCCTTTGCAATTATTTTTCTGAATAGCAAACCAAAAGCTCAAAATACAAAAGCAAAAAGAAACAAATGGAACTACATCAAACTAAAAAGCTTCTGCACAGCAAAAGAAGCAGTCAACAAAATTAAAAAGCAACCCATAAATTGGGGGAAAATGTTGCAAACTATATAGCATATAAGAGTTAATACCTAATATTTATAAGTCATAATATTTAATAGCAAAAAAAAATACAACCTGATTTTTAAAATGGACATAAGACCTGAGTATACATTTATCCAAAGAAAATAAAAATGGCCAACAGGTATATGAAAAGGCGTTCATCATCACTGATCATCAGAGAAATGCACATCAGAACCACAATGAGATACCATCTCACACCAGTCAGAAAAATGGCTACTAGTAAAAAGTAAAAAAAATAACAGATGCTGGCAAGGTTGCAGAGAAAATGGAGCACTTATACACTGTTGGTGGGAGCATACATTGGTTTAACCATTATGGAAAGCAGTATGGTGATTCCCCAAAGAGCTGAAAACAGAACTACCATTTGACCCAGCAATCCCATTACTGAGTATATCCTTAGAGGAACATAAGTCATTCTACCATAAAGACACATGCACACGAATGTTCATTGCAGCACTACTCGCAATAGCAAAGACATGAAATCTAAATGCCCATCAAAGACAGACTGGATAAAGAAAATGTGGTACATATACACCATGGAATACTATGTAACCATGAAAAAAGAATGAGATTATGGCTTTTGTGGGAACATGGATGAAGCTGGAGGCCATTATGTTTAGCAAAGTAACACAGAAAGAGAAAACCAAATGCCACATGTTCTCACCTATAAGTGGGAGCTAAATGATGAGAATTCATGAACACTAACAAGGGAACAACAGACACCAGGTCCTAATGAGGGTGTAGGGTGAGAGGAAGGAGAGGAACAGAAAAAATAACTAATGGGTACCAGGTTTAGTATCTGGGTGACAAAATAATCTATACAACACACCCCCATGACATGAGTTTACCTATGTAACAAACCTGCACATGTTCTCTGAACCTAAAATAAAAGTTAAAAAAGAAAAGAAAATAAATGAAGAAAACACAGTATGGCATCCTAAGTTCTTGTCATTTCTCTACACATAATATTTACCAGCCGTTTGTCCTCAAAAACATAATCACCTTTTAAGGTTTAATCTACCCGGGTTCTCATCATGGAAACTGACTTTTTAAACTGTATTCAATCTCAGTGACACTGTCTCAAACAGATCACTTGGTGGTGGCTGACTACAATGGCACCAGAAATCCAGGAAGTAAAGTTTGTACTTCTTCTCTCTACCTAGCTATTCTTGTGACATACAAAGAGTCACTTACATATTCTTGTTTCTATCTTCGTTATAGAAATAACAATATCTACCCAAATGTTGTTCTTACTAATGTAAATATGTTGCTCCATTTGTCACCCTCTTGAGGGCCTCTTTGATTTCCTTGTTCCTCAAACTATAGATCAGAGTGTTTAACATGGGGATAAGTATAACATAGAACACTGAGAGCACCTTGTCCTACTTCATGGAGTGGCTAGAGCTAGGATGCATGTACACAGAAAGGGCTGTGCCATAGAAGAGAGCCACAGCTGCCAGGTGGGAGGCACAGGTATTGAAGGCCTTGGCACAACATTTGGTTGATGATATTTTCAGTATGGAAGCTACAATGAAACCATAAGACAAAAGGATAACAAGCAAAGAGCCCAACCCAACAAAAATAGCTTCCAGAAAAAGAATCATTTGGCTGATAAAGGGGTTGGAGCAAGACAAGGAAATAATCTGAAGTGTGTTACAGAAGAAATGTTGAATGATATTTGGCCCACAGTAGTAGAGATTAAAGCAAGGGACTGTATGAACTAAGCTACTAAGGAATCCACCCCCACAGACTCCAGCTACCATCTTCCAACAGATACTAGGGACCATGATTGCTGAGTACTGCAGGGGGCTGCCAATGGCCACATATCTGTCACAGGCCATGATGACCAAGAGGCAGCACTCAGCCAGACTCATCCAGGCCCCAAGAAAATACTGAGTGGCACAGGCAAGGAAGGAAATTGTCTTCTTATCTTTTAAGAAGTCTGAAAGCATCCTTGGGCTGATGGTAGAAGAATAGCAGATGTCTGTAAATGAGAGGAAACTGAGAAAAAAGTACATGGGTGTGTTCAGATGAGAGTCTATTCTGATGAGGATGATAAGACCCATGTTCCAAATCAGGGTCACAAGGTAGATCACCAGGAAGACTGGAAAGAGGATGAGCTGCAGCTCTTTTTCATCTGAGAGTCCTAGGAGAACAAACATGGCCACAGAGGTGTGGTTCCCACTCACTTCCATGGATCTGCTTGGTGCCATCTGCTGAGAAAAAGGAATGAGAAGGAAATGGGTTTATTCCCAGAAAAGAAAAAGAAACACTATTATTTTCAGTCATGAAGCTGGCTAAATATAAAACCTTGAATCATCAATGTTGAGTTAATTTGTGTCTTTCATATATACAATCATGAAACTTTACTGAAAATTTTTTAGATAACTATCGTGCTGTCTTTGGGGACAAAGACAGTAAATAAGCATAATTAGTATGATACCACCTAAAATGTCTTAATTTCTTGTGTTACTGTTTTACAAATACATGGGATTTGAAGATATGCTAAATTAAGAAAATTCTGTCATTTCTCTGTACAGTTGACCCTTGAACAACATGGTTTTGAACTATGCAGCTCCACTTATACATGAATTTCTTTTCAATAAGTACAGTGGAAAATATTTTAGAGATCTGTAACAATTTGAGAACAATTCACAAATAAACTACATAACCTAGAAATATCAAAAATATTAAGACAAAGTTAGGTATGTCACAACCACACAAAATATATACAGATATTAGTCTATTTTATCATTTGTTATCACAAAATATACAAAGATCTATTATAAAAAGTTAATTTCTAAAATATTTATAATGAATAGAAATTTATTGGCTTACAGTTCTGGAGGCTGGGAATTCTAAGATCAAGGGGCTAACATCTAGCAAGGGCCTTCTTGCTGTGTCATACCATGACAGAAGGGCAAAAAGAGGGCAAGAGAGAGAGTAAAAGAGGGTCAACTTCCCCCTTTTATAATGAACTCTCTCCCTTTATAATGGCATTAATCCATTCTCTCCACCTTCATAGCCTAATCACATTTCATTGGGCCTCATCTCCTAACACTGTTGTAAAAAGTTAAAATTTATCAAAACTTACATACACAGACACTTAACCATTCATGGTGCCATTCACAAATGAGAGAAATATAAACAAACATAAAGATTCTATATTAAATCATAACTGCATATCATTAACTGTGGTATATACTGTACTGCTGTAATAATGTTGAAACTACCTCCTGTTGCTATTGCAGTGAGCTCAAGAGTTGAAATTATCTGCTTAAAGTGCTTTGCGAGGCTAGTTATCCTCATGTGGGAAATTCATCTCTCCAAAAAAATGTGTACAGCAGTAAAAAGTTATCTCTCATGGTTCTCAGATATTTTTCATTGTGCTTAGTACAGTATCATAAACCTTGAATAACACCATGGAACCAATACAAAGTGCTACTAGTGATGCTGGAAGTGCTCCCAAGAAGCAGAAAAATAGTCACAACATCACAAGAAAAAGTTGAATTGTTTGATATATAACACAGATTGAGGTCTGCAGCTACAGTTGCCTGCCATTATAAGATAAGTGAATCCAGCACAAGGACCACTTTGAACAAAAGAAAAGGAAATTCATGAAGCTGTCACTGCAGCTACTCCAGCAGGTACAAAACCCTTATACTTTCTGGGAAATAGCTTTTTATCTCATACTGAAAATGCAACTTTTAAGTGGGTGCAGGATTGCTATACAAAAGGCATACCTGTAGACTCTAATATTATTCCAGAAAAACTGAAGTCATTATATGACAGCTTAAAACCAAAGAAAGGTAAAGAATCTAAAGCTGGAGAATTTAATGCTAGTAAAGAATGACTGGATAATTTTCAAAAGAGGTTTGGCTTTTAAAATGTCAAGATAACAGGAAAAGCAACTTCTTCTGACCAAGAGAAGCAGATGAATTCCCAGACACCATTAAGAAAAAAATCATTAAACAGAAAAGATATCTGCCTGAAGAGATTTTTGATGAAGACAAAAGTGCCCTATTCTGGGGCATTGGAGAATGCCACGAAGGACATTTATTAATACAGAAGAGAAGCAAGTATCAGGATAGGCTAACTTGACTGTTTTGTGCAAATGCAGTTGAGTTTATGATCAGGACTGCCTTTATCTATAAAGCTGCTAACTCCCAAGCCTCAAAGGGAAAGGATAAACACCAGCTGCCAGTCTTTCAGTTGTACAACAAGAAGGTGTGGATAATGGGAATGCTTTTTCTGGATTAGTTCCAGAATGGATGCTTTGTGAAGTCAGGAAGTACCTTGCCAGTAAGGGACTTCCTTTAAAAAAAGTATTTTGATATTGGACAATGCCCCTGACAACCCAGAACCCCATGAGTTCAACACCAAAAGCATCAAAGTGGTCTACTTGCATTCAAAAACAATGTCTCTAATTTAGCCTCTAGATCAGGGGGTCACAGTGACCTTTAAGTCTCATTACACATGATACTCTATGAAAAGATTGTCAACACTATGGAAAAGGGTGCTAACAGAGAGGACATTATAAAAGTCTGGAAGAATTACATCATTGAAGATGCTGTCACTGTTACAGAAAAAAACTGTGGAAGCCATCAGGCCCCAAACAATACATTCCTGCTGGAGAAAACAGTGTCCAGCCATTGTGCTTTACTTCACAGGATTTATGACAGAGCCAACCAAGAAAATCATGAAAGAGATTGTGGGCATCTAATAATAGTGAGGGGGGTTTCAAGATATGGATCTCAGAGAAATTCAAAAGTTAGTGAACACAACATCAGAGGAATTAACAGAAAACAGCTTGATGGAGATGAGTGCTTCCAGACAAGTGCCAGATAATGAAGAAGAAGACATAGAAGAAGCATTGCCAGAAGACATATTGGCATTAGACAATAGGAAAGAAGGATTCCAGTTACTCATGACTGCTTTTGACTTCTTTT
This sequence comes from Homo sapiens, assembly GCF_000001405.40. Classification (NCBI taxonomy): domain Eukaryota; kingdom Metazoa; phylum Chordata; class Mammalia; order Primates; family Hominidae; genus Homo; species Homo sapiens. The sequence continues at coordinate 59,395,046 of NC_000011.10, forward strand.
ATGACATGGACCCTTCTATGATACAAGCACTGAAACTAAAGCAAATGGTATAAGGTTTGACACCATATAGAAACATTTTTAGAGAAATGAAGAGGGGAAAAAGTCAGACAGAAATTATGATTTGTTTTCATAAAGTTACACTGAGTGAGCCTGTCAATCCTGTCTCCCCCTCCATTTCCTCCACCTCTTCTACTTCTGCTACCCCTGAGACAGCAAGTCCAATCCCTCCTCTTACTCTTCCTCCTCAGCCTACACAAGCCAGTATTTCTAAACACCCCTATGCAACATGAAGACAATGAGGATGAAGGTCATTATGAGGATCTATTTCCACCCAATGAATAGTAAATACTTTATTTTCCTTACGAGTTTCTTAATAACATTTTCCTCTAGCTTATTTTTGTTGTAAAAATACAGTATAAAATACATGTAATATTTAAAATGTGTTGACTACTTATATTATTGGTAAGGCTTCCAGTTAACAGTAGGCCAGTTCAGGGAAAGCAAAGCATTAAGTCTTCAGCCAAATGGTAAATAACCAATAGAATTTTTTGCCTCAGGCACTGTATGCTCTCTTCACGATTCTATAGCTATCATTCTTTCTAGATCATTAGAACATCCCCCAACCAAAACACATGTTTATTCAAATGTATTCACGTTAGAAAGAAAGTCATGGGGAACCTTGACGGCAGAAAATAGCTGTCAAATATAGCCTGGGAGTTGTGTCTAAGGGTAGAAGTCGAAATCTCAAACATTTCCATTGCTGTGATATTAATGGAATAAACTGTGTATGAACTACAAGTATTTGTGAACATTAGCCATCCAAAATCTCTTCCTTCTCCCTAACCATTTTCCAGTCTCCTAGTTCCAAAAAGGAAAAGAAAATCTCCACAGAAGCATCACACTATTCTTAGAGAAGCACACTCTAAGTGATTTTTTTCCCAAAATGAGATCAGTCATGGCTTCCTGTTGCACTGCATTGAAAAAAATTTTCAAGAAATGAGGTGTTTAATTGGAAAAGAACATTTATATGTTTGTCATTAATATGAAAGGGGAGGATGGTAGCAGACAGACAACGCATTTGGCATCCCAGACTTAGGGGTTGCTCTGTCCACAGTAAGACTGAATAGAGAAAGAATCTTGTGGGAAGAGAACAGAAAGTTGTATTCATTACCTTTTTCATCATCGTCGTCACCAACAGAAGAACAAAGATTTATTGCGTAGCTACAATACATACCGATCTTCTCCTTGTAACTATAAAGATATGTACAATTTTCTCTAATTTATGCTCATTCAATATAAGAACCTTAAATCTGGTATACTATTTACTAAGCACAATATTTGTGTTCTGAAAATTGCCTCTATATTTCTACCATATGTCTCTGGAATCCCAGGTAGATGTTTGTTGGATCTTCTTGCTCTACCCTCCACATCAATAAAACATTCATTATTTATATTTCTCCACTGTGTTCTGTTTTCTTTTTACAGATTTTTTTAATAAATTAATTTTATGATAAATTATATTAATTGGTTGTTTGATACATTCATTGTGTTTCATATTTCAATCATAATATGTTGTTTTCTTTTCTACAAGTTCTATTTTGTTCTTTTCCAAATAGTCAATTTATTGTTCTTTAATCACACTTTCAATAGCACTCTTTAAACATATTAAACATAATTATTAAATTATTACATAATAACTTAAATACCTAGTTTGGTGTTATTGCTGACTCGTATTCAAGATGTGAGCTATTTACTTGTGTGTTTAGTGAATTTTAATCAGAAGTTCATGTTACTTTAAATTTATCTGCAGAAACCATTGAGGCTTGAGTATAACATGTGTTCCTCCAGAAATGATTTCTATTACTTCTGTCAGGTACCTTGGGGATGATACCAACCCAGAATCCATATAAGCAATAATTTTGACTTGGGGGTTTCTCGGGGCCACAAAAGTCATAAGATTTAGGCTACATAGCTAAGTAAGCAGGAGTTTGAGGCTAAAAATCATCAGGGGAAACCTTTTCTCTTCCTCCAAAACTAAGGCTGAGAGAATTATGCATATCACGGTTTCACTTTGTGGGATCAGGTTTTTCTATTTTGCCCTGAGAGAATGGTACCCTTTGGGAGGCCCTGTTTCAGTGTCATGAGGATTGTCTCTTACCCAACCTCCTTCACTGTCTTTTTCTCCTACCCTTTATACAGGCCCATTAAACTCAGCCTTAGGCCACCAGGGTTTAGTAGATCCCTCCTAGGAAAATGCTGGCCCCAGCCTACTATCTTCTTAGGTTTTTGCTTTCTTATTATCTCTGTACCTTTAGGAATTTATGTTCTTTCTCACTGGCTAAGCCATGGAAAAAATGTGTTTTAGATTTTATCTAGCGTTCTTAGTAGTTTCTGTGAATGTATAACCCACTCTATTCCCAGAAACATGTCTACAAACAATATTTTTATGAAAACCTTGGTAACTTCAACTTATCACTGGCCAGTTTTTCTAAAAGCCCCAAGCTCTTTGATTTTCTTATATTTTTTTTCCTAATATGGCTAAATTTTCCTTAAAAGCAAGGCACGATAGATAGTTAATGTTACTGAGGGCATACTCTATCCCAGGTGCTATTATAAATCCTTTTATGATTTGTCTCATTTTAATTTGTCCAACAGCCCCATGAGATCTGTGCTCTTGTAATTCTCATTTTGTAGAGAAGGAGACTGTGACAGGTCCAAAATGGTAAATATAGCCCCAAATCAGACAAATCAGAACTGGGATTCAAATCCAGGCAATCCAGCTCCAGAGCATCTTAACAGACTGCAATCCACCGCCTCACTAAAACATCAGTGCATTGATTGATTAAATGCATTAATTGATCCATTAATCTTATTTCTAACCACCACGGAGTGTAAAGCACTATACTTTGGATGAGGCAAAAGATTTCATAAGCGGCCTACAGCCCAGTGAGTTGAGAATTGTGTCCATGGAGGCATACTGCCAGCAAGAGATGATTTGTGGCACGAAAAAGACAGAGATAAGAACCTGTGGGTAAACACCTGCTGGATATAGGCAGGAAGTTAAGGAGCCAGAGAAAGCTCCTGCATATACTTTATGAGGATTTCCCATGGTCTCTACAATGGCAGAGCCTATTTTGGAGAAGTTATTGTACAAATGGACAGGGCAATGACAACATAATTGAATGTGCGATCAATAACACAATCACTATATCACTTCACATAGATATTATTTCAGGAAATGAACAGAGAAGTGGTAATGCTGACTGCTTGCCAAGGAAGTGAGAGAAACTGGAAAAGAATGTATCTTCTTTCAGGAAGAAAAAATAATAAAGTATTAAAATGTTTGGCAAATTTTGCTGGTGTGAATGAGTAACAGGAAAATCTTGGGTTTTAGATGGTGACCACTGCAAAGCTTCTGTCTACAGATACCTAAGAGATAAAATTACCACCTCTATGAAGATTTGCCACATTGCTTTTCTCATCCACCTTAGATTTTACCACTTCTAATTAAACCTTGCTTCTAGTCGCCTCTTATTTATCAAGGACCCCTAAGCTTTCTTTTTTTGTTTTGGAAAAAGTCTATTTTGGGATAAAATTTATCTCTGCTCTCTTTCTTTAGCTTTTTCTCATACCATTCCTCACATAAGGTATTCCTCCTCCCCATGCTTACCTCCATTTAGCCTTGCTTAGCAAATTAAAAGAAAAAATTACAAGAAACATTAAAGAGTGGCTTCTTTGACATGCTTCTTTTCTTTGAGCCATCTCATCAGCAGCTCTTTCTAATATTCACTTAGTTGACTTTGAAAAAGTTCAACATGTCTGTTGGCTAGAAAACAAAATCTGAAGATTTTTGTCTCTATCAGGAACAATGTGGACAGGATTTGCCTCAAAAGACCGAGTATTACACTTATTCTTGACAACTGGTTCTCAAGAGTCTCCAAACTAATGACTAAGGTTTCTCCAGAACCTACCATCCTCATAAGAGCCACATTGGATCCACTCAATTCAGTAATAATACCCTCCTTAGTCTTCTATAGACTGTTCAAATTTAACTTTTGAAATGGAGTGAATCAGATATTACAGGCCATTCAAAATAGCCCATAATTCTTCTGGGCCTATGTTCTCTCATTTTTAGTACCAATCAAAGATCGGTACCCGTCAAAGATTTTTAGCCTCTCCCTCATCCCCCTACTTTGTACTAAAGTGTATTAACACAGCTTATATCTTTAAATAATCCTTCTATAGATTTGTTTCTCAGGCTAAAAGAGACGCCATGAAAGAGAACTTCTGGTGAAACTTCAAGGACTTAATGAGACTTCAAGGACATTGATACAAGCTATTTGTAACTCAGAAATTCTACCTGGATCCTAGGCCCTTGACAGTCCTTAGAGAAGAGTCGGTAAGTGGCTCACCTAAGAGCTCTAAGAAAGGTTTCCTCTCTTGTGATCCATCTCCTTTTACTTTGTGGTGTAGCCAGATATTCAGAAATGGCCAATAGATATTTGATTTCCAGCTCATCCAGAGAGAGATGAGCACATAGTCTATTGCTAGCAATGTTTCATTCACTCAACCTCCTTCAAAAATGATCCAGCTGTGGAAAAGGCCCTAAATGCTTATGAGCATTCTTCAATATATCTAAGAAAGGATCTGAGAGCACAACTCATTAACAAAGAAGGAGCAATTAAAAAGGTGCAAGCTGCAAATAACCTCCCTCCTGGGTGATAGAAGGGAGCCCAACTCTATTAATTGGTCCCTTGCTTAGACTCTAAGCTCTCCCTTGAGGGTGTTAATTTTTTTACACATTTGGACACCAAGGGTCCCTCCTTACACCTTGAAAGAATCATGAGGCTGATTTAGAGGTCACTTTCAACCTTGTCATCCATAAACTAACTGTGTCACCATAGCATAGGAACAATCTTTCATCAGAGACCTCTGTCTGGGAAAAATACCAGGAAGTAGCAAGCAAACTCTCAGCTATTCTGAGTCAGACTCTCTGCAGTGGATGGATTCTCAATTCTTTACTTTCTTATTCTGGACCAATTTTTTAATTTTTACATTGGACTCCCTGGATGGATCATATTCAAAAAGACCTTACAGAGATTTGGCGTAGGGAAGAAGAAACATAAACAGGTTAATTTTTCTCCCTCATAGCTCCAACAGCTTGGTTTAACTTCCCACACAGAGGTGTCCAATCTTTTGGCTTCCCTGAGACACACTGAAAGAAGAATTGTCTTGGGCCACATATAAACTACACTAACAATAGATGATGAGCTAAGAAAACTCTCAAAAAAACTCATAATGTTTTAAGAAGTTTATTAATTTGAATTGGGCCACATTCAAAGCCATCCTGGGCTGCATGCTGCCCATGGGCCATGGGTTGGACAAGCTTAGAAGGAATAAAAGAGTAGCAGATGAAGAATGGGAGGGGAGAATGATTATACAAATAAAGGCAGAGATGAGGAGTGTTAAATCAAGTTTAGTCTAAAGCTGCCTCCTTGCATATTTTAAGTTTGGTCTAAAGGTTTTTCTGTGCATCATGAACTATAACAAGTGGAGGTGTAAATAGACCATAGCCTACACTTGTGCCAATCACCGAGTATTGGCCAATCAAATATAGTCAACTTTTCTAACCATGTTCAAATAAAGCAAATGCCAAGTTGTAACTAATCCAGCTGTTTCTGTACCTCATTTGTGTTTTCTGTATGTCACTTTCCTTTTTCTGTCCATAATTCTTTTTCCACCATGAGGCTGTGCTGAAGTCTCTGAGCCTACCCTGGCTCAAGAGGCTGCCTGATTTGTGCTCAATTAAGCTCCTTTAAAGTTAATGCAGCTGAAATTTTCTTGTATTAGATGGTTTCAGTAGTGGGATCTGAAGTAGGGCTTCTAACGATTCCCAGAAGCACTGAATGACCCAATTGTGTCCTTTGATCTCTCAGAGCAGCTGGAGATTGTGGTAAGTTCTCTCTGGGATTCCAAAGCTCCACAAATTTGTGTTTTGAGCAATTTGGGGTTTCTTTGAGAAAATTTCTGATTCAAACTGGGTTTGGAAGTAGTAACAGAAACTACGCCAGGTCCAGGATAGGATTGGATCTGGTAATCAACTGGCTTGGATCCAGTCAGAGGCCTCTTGCATCTGACTGGGTTAGAAAGAAACTGGTAGCAAATGGCAGTGTTACAGGAGGTGTAAAATTTGGCTTTTGGAAATTTGAAGGCAAATAAAAAACTTAAGCAACTAACTAAAAAAAAAAAAAAATTAAATCTGCCTTGGACTCTTTGCTGACATCTATGGGTGACAGGATTAGGCATGTGCAGGATCATGGGACATGGGGAAACTTTTTCTTCCTAAACAGGGAAAGTTAAGAGCTGATGGGGCTGCTGGAAAAGATCCCTTCATGACCTACTAGCGGCTGCCTGAACTTCTGATTCAGTATTGCTGCAATGAGTGGATCTTTCTCTGGCCTCTCTGAGCTCCTCACCTTCCCCACCCCGCTGTGGGCAATGCTTTTCTCCCTCTCTCTCTCTCTTGCTCTCACTCAATGAAAACCAATTGTGGGAACAGTAAAAATCACTATCTATTGCAAAGTTTTAATTAATGAGAAAAATTTTGTCAGGCTAGTCTTTAGCTGTAGCAAACCTCGTGTCCTTTGTGCTTTGATTTTGTTTTGTGTGAATTTGTCTTTCTGCATCATTCTATCATAAAAAGGGATACCATAGGATGGAAGATGGGTTTAGGACTCCATAATCTCACTGTTCAAATCAGCCCAGCAAACTGATCAATAACAAACTTTGCAGCAGGTCCCTGAAACAAACAAAAAGTGGATGAGGTCTCTATCTTGTTTTATGTCCTTGAGAGCTTGACCTTATAACCACATGGTGGTACTTTCTCTTGATCTCTGCCATCTAGGGAACAGGAATTTTGGGGCTGATGTCATAATTAGCTCTAGAAATTATCTTGAGCAGTTAAAAGCCTTTGCGAGCTCAAAATTGGCTAGCCTCCTTCTGGGAAGAGCAATGGAAAGTGCCCAGTGCTGTAGCTTAGCAGCTAAGGCTTTGCCATTTTACAATGCAGCCCTGGTTTAATCCTGTCTTAGGAAATGAGTCCTTTCTGATTTGATATCTGTGTGACTTTTACCATTTGTTGATTCTCTTTGTCTCAATGAAAAATTTCTGGCATTCCCTCTTAAATTTTCCTTTCTCTGAGCACCTTTGGAGATTCTAGATCTTGTAGAAACTGCTAACCACTCCTTTGAAAATACCTCACACATTCATGGTTAAGTCATAACCTTTGTTGAGACTTGTGGGTTTCACCTGTGAAGTCACTTTTGGTAGGGTTTAAAAGCCAGAAATATTGGCCATTTGGCCTGGCTAAAGTAGGGTATTAAGAAATGTAAAAGGACTTTTATTTTTAAGAAAACTATGGTTAAAATCAGCTTAATTAAAGGCAGATATCCAAGCTATATATACATATACTTAAAAGGTCTTTATGTTTTTTCTCTTTTTGAATCTTATTTTCCTGGAAAAATAGCTTTTTTCTTCTCAGTTGACTTAATTATTTCTACATTTTGCCTTCTTGCTGTTCTTGATGCTCACATGAGAGAGCTTGAGATAATTGCTAACAGTTTCCATTCTGAGAAAAAAAACCTCTGTTTTCCTCATGGAACCCTGGGAATTGAAAGCAGATAGAGGTCTCTCAAAATCTAAGGCTCAGTTTGATTTTACATTCTGTTACCTGACTTTTTTTTACTTTTGGGAGTATCAGGTATTACTTTGCATTATGAGAGAACATTGATGTGTAATAACTAAGTAGGAAATGTAATTTTAGGGATGTCTAATGGCAGTTATGGGAGAGATACTCAACTCTTTGCATGTTTGGATTAGAGAAGCATGCTCTTGGTCACCTAAAAGGTATAGAAATATCCCTACCCCCACTGAGAAATAAGACTTCCATGGGAGATGGGCTGATTCCCTCTTTTTTGGGATCCAGGATCTGGTATAAAAATGAGACCCTTAATTTTGGAAATCTGTTTTTGCCTTCCAGCTGTGCCTGCTTATTAGGCCCTAGAAATTGCATATTTTCCTAGCCATGTTCCTCCATGGACTCCACCCTGAAGCCAGTAATCCAACTAAGAAACTTAAATGCTGACAAATGAAAAATGTTACAACTACTAGATCATCTTTCTCTGTATTTATTTGTGTTGTGTGGGTGATGTTTACACAAAAGAGCTCAAATTAATTGGCTTAAAGAAAAATAAGCACTTAAATCAAATATTTTGTCAGAAAAATTAAAACTAATGCCTTTTAGTTCATGTGACTTTAGTAATCTTTGAGAAATAAAGACAGTTTTAAAGATTATTGGTACAATTAAAATGTCTTCAAAATTTAGACATTTGATCTAAAGTAGATCAGGTATTAGGTTTGCTAAATGCCTTAAGGTCATAAACTGCTTCTCTGACATTTGGAAATTGTTTAATTTACCTACCTTGGAGCTATTAGATTCTAGATAAGGCCTGGGGATGTGTGGAATTAGCCATGCCACCTAGCTATGCAAAGAAGGTTATAAACAAAAGAGATTTTAGGTAAGAAAGGATCTTGTATGGTAAATTATTGTCCTAAAGTAAAATGACTGTTTCTTTAAAAGGAGGGATGTTTAGGACAAGTCAGAAAGTCCAAGCATGTCATAGATGATCTGTATAAGTCATGAAAAGGAATTTATTCCAGAAATGTTGTACAATTCAAAGTTTATTAGGCCTCCTAAATACTTCATAAAATACCACTATGACTCTTAACTATACAAATTTCCTGCTTTACAGCCAAGTAAGGCCTGGGGACATGGGGTGTTAGCCATGCCCCCTAGCTATGCTGGAAAGAGTCAGCCTTTATCTGCACTTCTGACTGGTGTTTCAGGCTTCATACCCACTGCATAATTAAAATTGATTACTAACAAGGTTTTTTACCACAAGTAAAAGTTGCTAAGAGTTAACAATATAACATATATTTGAGACTACTGAACAAATAATTCTATACACAATGGGTGTAAGGAAAGTAGAATATACTTTTGGTAAAAGATAAGAAGGTGTGGGAGTATGGATTTCTTGCCTAAGTTTAGAGGGTAAAAGATTGTTTAAAGTGAGATAGGAAAAACCTAAAGGTTTGAACAAGTTGTGAAAGGTTTATAAAAAATTAATTGTAAAAGAGATTCTGTGTGTGAACATATTGGATAAAGTTAAAGGGGTATTATTCAGTTTTTTTGTAAATTGAACATTGGAATAAAAGCACAACCAGCTTTTCTTAGAGCACTGAGCTGCTCTTTAACCAATTTGTAAACAGTCATAAAGTATTTATCAGAATCTCACCTTATGGTGAAACTAATTAAGATTAAATAGATTTGTTTATAAACTTTTATTAAAACTGACATTAATAGTACACTAATGCAAGGGTGAAATTTGGCTTTCTCTCTCAAAGTTTCATGTAATATTAATAAAAGAATAATGAAAGATTTTTGTTTGCCTTTTGAGTAAACTACAGGAAAAAGATGGAAAAAACAAGAAACAGATTGTTTTGAAAGCTAAGCCTTCCTTCTATCAATGAGTAATGGTTGTTGCCTTTTTAAAATTTTTGAGTTATCATTTTGGTAGCTCAAAAATGAATGACTTATGGTGATCTGGAATTCTATTTCATAATATCAAACATTGTAAACCTTTAAAATATTTGATAAGTGTCCCAAAATCAATTTTCTGCTTCAAAATTAAGTTTTTTTAATCTCTAACTTTGTGATGTTACAGAGGACACCTGAAGAATCCAAAAGAAAGGTAAAAAGAATTACTTGACATGTTAAGTTACATGGGAAGCATTGTCAAAATAAAAAATAATGTTTAACTTCCTTTGGGTTATATTTTAGTGAATGATATTAATATATGTTCCAAAATGGTATGGTATTTCTAAAATTCTAATGTGTCTGAATATATGCTATTAATCATAATTATGGTTATTAAGTGTAGTTATTGAAGACCAAGAAATAACCTAATTTCTTTGTCAATTGTGTCTTTCACTATGGCTATTTAAAGTCATTACCATACTTAATTGCTTGATGCTGATGCAGTTTTTGAAAACTTCACCAGCGTGCAAAATCCTAGAATATGGTGTCTTTTAGGAGATTCATGAAAAGATGGAAAGGACCCTGAAAAGCACTATCGAATACAGATTTCTGGCTGCTAACCCAAGTAGAACAAAAATTAATTGAATACCAAGAAAATACTTTGCCAGATTTTCATGCTAAATCAGCCAGTACTGAAATTGTTTAGACATACAATTTGAACAAACTCCATGATCTATGTCAAATTACCTACAATAACCCATCAGTTATCAGTGCTATGCACCTAAATTTGAGAAACAATTTGTATTCAAGAGGACATAAATTCAATGATAAGCTTGGACTTATGGAGAACAAGGATGTCACCTTGTCCTTCCTGAGTCCTTAAAGCTTTTGTTATTAAGAGTTCTGCATTCCAGAGACACAGCCAAAAGAGAGAATTTTAGACCAATAACCTTGCTGAACATTGATGCAAAAATCCTCAATAAAATACTGGCAAAATGAATCCAGCAGCACATCAAAAAGCTTATCCACCATGATCAAGTGGGCTTCATCCCTGGGATGCAAGGCTGGTTCAATATACACAAATCAATAAATGTAATCCAGCATATAAACAGAACCAAAGACAAAAATCTCATGATTATCTCAATAGATGCAGAAAAAGCCTTTGACAAAATTCAACAACCCTTCATGCTAAAAACTCTCAATAAATTAGGTATTGATGGGATGTATCCCAAAATAATAAGAGCTATCTATGACAATCCCACAGCCAATATCATACTGAATGGGCAAAAACTGGAAGCATTCCCTTTGAAAACTGGCACAAGACAGGGATGCCCTCTCTCACCACTCCTATTCAACATAGTGTTGGAATTTCTGGCCAGGGCAATTAGGCAGGAGAAGGAAATAAAAGGTATTCAACTAGGAAAAGAGGAAGTCAAATTGTCCCTGTTTGCAGACGACATGATTGTATATCTAGAAAACCCCATTGTCTCAGTCCAAAATCACCTTAAGCTGATAAGCAACTTCAGCAAAGTCTCAGAATACAAAATCAATGTACAAAAATCACAAGCATTCTTATATACCAATAACAGACAAACAGAGAACCAAATCATGAGTGAATTCCCATTCACAATTGCTTCAAAGAGAATCAAATACCTAGGAATCCAACTTACAAGGGATGTGAAGGACCTCTGCAAGGAGAACTAGGCGAACTACAAACCACTGCTCAATGAAATAAAAGAGGATACAAACAAATGGAAGAACATTCCATGCTCATGGATTGGAAGAATCAATATCATGAAAATGGCCATACTGCCCAAGGTAATTTATAGATTCAATGCCATCCCCATCAAGCTACCGATGACTTTCTTCACAGAATTGGAAAAAACTACTTTAAAGTTCATATGGAACCAAAAAAGAGCCCGCATCGCCAAGTCAATCCTAAGCCAAAAGAACAAAGCTGGAGGCATCACACTACCTGACTTCAAACTATACTACAAGGCTACAGTCACCAAAACAGCATGGTACTGGTACCAAAACAGAAATATTGATCAATGGAACAGAACAGAGCCTTCAGAAATAACACCAAATATCTACAACCATCTGATCTTTGACAAACCTGAGAAAGACAAGCAATGGGGAAAGGATTCCCTATTTAATAAATGGTGCTGGAAAAACTAGCTAGCCATATGTAGAAAGCTGAAACTGGATCCCTTCCTTACACCTTATACAAAAATCAATTCAAGATGGATTAAAGACTTAAACGTTAGACCTAAAACCATAAAAACCCTAGAAGAAAACCTAGGCATTACCATTCAGGACATAGGCATGGGCAAGGACTTCATGTCTAAAACACCAAAAGCAATGGCAACAAAAGACAAAATTGATAAATGGGATCTAATTAAACTAAAGAGCTTCTGCACAGCAAAAGAAACTACCATCAGACTGAACAGGCAACCTACAAAATGGGAGAAAATTTTCGCAACCTACTCATCTGACAAAGGGCTAATATCCAGAATATACAATGAACTCAAACAAATTTACAAGAAAAAACAAACAACCCCATCAAAAAGTGGGCAAAGGACATGAACAGACACCTCTCAAAAGAAGACATTTATGCAGCCAAAAAACACATGAAAAAATGCTCACCATCACTGGCCATCAGAGAAATGCAAATCAAAACCACAATGAGATATCATCTCACGTCAGTTAGAATGGCAATCATTAAAAAGTCAGGAAACAACAGGTGCTGGAGAGGATGTGGAGAAATAGGAACACTTTTACACTGTTGGTGGGACTGTAAACTAGTTCAACCATTGTGGAAGTCAGTGTGGTGGTTATTCAGGGATCTAGAACTAGAAATACCATTTGATCCAGCCATCCCATTACTGGGTATATACCCAAAGGACTATAAATCATGCTGTTATAAAGACACATGCACACGTATGTTTATTGTGGCACTATTCACAAAAGCAAAGACTTGGAACCAACCCAAATGTCCAACAATGACAGACTGGATTAAGAAAATGTGGCACATATACACCATGGAATACTATGCAGCCATAAAAAATGATGAGTTCATGTCCTTTGTAGGGACATGGATGAAATTGGAAATCATCATTCTCAGTAAACTATTGCAAGAACAAAAAACCAAACACCGCATATTCTCACTCATAGGTGGGAATTGAACAATGAGAACATATGGACACAGGAAGGGGAACATCACACTCTGTGGACTGTTGTGGGCTGGGGGGAGAGGGGAGGGATAGCATTGGGAGATATACCTAATGCTAGATGACGAGTTAGTGGGTGCAGCGCACCAGCATGGCCCATGTATACATATGTAACTAACATGCACATTGTGCACATGTACCCTAAAACTTAAAGTATAATAATAAAAAAAAAGAGTTCTGCATGCCATGACTCATCCTGAAAAAGATAAAATAACCCAAATTAAATACATATTGGTGTGGTGACTTTTAAATTGCTAAAATAGTTTATGACCAATGTTTGGTTTGTCAAACCCATATTCCTGGGAAGATAATCAAAGCTTCAGGTACATTTGGCTACCTAATGGGCCATTTAAACATGTATAGAGAGACTTCATTTGATTATCATTTTCAATGCATGTTTTCCAGTTGTATAAAAGCTTTCCCATGCAAGAGGTCTGATGTTATAACAGTATATTATGATGTCACAGTATATTCTCACCAGGTAAAGAAAGATTTTTATGGTTCACTGACTGGGGACAATCAACCCCTTCACAATCTAGAACCTGAAGATTGGATCTTCTGAAAACATCAGAAAAAGACTGCCCTTGCCATCCATATTGCAGCAAACTTTGAAACCTTGAACTTTGGGTTAATAATCTTACAACTGAGAAAGGCCCCTCCACACTCTTAGAACCTCACATGCATTGGAACCCTTAAGGTAAAGCTAACTGGGAAGCTTCTCCTCAGAAGAAGATGGCATCCTTGATGTGAACAGCTTCTCCTGAGATCATGGATCAAGACATCTGTACTATAATGATGCTTATTTTTGAATATTTTCCCTTGCTTATGCCTCCATGAACAATAGAAGTGAAAAGGGGGTCTGTTGTGTGCACTCATGGGGTATATTTTTATTTGTGAAGGATTTTGCAGCCAGTCTTTTACATGGATAACCTTACACAGATAAAAGATAAAGGCCCCAATGTAGGTGAGAAATTTTAATGGTACATACATTGCCCCATAATCAGAAAGGGAACAGTGGTTCACTCCTCCTAACCTACATCATGGCTTAAAGAGAACATTGCCAGGAGGCCTTCACTCTTCTAGAAGGGCATCAATTGTTAAGTCCTCTTTCCCATGGTTTGGAGTGATAAAGGAAATGATTAGAAATGTGTCTCTCATGATAGGCTCTATAAAAGATTCTACTGTAAAGGCTATCATTACACAACAGACTTTACATTCTCTTGTGAAAGTTATGCTAAATAATAGAATTGCTCTAGATTACTTACTGGCTAAACAGAAATATCTGTGCAGCCACTGCCATTTGTGGCCTATGGTGAAATACATCAAATGTAGATTATAGAGATTCAGTTGTAGGGGGTTAATGAAGAGACTGCTTACTTAAGTGAGTGAACTCTAGCTAGTTCTTTGATCTATTTGATTTCAGGTAGTTTGGTTTATGGGGACTCTGAGTAAGAAGCATAATCCAAAATCTTGGTATTATCCTCCTGATAGTCATAATAGCAGTCTTCTTGGTGGGCTATGTTCTCTCAAAAGTTTTAAAGGTTTGCATGCAGCCGTCTCTGGAATGTCTCTTCAACTGGAATGATAAGAGCTGACAGAAATGTGTGACCATGAGGACACTGTAACCTATGAATGACATGCTGAGACCAGAAACCAAAAACGACGGTAACTGAGAGTGGAGCTAAGGCCCTAAGTTTTGTCACACTCTCACCTACATGAGAACCTGACCAAAAAAGGGGAATTTTTAAACAAAATTATGGGAGGCCATTGTTTTGGACTGAGCTCATGCAGTAGGCCCCAAGAAACCAGACCAAACCAAAATGGAGTCACTCATGCTAAATGTGACATAATCAAACTAAGACTTTAAGGAAACACCTAGATCCTACAACAGACAAGGGGTTTTTTCATGTAAACAGGACATTCCAGCATAAGGAGGAACCTTCTACTGAATCCTTGTTCCTACTTTATAAAACCCACTCTTTTACTGTTTCCCAGTGGGTTTCAATACCAAATAAGTATCTTTACAATGGTGGTAGTGACATCAACAACTAAAGTTTCAGTTAATCTCTCAAAATTGAGAGGATAACCAAAGGGGGGAATTGTTAAATCAATTTTAGCATAAAGCTGCCTCCTTACAGATTTTAGGTTCATCCTAAAGGTTTTTCTGTAAATTGTGAACTATAAAGAGTGGAGGTGTAAATAGACCGTAGCCTACACTTGTGCTGATCACCGAGTTTTGGCCAATCAAGTATAGCCAACTGTTCGAACCGTGTTCAAATAAGGCAAACGCTGATATGTAACCAATCCAGTTGTTTCTGTATTTCACTTTTGTTTTCTGTAGGTCACTTTCCTTTCTCTGTTCATAAATCTTCTTCCACCACGTAACTGTGCTGAAGTCTCTGAGCCTACTCTGGTTCAAGAAGCAGCTCAATTCATGAATTTTTCATTGCTCAATTAAACTGCTTTAAATTTAATTTGGCTGAAGTTTTTGTTTTATCGGGAGTCAAAGAGGAAGAAGTGAGTAAAGTGTGCAGGAAAGTTTGGAAAGATAAATAATATTCAGCCACCCCCACTTGCCAAGCATGAACAGTTTCACCTCCTTCCTCCCTGCCTTACTAGCTCTTTATCTTCTCTCTCCAGATTGAATAAGAAGAGAAGAAATCCTTATTTTTCAGCCCAAGACACTAAGCGGGATTAAGCCTATGTCATTTGCTCTTCAAAGTCTGGGTTTTCTTTCAGAAACACACTGGACATTATATGGGAATAACACTTAGAGACTGGGCTGTGGAGAAGACCAAAGAGTCTGCTACAATATATTAGCAAATAAATTCTCTTACTTCTAACATAAATTTAGTCTTTGTTTTATTCCCATCCAACCTTCCTGTTAGAAATTTTACTTAGCTGTATATAATGAGATAATATGTTTGAAATATCATCTAGTTTTTTACCTAGTATTCTTTTCCCCATATCTCTAATCATTTCTTTCTCCCAGGCAGGTAGGTTGTTAGGTTCTCAAGCCTCAGAAAAAAAATGTGACAGCAAAAGAAAGTTGAATTAGAAGTGATAAGACCAAAATCATGAGTGAGTCTTCAGAATGGCTTACAGACAAAGCCTGAGATACATCACAACCTTCACCCAGGTTTGGAGACACCAAAAGCAGAGAGCCTATAACTATGTTTTGTTCAAGGTCTTGGATGGCAGGCAGAAACTTAAGAAAATAGAGTTGTGGGGGCTTCCAAGTAGACATTTGAGTGCTGCAGCTTCCCGTGCAATATTCAGGATGGGAGAAACGGAACAATCTCCATCTAACCAAGGGTAGCTTATCAGGTCATCGGACCTAATCGATCTTGAGGATAGGAATAAACAGAAATCAGCAACAACTCGTTTGTGATTTAACAGCTGGGATCTGATGAAACAATAGATATTTTCAGAGTTGCTAGTACAGTAAGATCAAGGATCAGATGCCCCCAGTACTCTGACATCATTCAAGTTCTATAGAACTTAGACATAAACCTGGAGGTTGGGGAAGAAAAGGAACTTGAATTGATTTTTTTCCCTCAGTGGAGAAAAAAGGAGAGCATAAAGTAAAAATAGTTATGGGATGATGATGAAAATTGCATTTCTTGAATACCAGAATTTGTAGGTTGTCTAAATCCCTTGACTGTTTATATAAGTATTATCATCTTCCAGGTGCATTATAATAGACCAACTGACTATACCTCAATTTATTTAACCATTTTCTTCTATTTTTGTTTTAAGCCACAGTGTTTTGTAGTAATTCCTTGTACAGTAATAGGCAATTAACATCCCAAGAATTTCGACAACTTATTCAAAATGAGTCTTATTTTTGTGATTCTTGGTATATATTACAAAATTAATTTTAGACACAGGAATCTTTTATTTTAATGGCAGAAAAAAAGAACTTAAACTGGATGAAGCATTAAAGTGAATCTTTTAGTTCATAAAACAGAGGTATTCAGAGAAAATTTGATCACTGGCTCAAACACTATTACTAAATATCCAATTTCCTTTATTCTGTTTAGTATGCCTTATGCAGGAATTGTGCCATCCTGTGGCAAATTTTCCTAGTAGTAGCATAATTATTTTCTTTTATTATTATTATTATTATTATTATTATTATACTTTAAGTTTCAGGGTACATGCGCACAATGTGCAAGTTAGTTACATATGTATACACGTGCCATGCTGGTGTGCTGCACCCATTAACTCATCATTTAGCATTAGGTATATCTCCTAATGCTATCCCTCCCCCTTACCCCCACCCCACAACAGTCCCCAGAGTGTGATGTTCCCCTTCCTGTGTCCATGTGTTCTCATTGTTCAGTTCCCACCTATGAGTGAGAATATGTGGTGTTTGGTTTTTTGTTCTTGCGATAGTTTACTGAGAATGATGATTTCCAATTTCATCCATGTCCCTACAAAGGACATGAACTCATCATTTTTTATGGCTGCATAGTATTCCATGGTGTATATGTGCCACATTTTCTTAATCCAGTCTATCATTGTTGGACATTTGGATTGGTTCCAAGTCTTTGCTATTGTGAATAGTGCTGCAATAAACATATGTGTGCATGTATCTTTATAGCAGCATGATTTATAGAAAACCCCATTGTCTCAGTAGTAGCATAATTCTTGTACAAGTTCCAGATCTCATGGTCTCACCTCAAATCATCCTAAAGAAGAGATCATCTCTTCTGATAGATACCACAGATGAAAGGTTTCTTCCCAGATGCCTAGAAAGCATCTCCTTGCGTTTTTCTGTCTTTGATTGGGCTATATTGCCCACTTCTACTCCAAGCTATTTGTTACAGCTTTTGGATGATATTTGCTGATTGCTGATTGGCTTAAACCAATCAGGATTTATCTCTGAACCCAGAGTTCGAACCAAACTTACTCAATGACAGCTGAGAACAGAAAAGGACATCTCTCCCCACTGTAAAAAAAAAAAAAATTCAAGATACTCCTCTGAGAAAGACTGATTATTGATGCTAGGTGACATATAAATAAATAAATAAATAATCACTGACTTTTGAAACTTAACTCTCAATGTAATAAATGTAAATTACACATAGTTTTAAAAGTCAAGTTAATTTTAATACTTAATATGGAAAACAGTTCTGGTTCTATCCTCATTCTTGCTCCTGATGTAGCACTCTGTTCTTGTTTGAAGGACATAATATCTTCTTTAATCTGAGCGTATTAATTTTTGAATTTTTTTCCTATTCTTATAGCTCTTGAATTGTCGTTTGTCATTGGGTTCCTTTTCCTAAAACAAACATTGGGTTTGTTTTAGGGCTCTGTCTGGTAGTCCTTGAGTATGCTTTCAAATTGCAGAATGAGCATTTAAAAAACAAGTTCTGAAGCTTGGTGTTCATGGTCAGAGATAGTCTTCTGGCAGACTTTCTGCTAGGTTATCTGGCAGCAACTTCACAATTGCTGAGATAGACCCCTCTGTAAGCATCAGTAGTTACGTTCCCTTGGGCAGGATTTTCTCTACATAGAAATTCAGTCTTTTGCCTAGAAGATATCAACCCAGTTAGGAGTGTTCCAAGCATTGAATGCGTGAATGGAGTAAGTGCATGGTGGACAGAGAAGCTCAAACTGGGGAAATCTCCCTTTTCGCGATGTAGACACTATTGTAATGCCTCTTTTTTTTAGCATTCCTCCTTAGCTATGTCTGATAGCTCTGAGCCCACAGTCTCTGGTTCAGTTCTCCAGAGAATAAACTTCCAGTCTTCTGACAGAGCTGGGGAGGGATGGTTGGGGGAAGGTTGCTGTATGCAAGAAGAAGGGAGGGGATGGTCCAGGAATCCAGTTGTTTCTCAATAGATTTTCAACCAAACTGCCAGTTCTAAGCCTCACACACCCTGTACAGGTTCCTAGTGGTTTTCATTTCTGATCCTTTCTGAGATTGTGCAATCAAATGGCTTCTTCCCTATTCTTCCACCCTAGCTCGTCCAAAACCCAAAGCTTTCTGATTTATTTATTCTGAGTTGGTTGCCTCTCATACATCTGCTTTCTACCTTCCGACTCTTGTCACCACTTCTCTTATTCTCTACATCCTGGTGGTTTTGTAATTTTAAAAAAAACTTTTATTGTCATTTGTGGTGGGCTCCAGGAAGGAGTAAAGACAAAAGTATGGCTTTAGCCTAAATGTTTAACCAAATATCGCTACAACTATATTTTCAAAATGTTTAAATCATTTTATATTTTTCCTAGAAATAAGTGACTATATACTATCACTCACTGTATTTTCCCCCATATTCAGATAATGCAATTTTTAAATTATTTTAATATTTGTTTTGGGCTGATATTTTATTAGGTAGAAGAATTACTTCAATTTTCCTTTGTTACCTTTGGAACAGAACTTTTTGTTCATATGTTTATATTTTTAAGCAGATTCATTTAATTCTAATTTCTATTTCCTCTGCTTATTAAAATGTAATTAGCTTACACTGTTATTATACCAATTTCTGTAGCCTAATGATTGCTCATAAAAACATGTTTTAATATTCCTAAGGCCTTATTCCTGAGTAATAAACATATATACATATATGTGTGTAGATTAAAGATATGAGGAAAACACATTTTGCTTTCATTCTAAAAGTATAATTAAATCATAGTTTTAAAAATTAAATTGCAATCTGTCAAATTTGACTGAAAAACTGAGAAATTCTGTATCCTCAACATAGAATCCAAAATAAGTAACTTTATTAACATACATTAATTGATCTAAAAAACAAGGCCAATCAATACACAATTTTGATCTGCTCTATAAAAAGCTAATTCAAAAACAAAAAAGAATATATGTTGTTACAATATAATATAGCATAAAAATTAGATAGTCTTGATAACCATATTTCCCCCAGAAGAAGTCTACTGAGAACTTACCTGTCACATAGATTATTTGTTTTATTTTTTAATCAAGCACTTTTAGGAACTTTGCTGAATGTAAGTGATAGGATAATTTTGACTCAGTAGGAGCCCAAATACTAAGATTTGCTCTAAAATACTAATGTTTATTCATTCATTCAACAAATCTTGATCAAATGCATACCTAATGTGCCAGGCACTGTTCAGATGCTGGGACCTCAACAGTCCTATTATCAATGACAGAAGCCAAGGTGACTGAGAGTGTACAGCGTATGGTACATCTTCCCTTCCTCTTTAGAACCCAGCAAAGACAGGTAGTTAATAATGTCAGAGAAAAATTTGCTGAAGTGAATGACATGGTTTGGCTGTGTACCCATCCAAATCTAATCTTAAATTGTAGCTCCCATAGTTATCTCATTCTGTGGCAGGGACCTGGTGGGAGATAATTGAATCATGGGAGCAGTTTCCCCCATACTGTTCTCATGGTAGTGAATAAGTGTCACAAGATCTGGTGGCTTTATAAGGGGCTTCCCCTTTTGCTTGGCTCTCATTCTTCTCTTGTCTGCTGCCATGTAAGACATGATTTTCACCTTCCACCAGGGTTGTGAGACTTCCCCCAGCCAAGTGGAACTGAGTGCATTAAACCTCTTTCTTCTGTAGATTGCCTAGTCTTGGGTATGTCTTTATCAGCAGCGTGAAAACAGACTAATACAGTGGGACTCCTCCCCATCCCACTCCCACTAAGAACTCCTACAAGACAAAAGCTACCTTTCGAGGATAGAGAAAAGGTACCATCAAACTCAGCTTTAGGGACGCATGCCAAATACAAAAAAGAAGGGGGAAAAAAAGGATAAAAATGATTGTTTTAATTAGCTTGACTTTATCATTCCACATTGTAAATACATATCAAAACATCACATTGTACCCCATAAATACATATAATTATGATGTCAATTAAAATAATTTTTTTAAGTGTAATGGTGAGTTACAGCTCATTGTAATTGTAAAATAAAAGTAAATCAACATCAGCCATAAAAAGGAACAAAATCATGTCTTTTGCAAGGACATGGATGGAGTTGGAAGCCATTATCCTCAGCAAACTAATGCAGGAACAGAAAACCAAACACTGCATATTCTCACTTACAAATGGGAGCTGAATGATGAGAAGACATGAACACATGGAGGGAAACAACACACACTGGGGCCTGTTGGGGTGGGGAGGGAGAGCATCAGGAAGAATAACTAATGGCTGCTGGGCTTAATACCTAGAGGATGGGATGATCGGTGCAGCAAGCCACCATGGCACATGTTTACCTACATAACAAACCTGCACATGTATCCTGGAACTTAAAATAAAAACTGAAACAAAAAAGTGATGAGGAGGACTCTCCAAGTAGGTAACTAGTTTCAGGTAGGATTGAATGGGAGAGGGTTCTTGGGAGCCTTCAGGTTATTCCTGCTGCTTGGGGGCGGGAGGTGGAGGAGGAGCTGAAGGCGGAGGTATGAAATCAACCACAAAAGTAAAATGTATGTAAAGTTTTAAAAAAGAAACGTAAAATCACATGATAAAGTTATTTGTTTTTGAAATGTTATTACAAATAGTTTGTAATGTTAAAACATAGGAAGAGGTTAAAAAAAGGTAAATCAAATGAGTAAAGAAGACCAAAGTCCTAATAAAAAGATGCTTAAGTTGCTAAAGCAAGAAAATCTCATCTATCACCTTCTGTTGGAAAACCACCAGGGATGGCATGTATGATGAAAAATAATTCCAGAACCTTTCAAGATCTGAAAGCCACAGACATTGAAGGTGTTAAACAGGGAAGGAATACCTACTTTGCCTTCTGGTAAAAAAGAAGGTCTGCAAGAAAAAAAAAAAGTGGCATTTATACGCGTAGTACAGACAACGTAAGTAATTGTCAGTACTATCTCTCACAGGGCACATGAAATGTGGAGAGGGAAGACTAGATTGGTGCAGGACTTCTGAGAAAACCCACATCTTGATGATTCTCCCAGGACACCTCCCGCTGCAGCTCAGCCCCAGATGGAGTCTCACTGCCAATTCTGCCAGGCTACATACATAGCTTTCAGTTGTTAGGAAATGAGCTATGAGTTTCAGTGTTGTGTCTGACTTATAGGCTTTTCTCCTTCTAAACCATGCGGAGCAATTTTCCTTCTTAAGAATTTCTTAAGATCAAAGCAACCCAGCCTCTTTTTGCATAAGAAAGATGTTTTATTAGAACAAACAAGAATATACCATACAATATCAAAGTGATACTTTATGCATGCCAATTTTTCTATGCATGCTGACATTTAAGTCTAGTTTGACATCATAGTTCCATCTCAGAAGAACGTGGCTTTGAACACAAGATGAATTCTCTGTTTTTCTATGAGGTCTCCCCGGGTCCCAGCTGCCGGTTTATTTATAGAATGTGGTCCCACCCAAAGTGTGCGGTTAGTCTCTTCAACTAGATACTGCCAGCCATTTGGTCTGGCAATTCTGAAGAGAGATGCTGCTATATCTAGTTTGTAAAAGTTCCAAGCCATGAATGCAAGAGACCGGTGTGGCTATTTATTTGCCTGTACAAAAGAGTGAACTCTTATCCCTGGCCAGGCCCACAAGCAGTATTACATATAGGAGGTCTTAACCAGCATAAGGGGAGAGAGAAACACAAGAAGAGAGAGGGTAGAATAAAGGCAGCAAAGGTCAATATAAACACCTGGCTTATCATCCCCAGGGGGTTTGAAAATGTTATAGACATGAGGACAAGTCACCAGGAAATCAGGGAGGTAGTCACGGATCAAGCTGATGGAAGAACGTGCTGGCATACATGGCGTATCACCTTACATGCAAGATAGTCAGGTTGCCCCTGCTTGCTTTTATGTCAGGGAGATCCAGATTCATTATCTAGACACAAGCAAGTGAAATACAAATGATTCCTCATTTCTGTGGATGATCACAGAGTAGGCAAGCTCTAGGTTTGTGAAGGTTTAAGACTAGAAACATAAGACTATTCATCTTTAGAAAAATGTTAAGCATCTCATCAGAGCTCCTTTAATGCATCACTCATTAATTCATGAGTGTGCATAATTACATGTACCTACAAAGAAAAAAAGTAAGTGAATGTTGATGGTGCATAGGACAACAACAAGGTGTCTACAAAACTCTAACACTTAAACCATAAAATCAGCCCGTGGTTTCACTACGCACTCTCTGTGTGTAAATTGTGTCACAGAAGCATTTTAGAGAAAAAAATATATATTTCTTAGACCAAAAGTAGGAAAAGCTGTAAGTTCATCAATCTATAAATATTGATTAGAAGGGAGGACAGTCATCTTGGAAGAAAGGAAAAGGAATGCTTGGGGAGAAAAATTGGTAGTGCCCTTGCCCAGGGCCTCAGCCGATCTGGACCCTCTAGCTGGGTGTATCAGGAACTGATCCACTTTATCAGCTTTGCTGTGATCCCTTTCTCTCCAAATAGACTTTTCATTGTAATTTGTCTTTCTATATGGCTTCCTGACAGATGGATAATTGTGCCACTGGCGTAAGTTCAAGCTTGGCAGCTTTGTTCTTCACTGAAAATTAAATCTGTCATTCTGGCTTATGCAGATAGCTATTCTGAGCTTGGTTAACTTCAGTCCATCTGGAAAAGATTTTTGGAAGTTGCAAACATGAGTGCCACACCCTAGATGATGGTAATTTTACTAAAGTGAATTCTATCTCCAGCTAGCTAGCCCTCCCAGGAAAGAGTTTCACCTCCTCCTCCTTCAAATGGCTATAAAATGCCTGATTCCTTAAGGGCCCAAAATATTCTGTTTAATGTGTGTCTGATTATATGCCCCATAATAAATACACTTGTTTAGGAAATATTTAACATGTGGCTTACTGTATACCCCCAAACATTCAAGTCTTACAACCAATCTCCATCTTATGTATTACAATTAATGCATATTAATTCTATTAATAAGACTTACATTCTTCTTGGTAGTTGGGCAAACTGCAAAAATACCTTATATCTTCTCAGTGCAATGAGAAATTTACCATTACTCGTAGATATATATGTGATTGAACAAGAAAAATTTTTATGAAGACTTTTTATTCAGAATCTCTGTTCATCAAAAAAGTTTAGAGATGGTAAAGATTGATAATAGCTCCATGTAAATCCAAAGCATGAGACATTTTCATTAGTTAATTGTGTCGCTTCAATGACTACCATTTTGAAAATTGATAAACTGAAGGATAGGAGCTTGGTGAGTTAGAGTACAGGTCAAGAATGGTGGAGGAAAAAAAATAGCTATAAGGAAAAGGGGGAGAGGCATCCAGGTAGCTGATAGAGTTGGCAAAATGGCCACAGCTGTGAACCTGAGCCCGCTCTAGTTCCCTAAGAACTGCTTCTGATATGCAAGAGAAATCATAGAGATAGTAATATGGGTGCACCTGTTGGCTGAGACTGATATGTCTCAATTGGAGTGGATACCCTAAACTTATTTCTTTGGTCTCTTTTTAACACATTACCCGGATTTTCCTTGACTTATATAAAACTGAGTAAAAATATTGACTAATAATGTAAGCTAACCTGTACTAAGTATTACCATATGCCAGGCACTGGGCTAAGCCCTCTTTATGCATATTCTCACTTAATTGTTGTATCAATTTTATGGGGTATGTTGACAAAAAGAGTCAAACTCTGTAAAATATTTGAAGAGATTTATTCTGAGCCAAATATGAGTAACCATGGCCCGCAACACAGCCGTCAGAAGGTCCTGAGAATATTCGCCCAAGGTGGTCGGGGTACAGCTTGGTTTTATATATTTTAGGGAAGCATGATACATCAATCAAATACATTTAAGAAATACATTGGTTTCGTTCAGAAAGGCGGGACAACTCAAATTGGAGACTTCCAGGCTATGGGTAAATTTAAACATTTTCTGGCAGACAATTGGTTGAGTTCGTCTGAAGACCTGGGATTAATGGAAAGAAATGTTCAGGTTAAGGTAAAGGATTGTGGAGACCAAGTTTTATTGTGCAGAAGAAGCTCTCAGACAGCAGACTTCAGAGAGAGCAGGTTGTAAATTGTTTCTTATCAGACTTAAAAGGGTGCCTGGCTCTTAGTTGATTATCTCCTAGATCAGGGAAGGAAGGAAGGAAAACAAAGTGGAGAGGGGATTCTCTATAGAATGTGGATTTTTCCCACAAGAGACTTTGCAAGGCAATTTCAAGGTATGTCAAGGAAATATATTTTTGTGTAAAACATTTTGATTTTCTTCCTTGTTATGCTACAGTCAGATTGTAAAGTAAGTCACTGTATATGGTGTTAAATAAAACCCATCTAATGAGAATTTATGGTTTGCAGGGCATGACTCCCCAGACCCCTTAGAAAGGAATTTGGGCAAGATAAAAAAAATCAGAGCTTAGTCCTCAGGTAGCTACAGATGAGGAAAACAGAGTTTCTAAATAACTTGGATCAGGCTATGTACCTACAAAATGGCAGAGATGAAATTAATAATCTCAGATCCAATGACTTAAAAGTGAATATTCTTAACCCTCTTTGCAAAAGTCCCTCCATATCCTCTTTCTAATGCAATAAAGCCATTGCAAAAATTACATTTCCTACCAAACTAAGGAAATCTCTTCTATTTCTTCTATTTGGATAATGATTAAGCATTATATAATAATAATAATAGTAATAGCACCTCTGGGACATTTTCTATTCACAATGCAGTATTCTAAGTATTTACATGTACTGACTCATTTAATTCTTCACAATAGTCCTAGGATAAAATTACTATTATAATTTCCATTTTATGGTTAGGATCTGAGGCACCTAGAGTCCAAGCAACTTGCCTAAAGACACACAGGCAGATATTATTTACTCACTTATTTATAGCCTACCCAAGAAAGGCCACAGCTGAATGAATTTATTCTAGTTCTTTAATGCCAGTTCAAGGATACATAACAAGTTCTAAGAAAATGTAGAGGAGAAAAATCATTTTCTTCAATTCTTTGGCTAAGTTCTCTTCCAGAATTAATCACAGCCCTGGTAAAAATAGAGAACTTTTCATCCCAAATGAGCGTATGCTTCTCTTTAGATTCCTAAGAAACTTTAATTGTCAGTTAGAAAGCTGTCACTTTGGGCTT
The DNA here is from genome assembly GCF_000001405.40 of Homo sapiens. Classification (NCBI taxonomy): domain Eukaryota; kingdom Metazoa; phylum Chordata; class Mammalia; order Primates; family Hominidae; genus Homo; species Homo sapiens. Next base: position 59,420,901 of record NC_000011.10, read on the forward strand.
AAGCAATAATTCCTTGGTTTTATTCAAATTGTTTTAGTGGCCTCTTTTTGTAGTTGATTGAATTGGCCGAGAGGTTTTTTGTTCAGTCATTAAGGCCTACTGTTCTTGCACTGCTATAAAAATATTCCTTAGGCTAGGTAATTCATAAAGAGATTTAATTGGCTCACAGTTCTTCAGGCTTTACAGGAAGCATGGTGCTGGCATCAGCTTAGCTTCTAGGGAGGCCTCAGGAAACTTACAATCATGGCAGAAGGCAAAGGGGGAGCAGGTACATCACATGACAAAAGCAGGAGCAAGAGAGAGAGGCAGAGTGAGAGGAGAGAGAAAGTGGCAGGGGATTGGTGGGAGTGCTACACACTTTTAAATGACCAGATCTCACAAGAACTCACTATCATGAATACAACACCAACCCATGAGAGATCCACCCCCATAGATTCAAACACCTCCCACCAGGCCCCACCTCCAGCACTGGAGATTGCAATTAAACATGAGATGTGAATGGGGACAAATATCCAAATTCTATCAAGGCCCAAATCAGAATTATTGCCTTAATGCCTCTAAAGAGTATGAAAACTCTCCCATCAGTCACAGGGGCTCCTATGGCCATGATTCTGAAACATGGGAAGGTATCTGCCCTGTGGTTTTCATGAGCTCTAAGGAAACCATTTGAGAATCTCAGAAGAGGGAAAGGCAACTGTGTTTAGAAAAAACATCATCCTCTTCAGGTCATTATACCATGTTGTACCTTAAATATCACCACACTAAATGCTGGACTAACATTTTTTCGATGACTTTCCTCCTATACATACAAACTCTGTTTTAACATTCCAGGATGTTTTTTGTCATGATGAAGTTTTCTGCTAGGCAGAGCATTTAAAATCTCAAACTATACAATGCTATTCATTTTACAAGCAACAATGGCCAAAATGTTTTCTAATAGCCAACAGGCAAACTATTAGTGAAATCTTAAGCAGGAGGGAAAAAAGCCTGATTCCCACAATTCATTCTATAGATCAACTAGTTTAAAATTATGTAAATGTCTGCACAATTCACCTAGCTCACAGCTTCATTGTAAACATTAGCCCAAGGTCATAAAAATGAATGGTCCACCGTGAGAAATCCCGGGGTCCCTTTCCATGGCTTTCCTCATGGCATTTTTAATCTCCTTATTCCTAAAACTGTAGATGATGGGATTCACCACGGGGATCACCAAGGCATAGAATATGGACACCACCTTGTCCCTGTTTAGGGAGTAGCTGGAACTGGGTCGCATGTACATGAAGAATCCAGAACCATAGAAGAGGGTCACAGCAGTCAGGTGAGAGGCACAAGTGCTGAAGGCCTTTGTCCTACCTGTAGCTGAGCTGATCTTCACAACAGCAGCAACAATGTAACCATAAGAGATGAGGACCACTAGCACAGACACTATTCCAACGACAACACTGACTATGAAGGTCACCACCTCGCTGGTGAAGGTATCAGAGCAGGACAGAGCCAGGACTGGAGGGAGGTCACAGAAAAAGTGGTTGATCATATAGGGCCCACAGAAATCATGCTGATAGACAGAGTATGTTTCAATGAAAGAACTAAGGAATCCACCCACATAGGCGCCAACCACCATCTTTAAACAAAGTGTATGGGATATGAGGACTGTGTAAAGCAAGGGGTTGCAGATTGCAGCATACCGGTCATAGGCCATAGCTGCCAGGAGAAAGCATTCAGTCAGCCCCATCCCACAGAAGACAAAGTACTGAGTGGCACAGCCAACAAAGGAAATGGTTTTCTGCTCTGTGATGATGTCAGACAGCATCTTAGGGGCGGTGGAGGACACATAGCAGATGTCCAGGAAGGACAGGTTACTGAGGAAGAAGTACATGGGCATGTGCAGGTGAGAGTCCATCTTAATGAGGGCAATGAGGCTTAAGTTCCAGGCCAACGTCAGGAGGTAGAGCCCCAGAAATAACATGAAAAGGAAAATCTTCATTTGAGGATGGTCTGAAAGTCCCAGGAGAATGAATTTTGTCACAATTGTGTTGTTCCTTCCTACAGCCATAGGCCTGCTTCCTGCATAAAGTCTTTACTTTCTTCTTTAAGAATCCTGTGGTCAGCTAGATTTTGTTTGTTATTGTAAGAGTGGGTATTTCCTAGAAGATCATACAAACAGTCAGCAACAAGTTAAACTACACCCAGTTAAAGCCCAGCCACCTGCTAGGCAAAGACTTTTCAGAGGAAGTCAGCCTAGGATAATCCATATGCTCTATGCTTGTTGACCAAAAGAGAATCCATCTAATAATAAAGTAGAAACTGATTGGGAGTCAGAAGCCTGAGTTTTGTCTTCAGCTCCATTCATAACTTGCTGAGGACTTTGGAAAAGTCATTTCTCCAGATTCTCATTTTCCCAAATGGGAAAGGAGAGGGTTGAATCAGATGAGTTTGAAGTGTCCCTTTGGATTTGGGTTCCCTATGGCTTTTTTAGACTTTCTGACTTGAAAATAAAGTGTAAATAAATAAAGTATAATAAAGTTAGGCATTTTTAAGCATTATAGATCTTTAGTATGAGAACTCAAAAGAAGGGAACTGAATTTAGTGGGCTACAATTTTTGACATATTCCATTTTGGTGGAGGAAATCCAGGCAATGGTCTAACAATCTATTCTTCTAGGTAGTAAAACTAAGTGGGAAAAAAATTTGTGTGTGTGTGTGTGTATACATATTTGTGTGTATATGTATATTTGTATATATATATATGTTATATGTGTGTGTGCAGGGATAATTGTATATATGTGTATGTTTGTGCATATATATGCACACACACACTTAGCATGCTTAAGACCAGAACATTTATTCTAATTATATAATGCTCTTAAGAAAAGTCATTGCACAAAATTCATAGAATGACAAAAATTTGGACTAGCACGGTCAGCACAATTATAGGAAAGAAGGGATATGAACAGGTTTCCATAAAGGGGAAAGGGGAGCCGTACCTAAGCTGACTGAGATGGGCTGAGCCATTGTGGTCAAGAACAAACAGCAATCAATATTTCCTGGGCAAGAAAAGCAGCAGGGAGAAGAGGGTTCATTCAATATTTAAAGACAGTGATAAGCAAGGGACAACTTTGATGTCATCAGGCCAGAACAGACGATGACTATGAAGACAAGAGGTAAGCCCATACATATCTGGCAGTTAAGAAAGACAGACTGGCACTGATGTAAGATCAAAATGAGGAAACAGGCCAGGAACAGTGGCTCACTCCCAGCACTTTGGGAGGTGGAGGCAGCCCAATTGCTTGAGCTCAAGAATTTGAGAACAGCCTGGAAAATATGGCAAAACCCTGTCTCTACTAAAAATACAAAAATTAGCTGGGCATGGTGGCATGTGCCTGTAGTTCCAGTTACTGGGGAGGCTGAGGCAGGAGAATCGCTTGAACCCATGAGGCGGAGGTTGCAGTGAGCTGAGATCGCATGCCACTGCACTCCAACCTGGTGACCGAGCGAGACTCCGTCTCAAAAAATAATAACAATAATAATAATACAAAACTTAGCAGGGTGTGGTGGCACATGCCTGTAGTTCCAGCTACTTGGAAGGCTGAGGTGAGGGGGATCACTTGAGCCCAGGAGGTCTAGGCTGCAGTGAGCCATGACCATGACTGTGCCACTGCACTCAAGCCTGGATGACAGAGTGAGACCCTGTCTCAAAAAAAAAAGGAAATTTTTTTTAAAAATTAGGAAATACAAATGCGTATAAAGAGGCAGAAATGCCCTGAGAAAGACTCAGTGGTGAAATTAAGGTTGCTGTATTTTATTATTTGTATGGAATTTGTTTGCCCATGCATGTTTGCACCCAATGGTAACTGTGGTTCTGTGTCACTTATCATATTAAAAACTGCTCCTAGCTTTGTGTTTTTTACAAATTTCTAATCTCCCCTCAAATCACTGGTCAAGCAGTCAAAACCAAGACGAGCCTAGATTGATCTTCACTAAAACATCAATCTATTTAATCCTATCAAAAAGGAAGTAAGAGGAATTTGGTATCTCTTATCTTGGTGAAATCTTCCCTACCAGAATGTAAGTTACTCAAAGACAGGCAGGGAGTTTTGCCCATTCTGTTTCCTGATCTATCCTTGTAACCACCCAATGGGTTCACCTTGCCCACTGCCTAGACAGAGCTCATTTATCAAGACAGGGGAATTGCAATGGAGAAAGAGTAATTCAGGCAGAGCTGGTTGTGCAGGAGGACTGGAGTTTTATTATTACTCAAATTAGTCTCCCTGAGCATCAGGGATCAGAGTTTTTAAAGATAATTTGGCGAGTAGGGGCTTGGGAAGTGGGGAATGCTGATTGGTTAGGCTGGAGATGGAATCAAATGGGTCGAAGTGAGTTTTTCTTGCTGTCTTCTGTTCCTGGGTGGGATGGCAGAACTGGTTGAGCCAGTTAACGGGTCTGGGTGGTGTCAGCTGATCCATCTAGTGCAGGGTCTGCAAAATATCTCAAGCACTGATCTTAGGTTTTACAGTAGTGATGTTATCCCCGGGGCCAATTTGGGAAGGTTTATACTCTTGGAGTCAGAGGCTGCATGACCCCTAAACAGTAATTTCTAATCTTGCAGCTAATTTGTTAGTCCTGCAAAGACAGACTGGTCCCTAGGCAAAAGGGGGGTCTCTTCAGGAAAGAGCTGCTATTAATTTTGTTTCAGAGTCAAACCATGAACTGAATTCCTTCCCAAAGTTACTTCAGCTTATGCCCAAGAATGGACAAAGACAGCTTAAAGATTAGAAGCAAGATGGAGTCAGGTAGATATGATTTCTTTGACTGTCATAATTTCCTCAGTTATAATTTTGCAAAGACAGTTTTATCATAAGTACAAAGAACAGGGCCTGGGACATAGGTGCCCACTAAATATTTTGCTGAATAAATAGATTTTTTTCCACCACTTATCCTCAGAGTTTACCAGAAGGGTTTGGCCTATGACTTACTATATTTGGTGTGTTACTATTATAAGAACAAAACACATAATATATAATTAATCACAAACAATAATCATATAACGATCATAATATAATAATATAATCAAACACTTATTTAGTACTTATTGTGTGCGAGGTACTGTTTGAAAGACTTGATTTTTATAAACCCATTTAATTCTCCTAATAGACTCAAGAAGTGGCAGCGTTTCTCGCCCCATTTTACAAATAAAAGGTAGAATAGGCTGTAAATGCATAGTTGTGATTTGCTGCTGAATGGATGAGGTAGGAGGGAATGAGCTGGACTTACTGGATTGCATTGGGCAGAAGGGTCCTGCAATCTTGTGCTACAAGAGAAGAAATATTGATTGCTTTGTTGCCATAACATCTTTTGCAAACCAGATCATCTGCATTTCCCACTGCTCCATGGCTGGTTTCTCGTTCCATCAATTTCTTATGCTTTGGCCTCATGTAAATAGTAAACCATGCTTCTGGAATCTCCGCTCCTTTGTTAACAAGTCTTCCAAATAAATGGGCTGTGGGAGTTCATTATTTTAATGGGCAGAGGTAGCCACATTCTTTCCCCAAGAGGCTGCCCTCTGCCACTCACTCCAGGGTCCAACATAAAAAGCCCAGCAATCATTAGAGCTAAACATTTCTGAGCACTAATTGTTCCCTGGAGTGGTGGCGAAAAGAGCCAACCGCTCATCACGGGAGCCTCTTTCCATCCCCCTACCTATTCTTCTCTGAGCTTTCCCTGATTTGAGTCCAGGAAGACTCCCTGCTGGGTTAGTAGATGCCTTTTGCTTAAAAGAAATTTCATCAGAAGTAAATCACACATAAACACACCAAGCCTTGTGCTGAAATATACTGGTTAGAAACACATGTTTCCAACTCTGAGAATTGGGTTTAAATTCTGGCTCTGCCCTTTTATCAATATAAACATGTTCAATGTTGTTTAATGTCTTAAACTTATCAACTCCCTCATTTGTAAAACTGGTGTAACAAGAATACCTACCTCAACAGAGTTGTGATAATTAAATAAGCTGTGAATAAGAAAGGCTTAGCACAGTGCCTAACAAACAGAAATCACTCAATGAATGTAAACTAATGATGTCATTAACTCTGTTTCTTGGGTCATGGCCAAAAATATGTCTTTCCTTTCTATCTTTTTATTGTGACTTATTTGCATCACGATGAAAAGATTTCTTTTCTCTTTATTTTTTTTAATGAGGCTGGATGGGATGAAGGGCTTGATGGGGCTCTTCTTTTCTCTTTTTAATATTTTGGGTGCTACTACCAGCAATGCCACTACCTGGATGAGTCACTGTGGGCAAGTCAATTAACCCCTCCAGCCTGAGTGAATTGGGCTCACTCTCCAAGAATTCCTCCAGCCCTGAAAGTCTGATGTTTCAAAACATTGATTTCCTGTTTTTTTAAATGTTTTCTTCAGAAATAAAGTTTATAAAAAATGAATTCATCTATTTCATGGAGACTAAGTCAGCAATCCTCAGTCTCAAAAGAAAAAAAATTAAATGAGAGAAATGTCTTCTATATAAAGGGGTATAATTACTGAGACTCTTGACTTACAAGGTAACAGGCTTAATTTAGGGAAGAAATTTAGCAACTAAGACTGTTGACAGAAACGGAGGTAAATGTCTTCAAGAATCAACTGTGAACATGAAAAGGCAAGGAAGTCCATCCTCAAAAGAAACATTCTTATCTAAGTTTGAAGATAAACTGTCCTAGGAAATTCTGATGCTGAAAGAGTAAACCCCAACTAACTATGAAAGAGTTTGATACTGAGTTAAGATCTGGGAAATTTAAAAGGTAGATCTCACAGTTATGAAGGATACATTTTTCTAGGATTAGAAAAGGCTGATAAGGGCCGGGCGCGGTGGCTCATGCCTGTAATCCCAGCACTTTGGGAGGCCGAGGCGGGCAGATCACGAGGTCAGGAAATTGAGACTATCCTAGTTAACACGGTGAAACCCCGTCTCTACTAAAAATACAAACAAAAAAAAAATTAGCCAGGCGTGGTGGCGGGCACCTGTAGTCCCAGCTACTCAGGAGGCTGAGGCAGGAGAATGGCATGAACCCGGGAGGCAGAGCTTGCAGTGAGCCGAGATCGCGCCACTGCACTCCAGCCTGGACGACAGAGAGAGACTCCGTCTCAAAAAAAAAAAGAAAAAGAAAAAGAAAAGGCTGATAAGATAGGGTAGTGATAGATTTCATCTGTCATGGCAACTCTGATTATAGTGATAATGACTATCTACAAAGTAAGATTGAGAATCTTAAGAATAAAGAGCAATAATTTCTTTTGCACCAGTTTGGATGGAGCTGGAGGCCATTATTCTACATGAAGTAACTCAGGAATGGAAAACCAAATACTGTATGTTCTCACTTATAAGTAGGAGCAAAGCTGTGAGAACACAGAGACATACAGAGTGATATGGACTTTGGGGCCTCAGGGGGAAGGGTGGAAGTGGGATGAGGAATAAAAGACTACATATTGGGTATAGTGTGCACTGTTTGAGTGACAGGTACGCTAAAATCTCAGAATTCATCACTAATAGAATTCATCCATGTAATCAAAAACCACTTGTACCCCTAAAGCTATTGAAATAAAAAAAGAACAAATTATAAATTAACAATGTCTGCATTGGACAGAAAAATGCAGAATGAGGACTCAGAATGTATTTATTAACCTAGTCTATAAGAAATCTGAGAATGAGGAAGAAAGTCATCCTATTAAATCCATCTGGATAAAACCATAAACTCTTCATGCCCTTACTTTAAAAAATCAAATTTGATCAAAATAGCAGAAGTTTCAGTGAACATCAGAAAGTAGCAAAGGAAATATGTTACGGGACAATATGAATATATTTAATATTACTCGTTTACACTTAAAAATAATTAAGATGATGTGATGGTGAATTTTAGGTGTCAACCGGACTGGATTAAGAGATATCCAGATAGCTGGTAAAGCACTATTTCTGGGTATGTCTGTAAGACAGAGGATGTTTTGAACCAGTGGACTGAGTAAGGAAGATCCACCCTCACTCAATGTTGATGGGCACCCTCCAATCAGTTGAGGGCCTGGAAAGAACAAAAAAGCAGTGGAAAAGTAAATTCCCCCTCTCTCCTCTGAAGTTGAGATATCTTTCTCTCTTCCTTTGACATCACATCTCCAGGGTCTCCTTTGGAGTCTGGGATTTGCATTAGTAGCCCCTTAATTTATCAGGTGCTTGGCCTCATGTTGAGAGTTACACCGTTGGCTTTCTTGGTTTGGAGGCCTTTGGACTTAGACTGAACCATGCTCAGGAAGTCAGGATTCTGTGATTGTTGAGCTTGCAGATGTCACATTATGGGACTTCTCAGCCTCCATAATCTCATGAGCCAGTTCTCCTGATAAACCCACTCTCACCTACCCATCTGTTAATATCTGTCCATCTATTCATCTATCTGTCTATCTATTCATACATCCTCCTGGTTCTGTCTCTCTAGAGAACCCCAACTAATAAAGATGGTAAACTTAATGTCATATGCTTTTTACCACAATAAAAAAGTATGAAAGCAAATAGCACATAAAGGCAAATAAACTCCATATCGAATTATAAGTGTTTAGAATTGGAAGTGCTTTGATGTTCAACTCAAAATTTATCTCCCTAGGATTCTATGCATCTTAGAGTTTGTTCTCTGACAGCATCTCCTGAAATATGATTTACTTTCATTTTAGCTTAACATTTTAGCATAGCTATTTTAATGAGTTTACTTGAATCATTTCAAAGAAAACCCAGAGAAAAATCCAAATATCCTTAGTAGTAAAACATCTTAACTCTCAAATTGGAATTTGAAAAGTTATCTCAGGGTGCATTTCTTCCACTAGCGACTAGGAAAAATTTCAACCTGATATGGATCCAAAGTGTTTTCACAAGACATCTCTAACAAACCCAAAGTGAAGGTATATTGAAAAGTTTTAGAGGTCTTTAACAATTTATACAAGAGGGAAAGCGCAAAGGCATCATAGGACCTGAATTATAATTCCCATTCTACTATGGCAGATTGCGCTGTTGATCTCTCTTGACCCCTCTCTGGACCTCAACTTTTTTTATTCTGAAACCAAAGAGCTAGAATAGAAAACCTCTAAAAACTCAAACAGCATGATTACTGCTAAGATAACTTAATTACTAAACCATTGTCTGTCAAAACCAAGCACCTATTGGTTTTTATCCGTATGGAATGTTGCTGCCACCTAGTGGAAATATGCCTAAATTGTAGGGTCAGTTGCAATAGTGATTGATCATCCTCAAACACATTACATCCTCACTGTGATCCAAGCACTGTACCATGTGCTTCTCAAGCACCTGAACTCAATATTATCATGAAGTTCAATTCTGAGAAATAAACTAGATCAGGGAGAGGGGCAACATACTAAGCATAATGTAAATGGTAAATAACAATAATAAGCAAATATGTTTGGATAAGGGTGACGTAACTGAAAACAGGTATGTCATAAGTTTACATTCATGGTATAATTTTTTTAAAGCAGATTTTTAAATATTTAAAAAGAGATACAATGACATAACAAGAGAGCAAATGAGAAGAGTAGGCATCAGAAGTAAAAATAATTGGTAGTGGGGACCACACGTCATGGGCTGAAATCCATCCGATTGCCAGTGTGTGGTCTTGGATGCCTCAGTTGATCTTACATAAGCTTTTCCTTTATCTCTGAAAGTGCACCAAATATATCAACATTGTATGTTTGTGTGAAGAGCATATAATATACAATCTATATGAAAACCATTATATAATCTATTCAAACATGAGGGGTTATCATGTTGATTTTTAAATTGCCCATTTGTCTCAGAAGAAACATCTCCAGCTGTAATATTCTGATAATTAGTTTATTAGAAATAGCATGAGAATCTATATTATTGTTGTCCCTGGCTAACTATATGTTTTTATTAAATACCAGTTAGCTATATGTTTTCATTAAAATGTCATCTAATTTGGATATGGTTTTCAAAAACTTTCATTTTTAGTCAATCTTGGCACAGTATTTTTTAATAAACAATTACCTTAGGTTTCAGGGTCATTTTTATTATTCATGTACTTAGTATTATCATAGCCCTAATTATTTGTAAATAATGTAAATTTTATGCCCCTGAAAAACACTTGAAAATATTAAACTCTCATTAAATTGCTAGGTAAAACTTAAACTAAAAAATGAATCATTAGGAAATTTTAAGTGTTAATTCCAAATCAAATGAAAATATGCTTAATCATTGATATAGTGAAAGTTGCAGTGAAGATTTTAAATAATGTTAATGCAAAAAATAAAGCACAATTTTCTCTACTTATCAGGGTATTTGAGGACTCATATGAATTGACAACATCATGAGTATAAATTTTCCAAGAAGGCTTTGAACATTGCACTGACTAAACATCCATTGAAATGAATTTCCCTCAGGAACTCTTAAAGGGAGCATCTCAAAAGAAAAGAATCACAAGGTACTCATCTACTTTCAGAACAATGACCTGAGCTCAGAAGAGAAAGGAGGTTCTGGAAAGAACCAGTTTTCTATCACTTAAATTATCCTTCAGCCCAGCCCAAAGACACATTCCTGAGTCCTGGCCCAAAGGGACTGGGAAAAGAATGCTGGAAAAAAGAAACTGAAAAGAGTATTGACGTGCAAGTAGTACTAATGCCAGCAGTTTGGGTAGCATCAGGGTATGATGCTCTCAATGCAGATACCTGTGTCTTCAATGCCAGCATCTTAGCCATGAGACACTGTTGTGCATCAGAGCTAGTGACATGGTGACTATCTGCAGGAAATACCATCCTGATCCATAACAGGAAAGAAGGAAAACAATAGATAACACAATAGTAGATTATTATACAAAGAGTATGTGAGCCACTCCCTGATGGCTTCCAGAACTAGGAGGAATTTTGAGGACTATGTGGGTATAGAAGGAATTCAAAGGAATCTGGGGTAGTAAGACACCCTGGAAACTTTGTCTGATAACTATTATTGTGATCATGTTTCAGTCTTCCAGCTGATGTGGGCAAGAACAGTGGTTATACATAGCATTATTAATTTAAACTCTGAGATAAGAGGAAAGAGCCTAGGTAAAATGTGTAGAAGATGAAAAACAGACCACAGACAAGACTTTGAGGATTATTCCCACATGTAAGGGTATAGAGGGAGAGAGAATCTTTGACGATTACAACGAGCCTACCATCTCTCATGTCCATTCTGTTACCCCAACACACACACACACACATACACATACATACATAACATATTTTCACCTACAACTGTGAGGGCTGAAGGCAAGAAAACAATAAACAAATGCAGCTGGTGACTCCTCCTTGGTACCAGAGTAACTCCTGGCTATGTCTTTATTGAACTGCCTCCCATGGCTACCCTGGCTTTTAGAATTGAAAATTGCAACTGCTTCTGCTTTAGGATTCCACTCCTGAAGATCGACTGCATGGCTCTTGTTCTCTTCTCTCTCTTAGAATTAGGTTCTTTGGGAATTACCTTCTCTCAAATCCAACTACCTGGTTAGGGATATACATTATATACATATTTCCAAGTTGGATTTATCCTCAAAAATATGTAAGTCTGGTTCGACATTTTAAAATCAGTCAATGAATCTCTCTTTATCAATAAAGTGAAAATCAAGGAGAAAATATATAAAATCAATCAATTCAGTATATGTCTTTTAAAAAATCCAGCATCCATTTATGATAAAGACTCTTGGCAAACTAGGATTAGAAAGAACACCTGCAATCTGATATAGTTCATAGGTTAATAACAAAAATACCCTACAGCTATTATGACACTTACTAGTAAAAAACTAAATGTTTTTCTCCTAAGATCAGGAAAAAGGCAATGATGTCTGCTCTCACCATTCATTTTATACATTGTACTGGAGTTCTTATCAATAAAGCAGGAAAAATAAGTAAAAGTTACATAGATTGCAAAGAAAAATATAAAACTTCCTTTATACAATGTATTAGTCTGTTTTCACATAGCTATAAAGAACTTCCCAAGACTGGGTAATATATAAAGGAAAAAGGTTAATTGACTCAGTTCTACATGGCTGGGGAGGCCTCAGGAAACTTACAGTCATGGTGGAAGGTGAAGGGGAAGCAAGGACCTCCTTCACATGGCAGTAGGAGAGAGAGAGTGAGACAGCGAAGCGGGAAGAGCCCCTTATAAAACCATCAGATCTCATGAGAGCTCACTCGCTATCATGAGAACAGAATGGGGGAAACTACCGCAATGATTCAGTTACCTACCGTCAGGTCTTTCCCTCAACACTTGAGGATTACAATTCAAGATGAGATTTGGGTGGGGACACAAAGCCTAACCATATCATCCACAAATAATATGAGTGTAGAAAATCCCAAAGAATCTATAGCATAGGTTCAAGAACTAATAAGTAAGTTAAGCAGTGCCCCAATAAACAGTCAAATTATAAAAATTAACTGTAGTAAACAATTGGTAATTGAGCTAGTAATTAACAATTAGTAATTGAACACTATTAGTAAATAATTGGTAATTGAAATTTTCAAGTGTATCATTTACAATACAATAGCATTTTTAAAAACATGAAATACTTAGGTATAAACCTAATGAAATAAGTACAAGATCTGTGTGCAGCAAACTATAAAACACTGATGAAAGAAACCAATTATCTAAATATGTGGAGATATATAGCATGTGTATGGATTAGAAGACTCAATGTAGTGCCATAATAAATATCAATTCCCCCAAAATAGATCCTATATTCAATACATTTTAAATCAAATATCAACAGGATTTTCTGTAGATATTTTCAAATTGATTCTAAAAATTTTTATGTTGATGCTGATCATTTTGAAAAAATAAAAATAATAAAATAAAATATTTATGGAAAGATAAAGGAACTAGAAGAGCCAAAATAGTTTTGAAATAGAAGAACAAAGTTGAGGGACACACATTACTTGCTTTAAAAAGATACGCATACAGCTACAATAATTAAGAAAGTATGATATTGGAGAAAGAAAAGAATACATATATCAATGAAACAGAATAGACAGTTCTGTTCTGAAGAACAGAAATAGACCCACATACTTACAATCAAATGACTTTCATCAATATGCAAAAAACAGCTCAAATGAGAAAGAATATACTTTTCCACGAATAATGCTAGGACAATTAGATGCCACTGTGCCAAAATATGAAACAGTTTTTACTTCACACCATACACAAGTAATTAAATCATACAACTAAATGTAAAATATAAATTATAAAATTTCTAGAGGAAAACATAGAAAAAAATCATTATGACTTTGCATTATGCAAAGATTTCCTAGGTGTTACACCAAACACACAATTAATAAAAGGAAAAATGATAAATGAGACATTGCAAAAATTGAGGATTCTGCTCTCAAAAAATATTAGTGGAATGAAAAGACAAGTTACAGATTGGAAAAAATATTTTCAAATTATATATTTGATAAAGGAATTGTATGTAGCATATATAAAGAACTTTCAAAACTAAGTTTTACATTTCAGAAATTTTTTAAATGGGCAAAATATATGTGAACATATAATTCAGCAAAATAGATACATGGATGGACATATGATACTCAACACCACTATTCATTAACAAAATAGAAATTAAAATCAAAACTAAACCCCACTTGTATCTATTAGAATGGCAAAAAATAAAAATAAAAAACAAGTAGCATATAGTAAGTGTAGCCATTCTGGAAAACAGTATAGATATGCCTCAAAAAACTAAACTTAGAACTGCTATATGACCCAGCAATCCCACTACTGGGTATATATCCAAAAATAATGAAATCAATATGTCAAAGAGATAACTGCACTCTCATGTTTATTGCAGCACTATTGAGCATAGCCATAATATGAAATCAAGCTAAATGTCCATTAATGGATGAATGGCTAAAGAATATATAGTATATATACACTATTCTGCCTTCAAAGAAAAGAAAATCTTGTCCTTTGCTACAACATGAATAAACCTGGAGGGCATTATGGCAAGTGAAATAAACCTGGCACAGAAAGACAAATACTGTATGCCCTCAATTATGTGAAATCTAAAAAAAACTGAACTCATAGAAGCAGAGAGTAGAATGGTGGCTCTCAGGGGCAGGGGTAGGGGGAGCAGGGAGATGTCACTTAAAAGGTACAAAGTTTCAGTTAGACAGGAGAAATAAATTTTGGAGATTTGTTGTACAGCATGGTGACTATAATTAATGATAATGTGTGTAGTATACTTGAAAATCACTGAAAAAGTAGATTTTAAAATGTTGTCATCAGAAAAATCATAAGTAGGTGAGCTGATGGATATGTTAATTTGCTTGATTTAATAATTCTTCTATGTATACATATATCAAAACATTATGTTATATAACATAAATATATACAATTTGGCATTTGTCAATTTAAATAAATAAATAAACAAAGAGACCTAACTCTCAATAAATAAATACATACATACTTAAGGAATGCACGAACGAATAATTTCTCCCTTATCCATGTTTTTCCTTTGAATTCTACTCTCCAACCATTTTTTTCTCTGCCTGGTTGGATAGCTTTCTCTCCTTTAAGTAGTCATGGAATTGAGATCAGTCATCCACTGTTTATTGTAGCTACTTTGAAAAGACCGAAGTTCCATGTTCTCAGCTTAAGAAACAAGAGAATCAAATATTTTACTTTTTCCCCTCCACCTGAAAGCACATGTACTAATGGCTTGATTTTGTTAAATGTGTGGCCCCATATTACTTTTTATTTGTATGTAGCTCTCCATAGAATAAAAGTTCTACATCTTTATATTACACCTTTATATTCCATAGCAGAATAAGTTTTTTAAAATGTTTTAAGAAAAAAATGCCCTATTTCTAATGTCTCTTTCCTGGAGGAAGATAGTAGGTTTCTGTGGAAAGAAAATGGATTTATGAATTGAGGGGTATGATTGACCATATCAACACATTTATGTGAGTTTCAAAATAAGTGCATGTGTCATATATTTATATGCAGTGTTTGGTATTACACAGAGTTCAAATATCAGATCAATCCCTTACTAGCATAAAATTTCGATCAATTTATTTAGCTTCTCTGAATTTCGGTTTCCTCCTCTGCACGGGGAATTGGGGAGAACTTAGTGAGTTAACACACATAAGGCACATAGTATAGTGCTTAGCACATAAGAGGAGCTCAGGAAGGTTAAGGTCCCATCCTTTTAGCATACTTCTGGCCAAATAGGTTCTACTAAGTAATGGAATAGAGTCAATAAATATGTATTTATAGATAGGCAATTTTGCTTTATTTTGTGGAGTGGTGTTTAACCTATCCTTATGTTCCACTGCTATCCTGAGTTTTTTCGTCAGGTACTACCAGAAAATATCTTGATTGGCCTTGGGGGATTGGAGGCCCTAGCCACTGGGATGGAGTTTAATAAGCATCAGTTTTGGAGCTTTTAGAGTTTGCGTTCTAGACAACCCCAGAGAGCAATTAATCATAAAGCTGTGAAGTTCGGGTGATACATTCCTCCCTTTCAAAAAGACCCTCAGGAGCAAATATAATGAAACATCTCCAAGGACAGAAGAAAAAAACCTCTCCCCAATTTACCCCCAACCCCAGCTTTGAACATTTTCTCAAAATGACCCTAAATGCAGATATTAGCTGATGCCAGAAGAGCTTCTTAAAGATTACAACCTCCATCCTTTCTTTATATATCTTTTTCTTCCTTTACTCTGCCCCAAAGCACACCTTCTATGCACCAAGAGGATATTTTGATCCTTGATGAAAAAACCAGCCGCAAGCTCTCTCCAAACTCATTAGCACTTTGGTAATTGGAAGCAGCCACTGAAACCCAATTAAACTCCTTCCAAAGCAGAACAACTCAAAACAGGTATCAGCTAAAGGGCAGACAGAGCAGGAGCAACAGGGTAAGTGCAGTTTGCTCTTTGTCTTCATGCCCATATTAATCTCACATGATAGAATTCCCTATATCCACAAGCCCATATAGGTAACCAATAAGTTCTTTGACTTTTAGTTTTTCTCCCTGCACCTCTCAATGCTATTTGTCTTTCCTCAAATTCAGCCAAATCTTTTTTTGTACTTTTTAAAAAATAGACCTTATTTTTTAGAGCAATTGTAGAGTCACGGCAATATTGACCAGAGATTTCCTATTTATCCTTTTACTCCTACACATGCATAGCCTCCTCCATGATCAATCTCCCCCACCACAGTGGTACATTGTTACAATCAATGAACCTACATTGGCAAATTATTATCACCCAAAATCCATAGTTAACATTTGGGTTCATTCTTAGTGTTGTGTATTCCGTGGGTTTGGGCAAATGTATGATGACATGTATCCACTGTTATAGGATCATCCATAGTAGCTTCACTGTCCTAAAAACCCTCTGTGCTCTCCCTGTTCACCCTTCCCTCTCCCTGACCCCTAGCAACTACTGATCTTTTTACTGTCTCCATAGTTTTGCTTTTTCCAATATGTCTTATAGGTGGAATCATACCCTACGTAGCCTTTCAGGTTAATTTATTTCACTTAGTAATATGCACGTAAGTTTCCTCCATGTCTTTTCATGGCTTGATAGCTCATTTATTTTCGGTACTATACTTTTCAAGAAGTCTGCTGTATACTATTTTGTTTTCAAGCATTCTCTGCTGTCATTTAAGTACTTAAGTAGAATATGGAAACTTTGAATTTACAGATTTTTTTGCCAAAGTTTTTTAAATGTACATTATTCTTTTCATATTTGAGCTTTCTCCAATTCAAAATTGAAATTCCAGATAACATGCAGAAATTTAGGATTTACATACAAGTTTGTTGTCTGTCTCAGATAATTCTATGCTCTTGATTTATCAGTTGAATAATTTTCCCAGTGCAGTGTTTTATTAATTGTTGTATACGATAAGCTGGACCCTGTTTGATATAGTTTGAGTGTTTCTTCCCTCCAAATCTCATGTTGAAATGTAATCCCCATTGTTGGAGGCGGGGCCTGGTAGGAGGTGATTGGCCCATGGGGCGGATCCTTCATGAATGGGGTAGTGCTATCCCCTTGGTGATTAGTGAATTCAGGCAACAGCTGGTTGTTTAAAGAGCCTGGCCCCTTTCTGTTGCTCTCTCTCTCTTGCATCTGCTCTCACCATATGAGATGTCTACTCCCCCTTCACCTTCCGCCGTGATTATAGCTTCCTGCAGCCCTCACCAGAAGCAGATGCCAGCGCCACACTTCTTGTACTGTCTGCCGAACTGTGAGCCAATTAAACCTCTTTTCTTTATAAATTATCCAGCCTCAGGTAGTCCTGAAAAACGGCCTAATACACTATTCTATATTGTCTTAAATGGGACATATTACTAAAAGAGAGCTAAAAGAGACACATGTTCTCTTCAACTGGTAATCAGTTGACTATTAAATGTTCAGTAGCATTTTTTTTAAGTCTTCAGAAAATCATGATGAATTATTAGCTTTATAAATGCATTAATTGTTCATTACAAATTTTGTGAACAGTAAACCCAGCATACTATTAGATGCTAAGGTAGAACAAATATGAAACCAATCTTTTCAAAAACCAAGGTTACTCTAAGGAGGGAAATTTGCTCACCGTGATAATCTGAGTGAGGCATTTAAGAGCCTGATTCTGAAATCACAGCCCAATATTGGTTCTTCTCTACTGCTCCCGTGATGAGCTTCCTGAAGTACATTTGAGCCCTTGCAACTACCAAGATGATTAAAAGGGAATGACATTTCTGAAGGAACTTCTATGCCCTTACACACAGCCTCAATTATTAGTAAGCAATCCAAAAAGTAATTTAGAAGGCCTGTAATCCAGACACACTTTACACAGCAGATTTTCCAAACACTGCAGAGGCCTCTAAACTCCAAAACTCTCCTTCTCTTTTCTCACTAATGCTATGAATGATACCATCTGAATCTTAATTCTTGAATTAAAGTCTTGACCCCTTTAGCATTGTCACCTTACATTGAGAGGAACTCCTCATTTCATCAATCATTTGTACATTCAGATAAAAGAAAGACCTGGAAGAGCAGTATCTTGAGGGCACCAGGCACTGGCAGGGATGAGAGGAAAATGGCATTATGAAGTGAAGGACACCAGATCAGGATTGGCGGGGAAATCACAGAACACCTCCAACTCCACAATTTGGCTGAGGTCCTTATCATTCCATGTTTTCCTCCATCACAAACTGTGTCTGTGAAGCTCAAATGAGGCAAATTTTGTTACAAAGTTTAACACTTCTTCCAGATATATTTGATGGAAAATGAACAGAATCATAAATCAACTCTACGAGTCCCCATCAATTATCCAGTATCTTCTATGTGCAAAGGTCTGTGCTAGGTGCTTGGTTTTACTGTATTATTATCTTCCCGTGTCAGTCAAGGATAGTGTAGTTCACAAAGATGCTGGAACTGCATCTATGAGTCTAATGAGGTCACTGAGCCTCTCAGACTCTTCCTCTTCAGCTCTGTAAAATAGACCTGGTGTTGATTATACCTGGTGTTGATTATATCATAGAATTGTAGGGAGTCCAGGCTCCCCAAGTTTGCTGCAAGAGTGAATAAAACTTCCTTTCCCTCTCAAGGGAAGAAGCACCTCTTCATGACAGAGTTCCATGCCATAAAGCACTCCATACAATCCTTAAGATACCTTCTCTCTAATGTTCTAAAATAAGCTGCAGGGCATCCATATGTGGGAAAAAAACTCTACATATGCTTTTCCTTTTGTTTCAATTTGTCCAGCTCCACTTTCTGTTTCTGGGACTGGGAAATCTCATCCTTAAATACAAAATTTCTCCCTCCTGATGACAATATTCAAAACAGACTTTCAATTAACCCATCAGACTCCAATCATTAAGTTCCTCAACCTCACTCGTAAACACTTCTTACAAATCTGCATGGTCCATTAGTGAACTTCTTATTTCTCTAACATAAGCATACTTCAACCTATTACATAAGGAGGAAGGGTTTCAAAATTAATGGTCGGTCCTATCAATAATATTTTAAGGAATAGTTGCTGCTGATAACAATCACATTCCCAGTTTATTAAGCAAACATTCTATCTCAAGACCCACCATGATCCCTTTATACATTATCTTAAGCAATTTTCAAGCTCTGTTAAGTAGTTACTGTTTGTTTTATTGTTGTTTTGAGACAAGGTCTCCCTTTGTCACCTAGGCTGGAGTGTAGTGGCATGATCACAACTAACTGCAGCCTCAACCTTGTGGGCTCAAGCAATCCTCCCACCTCAGCCTCCTGGTAGCTGGGACCACAGCTGTATGCCACCATACCCTACCAATTTTTTCATTTTTATTTTTATTTGTAGAGATGAGGTCTCACCATGTTTCTCAGGTTGGTCTCGAGCTCCTGGCCTCAAGCAATCCTCCAGCCTCTGCTTCCCAAAGTGCTAGGATTGTGGGCATAAACCACCACACCTGGCTAGTAGTCACTGTTATTCCCATTTTACAAATGAGGAAATTGAAATTCAGAAAGGCTAAATGAGTTGCCCAACATCCCACAGCTGGCAAGTGGCAGAGTCAGAATTAGAACCAGTCTTTTTCTAAAGCCTACCCAGGATCAAACCACTACCTTCTCCCACTCCCCTTTCTTCTAACCTGAATGGGTGCCCCCAGATGACCCTGAATCATAACACAGACCTCAGGTTTCTACCTTGCCAAATGGCTGTACCTCTATGGAATGTGTGAGGCCTCCCGCAGAGCTCTTCTTGTTTTAGCTCCCAGTTTCTCCATGTGACTCTACATCTGCTCTCGATTATGCCAAAGTTTGTTGCACGTTCCTCTTTTATTTCTTTGAAGGATAAAGAATCCTCTCTTGACTCTAGAAAGTTCACAAACCTTTCACAAACAGGAGCAAAACCTTAGAATATAGGATGAAGCTTAAAGTCATACCGACAATAGCGTGACTAATGTGATGAATATCTAAAACTCTGCACAAATGACAGCATGATGATAGCTAAAAGGAGCTTCACATTCTCCCATTATCCAAATGTGAGGGGTTTAGCAATAAAAAATAAGTAGAAGGAACTATTGACAGGGGAGAAATGGGCCCCAATTTCAAGGGCATCTGTCTGTGCAAGTTCCAGGAAAAAAATATTAAGAATGTCAATGAGACCTTAACTGGCAATGAGTAGATGTGGATTGATTTGTGAAAATTGAGGATGTCGAAATAAAGTGGCTCTCCTAAATTGAGCAGAAAAATTTGGCGCAAATAGAGTATTACTTCCCAAATTGTGAAGTTATTGACTTGCAATGACTTCTATAATATATACAAGTTACAAAGGTTTGTGTACTATGATACAAACACCTATGCACATAAACATATACTTGTACATAAAAAGTATACACCAAAATATTAAGAGTTATTATTTCAGGAGATAGATAATAATGTTCAGTTTCCTTTTTTTTATTAATCAGGAACATGATTTTTTGTTTCAATAGTTCACATTTGTATATTGATCATATTAATCAAAATATCTCACAGTTCTTTAATTTAAAAGCCAGTTAAAATAATTTCATTGATTTCCAAATTATTTGGGTTAAGAACTGAAGAAGGATCAAGATATATTCCAAACCTTTAAGGGTCATTCACCATAAGCCACATGGCCCTCTGACCACATTTTTCCTGGTACTTTCTATAGGATTAGGGAAACCTACCAGTTTCAGAGACCTGATGACTACAGTTCTCTTCTGATTAATGTGCATTGAGACTCAGTGTGGCTGTGTGAGGGGGCAATGGGAGTCCTTACTGGTGTGGATTTAATAAAATCAAGTCCCTGATCTTGAAAGATGCTTCATGCACTAAAAATTCAAATAATTTGATTGAGGATACTTTGTAACTTAGGTTTAAAATAACAACAGCAACAACAACAAATACTTATAGAACAGTTACTATGGGCCAGGCATGATCTAAGAAGATTAGATGATACATGATGATGATGATAGATGGTAGATAGATGATAGACAGATAGATAAAGATGGATAGAGAGATGATAGATAGATAGATAGATAGATAGATAGATAGATAGATAGATAGATAGATGATAGATGATAATTAGACAGATCCTATAACAAAGTAAATACTATTATTATCTCTAATTTTACAGAGAGAGAGAGTTCAAGTGACCTGGTCAACATCGCACATCTACTAAGTGAAGCTGAGAATTAAATCCAGGCAGTCTAGATCCAGAGCCCACACTCAACAACTAAACAACTCAGGCCAGGGGCAGTGGCTCAAGCCTGTAATCCCAGCACTTTGGGAGGCTGAGGCGGGCGGATCGCCCAAGGTCGTTCGAGACCAGCCTGACCAACATGGAGAAACTCCGTCTCTACTTAAAATACAAAATTAGCCAGTCGCGGTGGCGTATGCCTGTAATCCCAGCTACTCAGGAGGCTGAAGCGGGAGAATCGCTTGAACCCAGGAGGCGGAGGTTGCGGTGACCTGAGATACTGCCATTGCACTCTAGCCTGGGCAACAAGAGCGAAACTCCATCTCAAAAAAAAATAAAAAATAAGAAATAAATAAATAAATAAAATAATAACTCAGAATGCTCAGACTAAGATAAATTTGAAATTCAACCTACATTAGTATATTTGGACCCAATATTCGACAATTAAGAGCATTTTTACATATATGTGGGCTAATCCTTTGCATTAAAAACATTCTATCTGATTAATCGTTTCACAACTACATAGCTGAACCTAGTTCCGTTGATCTTTCCTTCCTAATATTGAAACTTAGGTAAAGTAGATGAATAGTTATTCCAAGACATGACCTGACTTACCTGAGGCACACAGAACTGTCCTAATAATTACTCACTGGTCACTTGTTATGTGCCAGGCACTTAAAACAAATCTGTGAATTAATTGCTATCATCCAGTTTTAAGGATAAATAAATTGAAGCCAGAGATGTTAGCTATCTCACCCAAAATGGTGGAGGCAGGAGTTGATCCCAGGGATTTTGGGTTCAAAAGTTAGATTCATTATCAACTACACTATACTACCTAAATATTTAAGATGATGACTGCAACTCCCTTCTTTGAGAGAGAGAGACTGAGACTGAGACTGAGAAAGAGAAAGAGAGTCTTTGCATAAAGCTGTAACCTGTAATCCTCTGCCCTCCCTCTCAGGCATTTTGTAGTTATTTGCTAATACCACCTATAATGTGGACTGTCATTACTATCCCAGGTCTGCATCTTGTCCTTGTGGTCCACGGGAAGCATGTCCATAACCAAAGCCTGGAACAGCTCATCAGTGACCATGTTCATCCTCCTGGGATTCACAGACCATCCAGAACTCCAGGCCCTCCTCTTTGTGACCTTCCTGGGCATCTATCTTACCACCCTGGCCTGGAACCTGGCCCTCATTTTTCTGATCAGAGGTGACACCCATCTGCACACACCCATGTACTTCTTCCTAAGCAACTTATCTTTCATTGACATCTGCTACTCTTCTGCTGTGGCTCCCAATATGCTCACTGACTTCTTCTGGGAGCAGAAGACCATATCATTTGTGGGCTGTGCTGCTCAGTTTTTTTTCTTTGTCGGCATGGGTCTGTCTGAGTGCCTCCTCCTGACTGCTATGGCATACGACCGATATGCAGCCATCTCCAGCCCCCTTCTCTACCCCACTATCATGACCCAGGGCCTCTGTACACGCATGGTGGTTGGGGCATATGTTGGTGGCTTCCTGAGCTCCCTGATCCAGGCCAGCTCCATATTTAGGCTTCACTTTTGCGGACCCAACATCATCAACCACTTCTTCTGCGACCTCCCACCAGTCCTGGCTCTGTCTTGCTCTGACACCTTCCTCAGTCAAGTGGTGAATTTCCTCGTGGTGGTCACTGTCGGAGGAACATCGTTCCTCCAACTCCTTATCTCCTATGGTTACATAGTGTCTGCGGTCCTGAAGATCCCTTCAGCAGAGGGCCGATGGAAAGCCTGCAACACGTGTGCCTCGCATCTGATGGTGGTGACTCTGCTGTTTGGGACAGCCCTTTTCGTGTACTTGCGACCCAGCTCCAGCTACTTGCTAGGCAGGGACAAGGTGGTGTCTGTTTTCTATTCATTGGTGATCCCCATGCTGAACCCTCTCATTTACAGTTTGAGGAACAAAGAGATCAAGGATGCCCTGTGGAAGGTGTTGGAAAGGAAGAAAGTGTTTTCTTAGGTCATGCGTAGAAACTTATTTATCCAAACTGCTGGAGAATTAAACAATCCAAGCCTTCACCTCCACCTCTGCCTCAGGCAAGGGAGATATTTGGTGCTCTCATTTGTGGAGACTCTTCCCTCCAGATTCCTCTCACCCTTCCTCATGGTCACTTGTCTACTGACTGTGCCATAGATAGCCAAAAAGGGAAGGAATTTCTTCAGAAAAAAAAAAAAAAAAAAAAGAACCTCCCCAGGATAACCTATTTTCACAATAATCACAATAACTAGCCTTTATTGGGCCCTTAGTATGTACCAGGCACAAAAGTTATTTAATTAAATACTCATTGCAGTACTAAAATACACAATGAACTATCTGTATGTTACAAAATAAGGAAACAGTGTGTCAGCAAGGAAAATTAACTTGCTCAGGGTCACCAAGGAAGAGGCAGAACTCTCATTCACACCAAGGTCTTCCTGACTCCAGAGCCCACGTTCTGCCCAAACGCTGCACTCCACATTCAACAAAAAAATAGCCCAAAAGTAGTACGAGTATATAACTCTTGTTACTGGCATATGGCAGAATCTGAAAAGATACACTATGTGTAGTTAAGGTAAATTAGAAAAACAAGATGCCTACCTCATCAAATGCCCTCTCTAGGATCTCCCTGTTGAATTCCAATTATGGCTACTGAGTAATTTGCTAAGCAAATGCTGAAGGACATTCCCCTTGGCTGCCATTTCTCTCTTTCTCAGCTATGTAAGGGCTGGGAAATTTGAGTCCAATGGTGTCATACCAATACTCTTCTTTTCTCAGTCTCAGTCCCCTAAACTGCCTATCAGTCAGTACCTCCTTGATTTTTCTTTAATATTTCACTAAATGTTGTATTTTTTTTCTTTTAATTTAATTTAATTTTATTTTATTTTAAGTTCCGGGATACATATGCAGGATGTGCAGGTTTGTTACATAGGTAAACATATGTCATGGTGATTTGCTGCACCTATCCACCCATCACCTAGGTATTAAGCCCCACATCCGTTAGCTATTTATCCCGATGCTCTCCCTCCTCCCTGCCTCCTGACAGGCCCCAATGTGCATTGTTCCCCTCTCTGTGTCCATGTGTTCTCATTGTTTAGCTCTTACTTACAAGTGAGAACATTGGATATTTGGTTATCTGTTCTTGGGTTAGTTTGCTGAGGATAATGGCTTCCAGCTCTATCCATGTCCCTGCAAAGAACACTAATTCCTTCCTTTTATGGCTGCATAGTATTCCATGGTATGTATGTACCATATTTTCTTTATCCAGTCTCTCATTGATGGGAATTTGGGTTGATTCCATGTCTTTGCTATTGTGAATAGTGCTGCAATGAACATACACATGCATGTATATTTATAATAGAATTATTTATATTCCTTTGGATATATACCCAGTAATAAGATTGCTGGGTCAAATGATATTTCCATTTCTAGGTCTTTGAGGACTCGCCACACTGTCTTCCACAATGGTTGAACTAATTTACATTCCCACCAACAGTATAAAAGTGTTCCTATTTCTCCACAGCCTCGCCAGCATCTGTTGTTTCTTGACTTTTTAATAATTGCCATTCTGACTAGCATGAGATGGTATCTCATTGTGATTTTTTATTTGCATTTCTCTAATAATTAGTGATGTTGAGCTTTTTTTCATATGTTTGTTGGCCATACAAATGTCTTCTTTTGAGAAGTGTCTGTTCATGTCATTTGCCCACTTTTAGATAGGGTTGTTTGTTTTTTTCTTGTAAATTTGTTTAAGTTACCTTTGTCAGATAGATAGATTGCAAAAATTTTCTCCCATTCTGTAGGTTGTCTGTTCATTCTAATGATAGCTTCTTTTGCAGAATCTCTTTAGTTTAATTAGATCCCATTTGCCAATGTTTGCTTTTGTTGCAATTGCTTTTGACGTTTTCATCATGAAATCTTTGCCAGTGCCTATGTCCTAAATGGCATTGCCTAGATTTTCTTCTAGGATTTTTATAGTTTGGGGCTTTACATTTAAATCTTTAATCCATCTTGAGTTAATTTTTGTATAAAGTTTAAGGAACTGGTCCATTTTCAATTTTCTGTATATGGCTAGCCAGTTTTCCCAGCACCATTTATTAGATAGGGAATCCTTTCCCCATTGCTTGTCTTTATCAGGTTTGTCAAAGATTCAATGGTTGTAGATGTGCAGTCTTATTTCTGAGATCTCTATTGTGTTCTATTGGTCTACGTGTCTGTTTTTGTACAAGTACCATGTTGTTTTGGTTACCATAGACTTGTAGTATAGTTTGAAGTCAGGGAGTGTAATGCCTCCGGCTTTGTTCTTTTTGCTTAGGATTGTCTTGACTATACTAGCTCCTTGATTTTAACCATGCCATTCCTTTACCAGTTCAGGACCTGCCTCCATTTCACAGTTTGGTGTCCTTTTTGATCACCACACCCTGAATTCCCCTTGCTATCTTCTATCTGAACCCATTGCTCCTATAAAATTCCTGTTTCTCCTCTTGAATAAATTAAACCTTGCAGCCCACATTGGGTGTAATTTATTTGCCATCATCTCAGGGAAGTATATCCCAGGTTCCCACCTCCAGATAATTACCCTTTCATTTCAGGCACTCACAGTGGAATTGTCCCACACAACTATTTCTGCTGGTAAATCTCTCTCTCTGGCTACTTGTAACGCATTCACTTTTCCATTGATGTAGGTCAATTGGATAAGTAGATATTTGATTTGATTGTTCATATAACAGAATTAATTATTTCCTCCATATCTGGAAGAACATAAACAATGCATAGGAAAGCAGAGATCCCTTCTCAGGTTTCCTGGGTTCTTCATCCTCTAAATTCATTCCCATCCACGGCCAATAAAACGTAGAATGACTCCTACAAATCGTATATACAGGTACTCAGAGAGAGAGAGTTGAAATTTGCTGAGTGCTTACTAAATTTCAAGTTCTATTCTGAACATTTCATACATGTTAAGCCATTGAATCCCTATTGACACAGCCATTGAGTGGAAGCTGACTCAGCATGGCTCCTGAGACTAAACTCATAAACACTTTGTGACATTTCCCCCAAGTGGGCCCCTGATTAGGTTGAAGTGGGGAGGTTTTATAGTGGCAGCCAAATATACCACCCAGGGAAAATACTAGAGAAACTCAACATATGCCTCCCATTTCTGTCTACTGGAAGTATCCCATGCCTCCATTTTTCTATTGCACATCTTCCAAAATGTAGGCCCAGAAGCAGAGGCCACAGCTATGCCTAGAACTACAGAACAACTGCCACTGGGGTCAGGCTAGTGTATGAAACTGCAACAATTAGGCCAGTAAAATTTTAGGAATGAAAAGTTGACACTATATCTGTATATTAAGGGATACTTGCTTTACAGAAATATCAGCAAATGAATCAAAAATTTACAGGCATTTTACCATTACAAGGGAAATTCAAGAAAGAATATGAGAAGGAGAGATTGTCTGATCCTCACCCCTATTTGGTTGCAGTTACATCATTAGCTTCTTCAGGCATTATTGGGTAGTAGAGAACAGCAGGAAGCAGGGAGACAAAAATCAAAATATCAGTTTAATAATGTTAAATCGACAGATAATGTTCTGTTGGAGGACATGGCTTTGATCTGGTCCTGTGGCTGCCCCACAGTGTACACCAGAATTAGACAGGCTAACCCAGGAGAAGCAGGCTTGCCCTGTTGCACTAATTGCGTAGATGAGAGAAAATCAGACTACATGCTCCCTGCAGGGAGACAGATCCCAAAGAAAGAGAAGGAAGATCAGAAGGCCAAGTTCTCCTGCCTAATTTTTTTCCCAGATTCACCACTCCTTTAAATCAGGGGTGTCCAATCTTTTGGCTTCCCTGGGCAACATTGGAAGAATTTGTCTTGGGCCACACAAAAAAACACACTAATGATAGCTGATGAGCTTTAAAAAAATCACAAAAAAACTCTTAATGTGTTAAGGAAGTTTACAAATTTGTATTGGTCCACATTCAAAGCCGTCCTGGGCCGCATGAAGCCCACGGGCTGTGGGTTGTGCAAGCTTGCTTTACATCACTCCTACCTTCCTAGAAAGGACTGAGTGAAGGAGGAGGCACAAAACCTGCATGCCATTTCAGCGTAAGTCCCTCTCCAGGAAAACAGGAGGAAAAGGGAAGGAACTCCCCATACACATACTAAGATCTTTAAGGTTACTTCACTCTGATCCTCTAAGAAGTCCTAAACTGAAGTTCCATCCACGACTATGAGGGGCCACTAGACCAGGAGCCTCATCTAGTGGAATCCAATTTGTCAGTATCTCCAGGTCTCAGTCAAGGCCTCTTTATGATGACGTTGGTCTCATCCAATGCTTGGATCTTACAGGATTATTATGAGCCCAAAAAAAGAAAATTGATTTTTAGAAATCTCTTAGAAAAAATTTAAAACATTATATAAATACCAGGGATTCCTGTTATTATCAAATGCCACTTCCCCCAAGGAAGCATTCCCAGACTCCCTGGACCTCACTAAATCCCTGGGCCAATCTCGCCCCATTCTTGCCCTTTGGTGTGAATCATCACAGTTGTAAGTTCATGCTTGAGGGTGGGGTCACATCTGTCTCTTCACAAATATATTCTCAGCATCTAGAACTGCCTGATATACAAAACGCAATAAATATGCATTTTTGGTCAATTATTATAATTGATCTGTTGGAAAAAAATCAATTATGTGACCCAAATTGTGACCATTGTCACATGAAATTGACTCTTGAACTATAATATTGTTGATGAAATTTCTGTAATCGTTATCATACAAGGACTTTGCATCAAATTTGATGTTGATATAATTTAGAGAAGGAGCCTTTGGAGATTCCTCAGACTTCCCTGTACACAGTTTCATCACCTCCTTATTAGATGTGCTATCATAATGGGTGTGTGTGTGTGTGTGTGAAAAGGAGAGAAAAAACATGCACACGTGTTGCTTAGTAACTTTTTAATAACTCCCATTGCATCTGCAACTGCCAACTTCTCCACTGAAAATATATTTCCTACAAATATCCAATATTACTCCCTATGCTAATCATTATAGTAGACTTCTTATTCAGCATCAGTTAGGAACAGTGTAAACTGTTCATGTGTTTGGGTGAAGAAGGGCAGAGCAGTGATGATGGGGAAGTTGTCAGGCTCACTTTACCAATGCAAAGGTAGGTGAGGGCGTCCTGAAAATTTTGCACACCTACAAACTTATGATTTCAATAGTGTCTCTGAAAGGCAAAATGTCCATTTGCAATTCTGGAAGTATATGTCATCTTGAACTAGAAGCTTCAGGCTGATTAAGATCTCCTACTTCTAACCTAAAATACTGGGCTTCCTAAGACACATTCAAATAAGGTAATTTTTCAAAAATTAAAACTCATTCCATAAACATTACTAAGCCCCTACCATGTGTAAAAAAATAATAACTAGCATGATCTCTTTCTTAAAAGGTGATTAAAAGTTAGATGGCAGCAAAAAGACAACTATATAATGATATTAGGATTATGATAATATTAATACCCTACATTTGTATAATGCTTTGAAGTTTGCAGTATTCTCTCATATGCATTAAGCCATTTAATTGACTTATACAGCAACATAAGTGAATAGGGGATGTAAGATGAGGCTGAAAATGGCGTAAAGGAAAACAAATACTTGTTGGGGAACTACTGCACATCAGGAGTTGCAAATGGACACCCCTTTGTTCATTCATCTTCAAAAAGAATTATTGAATAACTGCTATGTTCCAGGTAGGAGCTGGGGATACAATAGTGACAAAAGAAATCCTTGCCTTCAGGGAGTTTACATTGGGAGGAAAAGGCAGACACACATAGACCCATAAAGGCAAGGAGTAAAAAGTGCTAGATTATCACAAGCAAGCCTCACTATGCAAAGTAAGGTGTATGTTCCCCATTTCATGGAATAAGGTCCTGGGGTTCATAAAGGTTAACTTGCTCCGGGTCACAAGAGGCACAGTTTAAAATACTGGAACCTGACTTCGAAGGCTGTGCTCTTTTGAACAAGCTAATTCTATGTTCAATCATGCAACCCTGAGGTTACAAAATAGAAAGGCTATCGTTTGATCCTGACCTCACATTGAGCCTGATAGTCCAGAACCTTCTAAGGTGATTGACCAGAAGAGTAGGTGGAATAATGTTAATCTGAAAGAGAAGTCAACAGTAAGTAGATTTGACCTCAGTTCCCAGAGACCTGAGTTGGCTGATTCCAGGTTCTCCTCTGGGTGCCTCCAGCCAATGCCTCATGGAGCCATAACACACCAAAAGAAAAATTAGAGCTGTCTTTCCCACACACCCTTTTCCATAATAAGTCAGCTTCTTAGAACAATTTTAAAAACAAAAAACAGAAAAATACAAGATACATAATATCAGAGCTCAAATTAATGGAGAACTTTTTACTTCAAATTGTAAATAGGTATAATACTTTTTCTGATTTTCATAATCAGAAGCCATTTAAAATCATTTTTTTAATTAGACACAACAGAACGTCTTTTTAAAATAAAAATGCCAAAATCCAATTACCAACAGATAATGGCTACTACTGTTGTGATATATTAATACATCTTTTCAGACTTCTAGCCATGTAGATATTTTTCCCAAAAATAACATCATGTGACATATTCAGTGTTTTAATCTGTCACTAAAAAGAAATCTTTCCATGTTTAAAAGTACAATTCTACGTTATCACTTTGAATGTCTGCAAATACTTAATTGTACTATTGTGCCATATTTATTGAACAAATTTTCTATATCAGACGCTAACTTAAATTCTAATTTCTACTATTTGAAACAGCAATGTGATGAGCTTTGTTTATATTTAGGACATTAAACATTTGGTTTATTAACTCTTTAGCATAAATTCCTAAAGTAGAAATTTTGAGTCACGGGGTTTGTACATATTACATTTTGACACATATTTCCAGAATGACCCCAGAAATGCTGCCTATGTGTGCACTCCTATTAATCATATGAAAGTGTCACTTTCCCCACATCTATGCCAACAGTGGACTTTTCAACATTGGTTAATCTTCTAGATGAGAAATGATACCTCATTGTAATTTAATTTGTATTTCCTTTTTTCTTTCTTTCTTTCCCTTTTTTAATAGAGACAGGATCTTCCTATGTTGCCCAGGCTGGTCTCAAACTCATGAGCTCAAGAGATCCTCCCTCCTTGGCCTCCTAATATATTTATCTGATCAATAGTTGATTGACTGTCTTTTCACATGTGGGCTAACCAACTGCATTTTTCTGTGAATCATGACTCATTTTTGTTTTAAAGTATCAAAATGTCTGTGTCTTACAGATTTATAAGAGTTCTTTATATAGCAAAGATGTTAAGCTTGTTTTACATGTTTTTAGATATTTTCCCAAGTTTTTTATTTATAGTTTTAGGCTTATTTATAATGCTTTTAAAATGTAAAAGTTTTATATTTTTACTTAGTCAAATATAATAATTATTGGTGTAATGCTCCTCTACTCCAAAAATTATGAAAACACTTACCTAAGTTTTATTCTAATATTTTAATTGTTTTATATTTTGGTATTTATATTATTAAGGTGATAAAATCTTCTTGTCTTCCATTTCTGTAAGAAGTTAAAGAGTGTTGCAATTTATTTCAACTCATGGTATCTATATATAAAAAGAAATTAAACATTCAAACACAATTAGAATTGGGCTGTGTCCTTTTTTTTTTTTGGAGACAGGTTCTCGCTCCATCACCCAGACTGGAGTACAGTGGTGCAATCACAGTTCACTGAAGAGTTTCGATGTCCCAGGCAGAATTGATCTGCCCAGTTCAGCCTCCTGCATATCTGAGACTACAGCATACACCACCACCAGGCCCAGCTAATATTTTTTGTAGAGACAGGGTTTCAGGCTGGTCTCAAACTCCTGGCCTCAAGTGATCTGCCCACCTCCATCTCCCAAATTGCTGGGATTAAAGGTGTGAGCCACCACACCCAGTCTGTTTCTTTTTTTTTTTTTTTTTCACTTTTATTTTAAGTTCAGGGGTGTAAGTGCAGGTTTGTTACATAGGTAAACTTGTTGTACAGATTATTTCATCACCAAGGTATTAAGCCTAGTGTCCATTAGTTATTTTTCCTGATCATCTCTCTCCTCCCACCCTCCACTCTCCAAAAGGTCCCAGTATGTGTTGTTCCCCTCTGTGTTTTCCTGTGTTCTCATCACTTAGCTCCCACTTATAAGTGAAAACACGCAGTATTTGGTTTTTCTCTTCCTGCGTTAGTTTGCTAAGGATAATGGCCTCCAGTTCCACCCATGTCTCTGCAAAGGACATGATCTCATTCTTTTTTATAGCTGCATAGTAATCCATGGTGTATATGTACCACATTTTCTTAACTCAATCTATCATTGATGGGCATTTAGGTTGATTCCATGTCTTTGCTATTGTGAATAGTGTTGCAGTGAACATACACGTGCATGTGTTTACAATATGATGATTTATATTTCTTTGGGTGTATACCTAGTAATAGAATTGCTGGATGAAATGGTATTTCTGTCTTTAGATCTTTGAGAAATCGCCACACTGTCTTCCACAATGGCTGAACTAATTTACATTCCCACCAATAGTTTATAAGCATACTTTTTCTCCACAACCTTGCCAACATCTGTTATTTTTTGACTTTTTAATAGTAGCCATTCTGACTGGTATTAGGTGGTATTTCATTGTGGTTTTGATTTGCATTTCTGTAATGATCAGTAATGTTTAGCTTTTTTTCACGATTGTTGGCTGCATGTGCATCCTCTTTTGAAAAGTGTCTGTTCACGTCTTTGCCTGTTTTTTTATGGAGTTGTTTGGTTTTTTCTTGTAAATTTATTTAAGTTCCTTATAGATGCTGGATATTAGACCTCTGTTGGATGCATAGTTTGCAAAAAATTTTCTTCCATTCTGCAGGTTGTCTGTTTACTCTGTTGGTCGTTTCTTTTGCTGTGCGGCAGCTATTTACAATACCTTTATCATCAGTTAAAATTAGAAAACTAACGTGGCATTTGAACTAGTAAGTTCATTTCTGGGAATGTATCTTAAAAAGAAATCATAGATGCACATGAAAATGCATTTACAAAATGTTAAGTGCAGGATTATTCAAAAATACTAATCAGGGACCGACTAGGCAACTGAAGAGATCAAGGTATGGCTTTTGTAGCCCCTCACTTCCTGTACATTCTACAAGCCTGACTCAAAATGCCACC
This sequence comes from Homo sapiens, assembly GCF_000001405.40. Classification (NCBI taxonomy): domain Eukaryota; kingdom Metazoa; phylum Chordata; class Mammalia; order Primates; family Hominidae; genus Homo; species Homo sapiens. The sequence continues at coordinate 59,453,366 of NC_000011.10, forward strand.
CACTCACCCTGGTTTCCATACTTTCTATCTTAAGTCCTGAGTCCCAAACTGCTGTGCTCTCCTGGCTGGTGTCTCGTTCCATTTTAGCCATCATGACTGACGCTTATTCTTCACCTGCCTGATTCCCACATACCTATGAAAACCTCTCTCTACCTTAGTAACCAATGTATTTCCCATCACATTCCACAAGGGATCAGGGAGATCTTGCAGCAATAACAAAGAACTACCTACAGTAAAACAATAGAATGTAAATAAGGAACTGTTAAGAGGCTACATGTGAAAAATTATGGAGTAGAAAATTAAGTCACTCATACGTTTTTGAATGTATGAAAGCCAAAGCAAAGATACATAGTCAGGGCCTGGCGCGGTGGCTCACGCCTGTAATCCCAGCACTTTGGGAGGCTGAAGTGGGTAGATCACCTGAGGTCAGGAGTTCCGGACCAGCCTGGCCAACATTGCAAAACCCTGTCTCTATTAAAAATACAGAAATTAGCCAGGCATGGTGGCGCGTGCCTGCAATCCCAGCTACTTGGGAGGATGAAGCAGGAGAATTGCTTGAACTGGGAGGCGGAGGTTGCAGTCAGCCAAGATCGCACCACTGCACTCCAGCCTGGGCAACAGAGCAAGACTCTGTCTTAAACACACACACACACACACACACACACACAAAGATACGCAGTCAGTTACACAATTCTTATTGCCTCAAAAAAGAACGCACATTGATGTCCCACGGGAGCTCTGCCTTGCACTTGGGTCTAGGATAACTGTCTTCTTTGGAGTCTCCTGGGAAGAACCAAATAGATCTTGGCCTGAGTACAATCCAAAGATGGATGCTTCTCCTTGTAGACACTCTAATAAAAGGCAATAACATAATTCCAAATACATTGTACCAGTTAGTGTGTTACTGGATGCTGGCATATTAAAGTAAGATTTCTTTTGGGCTGTATACCTTAAATATGTGCAATTTTTAAAAGACTGTAAAAAGTTTTTTAATTAAAAATAAATAAATAAAAATAAAAGAGGCAACTCACTTCCACAGGAATGAAATTATTCTAATGGTGGAAACATCAGGGATCTAAGAAGATCACAAGATTTTTGTTTAAGAGGAATTCTGTATGTTCTAACCCCTCAAACTAAACTATAAAATACACTCAACTGTAAGAGAACTGAAATGAGAAAAATTAAGAACTATGTTTCTTATGGAATACTTTCTTTTGCTTTTATTTCAGGGAAAATGCTGTATCCTTTTTTCATCTGGTATACTGTCTTCTTTCTTTTCCTATCTTTCTCAGACATAATTATGTTTTTTTCCAATGCCAATTGCCTACTTTTTATTGTTGAATTAGATTTTGGTCATCTCAATTATTTAAATTTTTTTTTTTTTTTTGAGGCAGAGTATCACTCCGTCGCCCAGGCTGGAGTTCAGTGGCGCAATCTTGGCTCACTGCACACTTTGCCTCCTGGGTTCATGCCATTCTCCTGCCTCAGCCTCCCGAGTAGCTGGGACTACAGGCGCCCACCACCACACCTGGCTAATTTTTTGTATTTTTAGTAGAGATGGGGTTTCACCATGTTAGTCAGGATGGTCTCGATCTCCTGACCTCGTGATCTGCCTGCCTCGTCCTCCCAAAGTGCTGGGATTACAGGCGTGAACCACCGCACCCGGCCCCTTAAATTTTTTAAAATCATCTAGAATATGAGTCCTTGGAACATACAGATATTCTTTTGTTTCACATGCCTGCTGTATCAAATGGTTTGGGGGCGGGGTTGTTGTTTTGTAGAGACAGGGACTTGCTCTGTCACCCAGGCTGCAGTACAATGGCACAATCATAGCTCACTGCAGCCTCGAATTCCTGGGCTCAAGCGATCCCCCCACTTCAGCCTCCTGAGTAGCTGGGACTGCAGGTGCACACCACCATGCCTGGCTAATTTTTTTTTAATTTGTTGTTGTTGTTAAGACAGGGTCTCACTATTGTCCTGGCTGGTCTCAAACTCCTGAACTCAAGCAATCTGCCTGCCTTGACCTCCCAAAGTGCTGGGATTACAGGCATTAGCCACTGCACCTGGTTCATACAGATATTCTTACTGAAAGAAGTTTGTCCTCATATGACTGAATTTCTGATTTGGGAAAAAGAAGTATCAATATAGTAAATTGCTATTATATAGCAATAGTAGAATATCCCTGGAATTTGAGTCAACAAACCTGTTTACAGTTCTCTATATTTCACCAATTCAAACTCTGATTCTGAAAAAAATAAATGTCCTTCTCTAGTCACTTCTAAAGTAAGAAACATTAGACTAATTTATCTCTGAAGTCCTGTGACGCTCTAATGATCAGTTTTTCTGTGATACTAAAACATGCCCTGAACAATGACTGTGGCTCTATACAAAGAGCCCTGTGTGTCAATAGCAAGGTCCAGGCTTCCCAGAGTGCCAAAGAGGAGTACTTATGAGGGCCTGACCCTTCTCTTTTTATAAGGGATGAGATAAGGATTAGGTAGTCAAACTACTTAATAAACTGTTTAAGCCTTATATACACACTAGAATTCCGGTAAGCCAAAGTAAGCCCCAGACTCTCTGATTTCTCAGAGTTGTACAGTGGAAAAACCTCTGGAGACTGTTATGTTAAAGAAAAATTATTCACCAGACAATTATTAAAGACAGGAAGATAGATTTCATTTAAAACTCTTGCAATAGAAGAAAAAGATTGAGCTCAACTCGAAATATAGTGAAAACAAGTGAAGATTTATAAGCAATGAGCAGAGTGAGGGAGGTCAGTGGATTGAAAATTACTAAGAAGTGATATCAAAGGTAGGGTGGTTCTTGCTAAACTGGCATAAAAGAATTCTTGCTAAAGACTGGCCAAGGACTTAGATATTGAGGGTGAGGGATGAGGTTAAAAATAATAAATATATAAAAGGGTAAGGGGTGAGGAATTTGATTAGATTTCAAGGGTGTGGAATTCTCATTAAACTGACTTGGCAAGATTCCTGTTAAAATTGGGCTCAGCAAAGACAGACACAGAAGGTCAAGGTTGAGTCATAGTCAAGAAAAGGGCTCAGAGGAGCCTAACCAACATTTGGTCAAGGAGGGAATCTTTCTCAAGTCAGGAGATTGATTTGTATTTGAATCCTCAATTTACAATTCACTAATTTTGCGACTATGCAGATGTAAGTCATTAACTGCTGTAAAGCTTCAGTTTCCCCGTATATAAAATGGAGATAACCATACTAAAGACTCTTCAGAAACTTCATGAGAATTGAAATCAGTATGAGCTATTGCAGGTGAAAGCCCTTGGTAAAGCATAGGCAAATGGCCATAGTCCATCCATCTCTCTCTGGTCAGAGTGAGGATACAGACATGTGATGGTTTTTTCCTGTTAACCCAAGGTATTTACAATAAGAAAGAAGAACCATATGAAAGAAGAATTTCCAGACCACAAAGAGAAGACTGGCCCAGTTTTTCTGTGTAGTCATGATGACCTGGATGCTTGAGAGCAGTATGTGATCAATGATTTTGCCACCTCATGTCACCATAATCCAAGTTCTAACATATCTTCATCAAAGGTAGGACCTGGAAGAGAGTCATCCCCATCATGGACCAGATCAACCACACTAATGTGAAGGAGTTTTTCTTCCTGGAACTTACACGTTCCCGAGAGCTGGAGTTTTTCTTGTTTGTGGTCTTCTTTGCTGTGTATGTAGCAACAGTCCTGGGAAATGCACTCATTGTGGTCACTATTACCTGTGAGTCCCGCCTACACACTCCTATGTACTTTCTCCTGCGGAACAAATCAGTCCTGGACATCGTTTTTTCATCTATCACCGTCCCCAAGTTCCTGGTGGATCTTTTATCAGACAGGAAAACCATCTCCTACAATGACTGCATGGCACAGATCTTTTTCTTCCACTTTGCTGGTGGGGCAGATATTTTTTTCCTCTCTGTGATGGCCTATGACAGATACCTTGCAATCGCCAAGCCCCTGCACTATGTGACCATGATGAGGAAAGAGGTGTGGGTGGCCTTGGTGGTGGCTTCTTGGGTGAGTGGTGGTTTGCATTCAATCATCCAGGTAATTCTGATGCTTCCATTCCCCTTCTGTGGCCCCAACACACTGGATGCCTTCTACTGTTATGTGCTCCAGGTGGTAAAACTGGCCTGCACTGACACCTTTGCTTTGGAGCTTTTCATGATCTCTAACAACGGACTGGTGACCCTGCTCTGGTTCCTCCTGCTCCTGGGCTCCTACACTGTCATTCTGGTGATGCTGAGATCCCACTCTGGGGAGGGGCGGAACAAGGCCCTCTCCACGTGCACGTCCCACATGCTGGTGGTGACTCTTCACTTCGTGCCTTGTGTTTACATCTACTGCCGGCCCTTCATGACGCTGCCCATGGACACAACCATATCCATTAATAACACGGTCATTACCCCCATGCTGAACCCCATCATCTATTCCCTGAGAAATCAAGAGATGAAGTCAGCCATGCAGAGGCTGCAGAGGAGACTTGGGCCTTCCGAGAGCAGAAAATGGGGGTGAGCAGTCAGATGGAGAGTGGAAGTCTGTCTGACTTAGTTTTCTCAAAATGCTAGCCTAAGAGTAACAGGTCGCTAGCTCTTCTTCCACTACTTCATTGTATATCTTCATAGCCGCTCGATTCTATTAGCGGGAGTATACAAACAAAAAGAAGAAATGAGATTAAACAATGTGAGCTATCGAGCTTGTGGACTCAGGAGAAGAAGAGGGTATAAGGTTGAAATCAATACCCTAAATGCTTTTTGGTGTTACCTGTGACTCATACCAACACTTATCTCACTTTTAGCACCAGTAATATGGAAATATCATTACTTGCTCACAAGTTTGTCAAAAGAATGAAATGTGATCAATGCTGTGAGGATGATAGTTGTGAAGGTTAGTACTGCTCCTGGCATTAATCAGGTATTCAATCAACATTCCCTATTACCTACCCCTCTCTTCCTAAATGTGCATATACACAGAATATAGACACATTTATTTCATATATGCTTTCTCTGGTGACTCTGCTATATCCAGTCAATTATTGAAATCACTTGATTTTATTTTATTTTATTTTATTTTATTTTATTTTATTTTTTTGGGACGGAGTCTTGCTCTGTTGCCCAGGCTGGAGTGCAGTGGCGCGATCTTGGCTCACTGCAAACTCCACCTCCTGGGTTCACGCCATTCTCCTGCCTCAGCCTCCTGAGTAGCTGGGACTACAGGCGCCCGCCATGACGCCCGGCTAATTTTTTGTATTTTTAGTAGGGATGGAGTTTCACCATTTTAGCCAGGATGGTCTCAATCTCCTGACCTCGTGATCCACCCGCCTCGGCCTCCCAAAGTGCTGGGATTACAGGCGTGAGCCACTGCGCCTGGCCTTGATTTTATATTTTAAGTACAGAATCTTAAGTATATTTCACCAATTAGTGAAAATGGAAGGAATATTTTAAACTGTAAGTCAAATATGTACATGGACAAATTTATACATGGACCAAGTATTTCCTGTTCTCAGGTCTAGTCTACTGATTTACCAGCTGAAATTAAAAAGATGCTTGTATAGTTTTGGTACATACATGCGCAGAGACAATTTTTTTTATGTTAACCTGAACTTCCTTTTCTTCTTTATACCCTCCTTACATTTCACCCTCAGGGCTTTTATGACTGGAATAAAACCGTAGTTTTTGTTTATGTATGGGTAGACAATTCAAGACAAATCATGGTGGTTCAAGAAAACAAAACCTGTCTAATAAATACACTTTATGCCTTCATGGCCCACTTTTTGTTCCAGGAGAGAAAAGAAACACATTGTATTCGGGGTCATTTGGGAATAGCCACTGGGTCTGTGTTAGAATCCACCTCTCTCTCAAGGGAAGGATTCCAAGAGAGTAGATATCTAAAGACAATGAATCCTCCTTCTTCCTCTATACTCACCTCAAATCCACCCTTCAGCCTTCAACAGTCATTCAAAAATTATCCAAGAGAAGTAAGGAAGCTCAAGAAATTGCAACACATTGAAAAAAGTTTTGCGAGGTACCAAACTGTTATAACGCATTAATATTTGGCCAAGAAGATCCTAGTAGTTGACATACATCCATGATCCTCCCTGAGTCCTACAAGACAGAGATATTGAGCCAAGACTCCGCATCAGCTCCCCCTGCAGCCCCAAGGGCCTAGAGTCGCAGCTACTCATGGCAAAAGGATCATTTGAACCCAGGAGTTGGAGACCAGCTTGGACAATACTGCAAGACCTTGTTTCCACACACACAAAAAAAATTATTAGCCCCCTCAGGGAGCTTTATTCGCTATTTTTCCTAATTGCTCCCTTATGAGGAAATTCAATACCAAAAATATACTGTATATATTTATGTGTACTGAGGCCATACATCATTGTAATATATAAGTTTTGTTGCTCCCCTGAGAACAAATTGTCTCTTTGGGCATGTCAGGCTCTCATTGAGTATGAATGATTATATGACATTAGATGTTTCCAGAGACCAATATTTCCCCAAAACTCAGAGAATCACAGAATAGGTAGATTCATGTCCATGTGTTCTGGGGCCTTGCAAGAATTTAGAAAGCAGAGAAACGGCATCCTTGTGCGTGTCTGTGTGTATGTATGTGTGTGTGTGTGTGCATATGTGTGGACTTGCTTGCAGTAATAACTTGGAAACTGTTTAATAACTCCCTCTGGAACTCTGACACTACCAGAAGAATGCCCATTCTATTTCCACACTCACATCCAATAAAATTTCCTTTGCTAATTCTCATATTAGGCCTGAGCCTGAGACATTAGTGCACGTAGCAAGGACATTTTAAGCCAAAGAGAAGAGCCAACAATGATGTAACTCTCTTAGTCAGCCCTTTCCAACATGAAGGCTGAAGAGAAGACATTGAAATCTGGTATAATTTATTTTCAGGAGGACTTTGCCTTCAAGCACCATATTTCCCCACCATTATATATGCTGAGGCCCAGCTACCCAGTCTCAGATGGTGTAAATTCATGTTGGACACTGAAGGATTTAGGTAAGAATATTGAACTGTCAGAGTGTGAGATATTATGGATTATACATGAATATGATGAGCATGAAAAATGTGTCAAGTGTCTAAGATATGGCAAAAATAGTTGAAAACTTTAGCAACAGGAAACCAAAAAAAAATGGATGTTAAACACCGGGAAATAAGTAATATCTTCATGGAAAGGAACCACAGCAATGGGGTCAGCATAATAAAAGAGAAGGCAGTTTGTATTTGATAGAAAAATAGACCAGGCAGTGGCTCACATCTGTGATCCTTTGAGAAGCTGAGATGAGCAGATTGCCTGAACTCAGTTGAGAGTTCAAGACCAGCCTGGCCAACATAGTGAAACCCCATCTCTACCAAAAAACACAAAAAATTAGCCAAGCATGGTGGCGCACCCCTGCAGTCCCAGCTACTCAGGAGGCTGAGGCACGAGAATTGCTTGAACCCGGGAGGCAGAGGTTGCAATGAGCAAAGATCACGCCACTGCACCCCAGCCTGGGCAGCAGAATGAGACTCTGTCTCCAAAAAATAAATTAAAGTAAAATAAAATACAATAAGAAAAAGAAAGGAGCAGATTTTGTTTCAGTTTAGGGTTTGCCCATGAGGATCATGAAGCTCTTTCTACCAAATAGGTGCTTCCTTAAAAAAAACATGACTTTAACCTCAAATTCCCTTAACAACTGTGAAGGTTTCAAAGTCAGCTCCATATGCATACTTTGCCCATGGCTCACTGGGTGTCATTTCTCTTTGATTTGGTGACAGCCTTAGTCCCAAACCCATTCACCCAGTGCTGAAGCCTCGGTTCCACTCGGTCAATTCACACATGTTCACTGAAACAAAAATAAGCAAGCTGATTCAAAGAGAAGCTGTCCTTTCACAGAATAGCATTTTACATTTTGCAAATGTCTTCATAAATAACCTTTCATGATAGGCAGGAAAGATTTGGTTTTAGGAGAAACGGAAAGGAACCAAGTTAACTGAATGCCTACTACTGAATGACGGGTACTTTACAAATACTACCTCATTTACTCCTTATGCTACCTAACAAAGTGTTATGCTTCCCAGTTTCCAGAGGAGTAAACTAAAGAAAAATAAAAGATTTGTCGAGGTAACAAAGTAGGAAGAGACAGAATTCCAACCCCAGTGTGCCCTACTCCAAAGCTCTTAACATTATCCCACACTGCATTATCATAGACTGCCATGGCATTTCACCACTGAGGATCTCAGGCACAAAGAGGCAAAGTGGCTTTCTCAAAGTCACAGAACATTTTCATGGCCTGGATCAGAGCATGAATCTTTACCTAGCATCTGAAACCAAGTCAAAGATATGAGCAACATAGGCTGGGCACGGTGGATCACGCCTGTAATCCCAGCACTTTGGGAGGCCAAGGTGGGAGGATCACCTGAAGTCAGGAGTTCAAGACCAGCCTGGCCAATATGGTGAAACCCCATCTCTACTAAAAATACAAAAATTATCTGGGCGTAGTGGTATGCACCTGTAACCTCAGGCACTCGGGAAGATGAGGCAGGAGAATTGCTTGAACCCAGGAGGCAGAGGTTGCAGTGAGCCGAGATCGCACCATTGCACTCCAGCCTGAGTGACAAGAGTGAAACTCCATCTCAAAAAAAAAAAAATATATATATATATAGTATATATACATATATGAGCAATATAGTTTCTTAGCCTGTGTTCGTCAAGATCCTTCTCAGTCACTCAGACTCAAAGGCCAATACATATAAGTCATGATGTGCATTTATCAACTAGATTTATTCATTAATGTAAAAAACATTAATAAGCACCTAACATGTGCCCCAGACTAGGTGAGGCTTTAACAACATTAGGATGAATAAAACATTGAGCAGACAGGATGAACTTGAGGCTTAATAGGAAAATTATACCGAATTAAGGAGAGACAGACATATAAGAAATTAGATGCTATAAACCATGATAGATGTCAGGGCAGAGAATGGCAGAGACACAAAGGAGGGACCTAGGTGAGGAGTGTTAGGAACATGTGGTCAAAGGAGTATACCCTGAACCTGAGTGTTGAAAGCCCAGGATTTGTCAAGGCAGATAGTTGGGATATTCTGAGAATGGGAAGGACATGGCAGGCAGAGGCAGCAACAGGAACGTAGACCCAAAAGCATAGGCAAACAATAATTTGCATAATATTTGAGCCACTGAAACCAGAGTCAAAGGAAACAAGGCACCAGATAATATTCAAGATGAAGAAAAGTCTTGGATGAGAAAAAAAAAAGGAGTTTGGGGGCTTTTTTGGTTGTTTTTTGAGACAGAGTCTCGCTCTGTCACCCAGGCTGGAGTGCAGTGGTGCGATCTCGGCTCACTGCAATATCCACCTCCCGGGTTCAAGCGATTCTCCTGCCTCAGCCTCCTGAGTAGCTGGGATTATAGGTGCACACCACCATGCCTAGCTAATTTTTGTATTTTTAGTAGAGACATGGTTTCACCATGTTGGCCAGGCTGGTCTCGAACTCCTGACCTCAGGTGACCTGCCTGCCTAGGCCACTGCGCCTGACCCAAAAAAAAGGAGTTTAAACTTTATTTTTCAGGCAGTAGGTTACCATTAAAAAAAATAAACAAAGAAATAACATGGTCTCATTTAGAATATAAAGACATTTCTGGAAATAACAAAGAGAATGAGGTAAGAGGAATGCAGACCAAAGAAAAGGAGACCAGTTAAGGAATTCCTGCAATAATCTAAGAACAGATGACAGGCTTTAACTGAGGATGGAGAAGACAGAACAAGAGAAGTAAAGAAAGTGGAATCTTAGGAGAGTTAATTTTGCACAATGTCCTGGTGCTTTGCCAAGCGGGTAGCTCAGTATATGTCATTGGGATAAAATGCTGCCCCCATCAGTACATGCTGTGGAGTTCACTGTGCCCATGTGGAATAAACAGACTCAGGAAACAAAGGGTCACATTCTCTGGAGCAGATGAGAGGCAACGTGTGTTTTGGGTTTGTTTATCCACACGATTTTTTAAGGTTATCACCCTTCCAAAGCTTGTTTTTCCGCAGCCCAAGCACGATGCCTCCCAGCTGTGCACTGAACTGGGGACCTTCTATCTGTAATATGGTGCCAGATGACTCAGGCAGATGCTTAGGCTGAGTATGACTATTTTCCTCTGAGTTAACTTTTGTCATGCTGCCACCATCATAAATTTTATAAGCTATTGAAATTATGGTGTCAGGCTCCAGAAAAAATATATATATATTGAAGTGTTGTGAATGGAAAATGTATTGGGCTGAAAGTCAAAAACTGACTTCACCACTACCTTGCTGTGTGGTCTCCTACATGTCACTTCAGCCTAACAGGAAATTTACTTTTCTTAAATTGATCCAAAAGCAACAAAAGTGTTACTGGTTCTTTGAAAAGATAAATAAAATTGATAGACCATTAGCAAGATTAACCAAGAAAAGAAGAGAAAAAATCCAAACAACCTCACTAAGAAACGAAACAGGAGATATTACAACTGACACCACTGAAATACAAAAGATCATTCAAGGCTACTATGAACACCTTTACACACATAAACTAGAAAACCTAGAAGAGAAGGGTAAATTCCTGGAAAAATACAACCCCCTAGCTTAAATCAGGAAGAATTAGCTACCCTGAACAGACCAATACCAATAACAAGCAACAAGATTGAAATGGTTATTTAAAAAATACCAACAAAAAAAGTCCAGGACCAGATGGATTCACAACTTAATTCTACCAGCCACTCAAGGAAGAATTGGTACCAATCCTTTTGACAGTATTCCACAAGATAGAAAAAGAAGGAACCCTCCCTAACTCAATCTATGAAGCCAGCATCACCCTAATACCAAAACCAGGAAAGGACACAACCAAAAAAGAAAACTACAGACTGATATCCTTGATGCATATAGATACTAAAATCCTTAACAAAATACTAGCTAACTAAATCCAACAACATATCAAAAAGATAATCCACCATATCAAGTGGATTTCATACCAGGGATGCAGGGATGGTTTAACATACACAGCTCAATAAATGTGATACACCACGTAAACAGAATTAAAAACAAAAACCACATGATCATCTCAACAGATACAGAAAAAAAAATTCTGCAAAATCCAGCATCCCTTTATGATTAAAACTCTGAGCAAAGTCAGCATAATGAGGGACATGCCTTAATGTAATAATAGCCATCTATGACCAACCCACAGCCAACATAATACAGAATGGGGAAAAGTTGAAAGCATTCCCTCTGAGAACTGGAACAAGACAAGGATGCCCACTCTCACCACTCCTCTTCAACATAGTACTGGAAGTCCTAGCCAGAGCAATCAGGCAAGAGAAAGAAATAAAGGGCATCCACATCAGTAAAGAGGAAGTCAAACTTTCACTGTTTGCTGACAATATGATCTTTTACCTTGAAAACCCTAAAGACTCCTCCAGAAAGCTCCTAGAACTGATAAAAGAAATAGCAAAGTTTACAGATACAAGATTAATGTACACAAATCAGTAGCTCTTCTATACAACAACAATGACCAAGCAGAGAATCAAATCGAGAACTCAACCCCTTTTACAATAGCTACAAAAAAAATAAAATACTTAGGAATATACCTAACCAAGGAGTTGAAAGTCCTCTACAGGGAAAACTACAAAACACTGCTGAAATAAATCACAGATGACACAAACAAATGGAAACACATCCCATGCTCATGGATGGGTAGAATCAATATAGTGAAAATGACCATACTGCCCAAAGCAATCTACAAGTTGAATGCAATCCCCATCAAAATATCACCATCATTCTTCACAAAATTAGAAAAAAAAATTCTAAAATTCGTATGGAATCAAAAAAGAGCCCGCATACCCAAAGCAAGACTAAGCAAAAAGAACAAAATCTGGAGGCATCACACTACCTGATTTCAAACTATACTATAAGGCCATAGTCCCCAAAACAGCATGGTACTGGTATAAAAATAAGCACATAGACCAGTGGAACAGAGTAGAGAACCCAGAAATAAACCCAAACACAGCCAACTGATCTTTGACAAAGCAAACAAAAACATCAAGTGGGGAAAGGACACCCTTTTCAACAAATGGTGCTGGGATAATTGGCTAGTCACATGTAGGAGGATGAAACTGGATCCTCATCTCTCACTTTATACAAAAGTCAGCTCAAGATGGATTAAAGACTTAAACCTAAGACCTGAAGCTATAAAAATTCTAGGAGATAACGTCAGAAAAACCCTTCTAGACATCGGCTTAGGCAAGGATTTCATCACCAAGAACCAGAAAACAAATGCAATAAAAACAAAGATAAATAACTGGGACCTAATTAAACTAAAGAGCTTTTGCACGGCCAAAGGAACAGCTGGCAGAGTAAACAGACAACCCACAGAATGGGAGAAAATCTTCACAATCTATACATCTGACAAAGGCCTAATATCCAGAATCTGTAACAAACTCAAACAGATCAGTAAGAAAAAAAAAAACAATCCCATCAAAAAGTGGGCTAAGGACATTAATAGACAATTCTCAAAAGAAGATATACAAATGGCCAATAGCCATATGAAAAAATGCTCAACATCACTAACGATCAGGGAAATGCAAATCAAAACCACAATTCGATACCACATTACTCCTGCACGAATGGCCATATCAAAAAATAAAAAAACCGTAGTTGTTGGCATAGATGCGGTGAATAGGGAACACTTCTACACTGCTGGTGGGAATGTAAACTTTCACAGCCGCTATGGAAAACAGTGTGGATATTCCTTAAAGAACTAAAAGTAGAACTACCATTTGATCCAGCAATCCCACTACTGGATATCTACCTAAAGGAAAATAAGTCATTATTCAAAAAAGACATGGGCACACGCATGTTTATAGCAGCTCAATTCACAATTGCAAAATCATGGAACCAACCCAAATGCCCATCAATCAACGAGTGAATAAAGAAACTGTGATATATATATATATATATATATATATATATAATATATAAAATATTTTATATATTATATATAATATATAGTATTTATATATAATATGTATTATATATAGTATTTATGTATAATATATAATATATAATATATAGTATTTATATATTATATATAATATACTATTTATATAATATATATATTTATATATTATATATAATATAATATATATAATATAATATATAAAATATATATATTTATATAAAATATTTTATATATTATATATAAATATATATATTTGTGTGTGTGTGTGTGTATAGTCCACCACATATACAATGGAATACTATGCAGCCATAAAAAGGAATGAATTAACAGCATTTGCAGTGACCTGGATGAGATTGGGGAATATTGCTCTAAGTGAAGTAACTCAGGAATGAAAAACCAAACATCGTATGTTCTCACTGATACATGGGAGCTAAGCTATGAGGACACAAAGGCATAAGAATGACACAATGGACTTTGGGGACTTGGGGGGAAGAGTGGGAGGGGCGAGGTATAAAAGACTACAAATATGGTGTAGTGTATACTGCTCGAGTGATGGGTGCACCAAAATCTCACAAATCACCACTAAAGAGCTTACTCATGTAACCAAATACCACCTGTACCCCAATAACTTATGGAAAAATAAAATAAAGAAAAATATAGATAAATTGGACAAATTCTTCATAAGACACAAATTACCAAAACTGACATAAGAAGATTATTTTGTCTAAACAGCTCTTTATCTGTTCAAAAAATTGATTTTTATCTTAATTTTTAATTTATATATAATATATGAACATAGTTTCAGGGTATATGTGATAATTTAATACATTGATATAATTTATAAAGATCAAATCAGTATACTTGGAATATCCATCATCTTAAATATTTGTCTTTTTGCTGGAACCATTTGCATTTTTCTCTTTCAGCTATTTTGAAATCTACAATGGATTACTGTAAAGTATAGTCACTCTACTGATCTAATACTAGGTCTTATTTCTTCTGTCAAACTGCATATCTGTCCTCATTAATCAAACTTTCTTCCCCCATCCTTCCCTGCCTCTGATAACCATTAATCTACTCTCTATCTTCATGACATACACATTTTTAGCTTCCACATGTGAGTGAGAATATGTGATATTTATTTCTGTGCTTGTCTTATTTCATATAACATAATGATGTCCAGTTCTTTCTATGTTGCTGCAAATTACAGGATTTTATTCTTTCTACGACTAAATAATATTTCATTGTGTATATTTACCATATTTTCTTTATCCATTCATCCAATAATAGACAATTACGTTAATTCCATATTTTGACTATTATGAATAGTGCTGCAATAAACATGAGACTACAGTTATCTCTTCAATATATTGATTTCCTCTCTTTTGGTTATATACCCAATTGTGGAATTGCTGGGTCATAAGGTTGTTCTATTTTTAGTTTTTGGAAAAACTTCATACAGTTTTCTACAATGGCTCAACTAATTTACATTCCCACTAATAGTGCTGCCCTTTCTCCTCATTCTCTCCAGCATCCATTATTCCCTGTCTTTTTATTAAAACCATTCTAAATGGGATGAGATTATATCTCATTGTAGTCTTGATTTGAATTTCTCTGATGATTAATGATATTGAACATGCTTTCATATACCTGTTGGCCATTTGTATGTCTTCTTTTCAGAAATATTTATTCAGATGTTTTGTTCATTTTTTTAGTTGTATTATTTGATTTTTGGCTATTGAGGTGTTTGAGCACCATTTATATTCTGATTCTGAATCCCTTGTCAATAGATAGTTTGCAAATATTTTCTCCCAACAAAGAATTGAATTTTGTTTGTTTGTTTTTGAGACGGAGTCTGGCTCTGTCGCCCAGGCTGGAGTGCAGTGGCGCAATCTCGGCTCACGGCAAGCTCCGCCTCCCGGGTTCATGCCATTCTCCTGCCTCAGCCTCACGAGTAGCTGGGACTACAGGCGGCCGCCACCACGCCCGGATAATTTTTTGTATTTTTAGTAGAGATGGGGCTTCACCGTGTTAGCCAGGATGGTATCGATCTCCTGACATCGTGATCCGCCCGCCTCGGCCTCCCCAAGTGCTGGGATTACAGGCGTGAGCCACCGCGCCCGGCCTTGTTTGCTGAGACAAGGTCTGTTACTCTTCCCCAGGCTGGAGTGTGAAGGAACAATCTTGGCTCACTGCCTGCCACATTGATCTCCCAGGCTCAAGCCATAATCTCACCTCAGCTTCCCAAGTAGCTGGGACTATAGGCACATGCCACTGTGCTGGAGATGATAGATAGATAGATAGATAGATAGATAGATAGATAGATAGATAGATAGATAGATAAATTTTTTTAACAGATAGAGTTTCCCTAAGTTGCCCAGACTGGTCTCAAACTCTGGGGCTGAAGCGATCCACCCTCCTTGGCCTCCCAAAATGCTGGGATTACAGGTGTGAGCCATTGTGCCTGGCCTAAGAATTGGATTTTAGTTAAAACCTTCACACAAGAAATCTCTAAGCCCAGATGGCTTCACAGGTGAATTCTAACAAACATTTAAGGAAGAAATAATACCAATATTACAAAACTCTTTCAAAAAATAGAGAAGAGAACACTTCCCAATTTAGTATGGTTTTTGAGGATAGCATGGCAATAATACCAAAACCAGACAATGACATTATAAAAATATAAAAGTACTGACCAAAATCCCTCATGAATGTAGAGGTACTCTGAAATGTAACAACAACAAAAGACATTACTACAAAAAATTAAAGAAGTCCTAAATAGAGAAATATATCATATTCACAGATTGAAAGACTCCATATTTTTAAGATTTCAATTCTCTCCCATATTAACCTATAGATAAACACAATCCAAGTCAAAACTCCACCAAGACTTCTCATTCATTACGCTGATTGTAAGTTTCTATGGACATGGGAAGGATTTTAAATACCCAAAACAATTTTGTGAAAGAAAACAAAGTTGGAGGACATAAACTACCTGAACTCAAGACTTATTGGACACCTATTGGAAAACTACAATCATCAATAACATATGAATGAACTTGAATAAACCTAGGTCATTGGAAAGGAAGAGAGTCCAGAAACACACACGTACATATATGGTTAATTGAATTTAAGTACAACTATCTAGGTAAATCAATGCGGAAGGGGAGGAATAATCATCTTTTCAACAAATTATGTGGAAACAACTGATATCCATATGAGAAAAAATAAACCTTCACACTTACCTCTCACTGCAGAAAAAATACCTTGAAATACATCAAAGAGTTAAATATAAAAGTTCAAACTATTAGACTTCTAAGAGGAAAAACAAAAAGTTTGCAATTTGGGGGTAGACAAAAGTTTTTTAGAGAATATTAAAAAAATAGAAAATATTAAACTTCCAAATTTAAATTTCTGCTACTAAACCTTGAAGAGGCATGCAAAATTATTGCCTAAAACATAAAGTTTAAACTCCTTTTTTGGGGGGCCAAGAGTGGTGGCCCAAGCCTGTAATCCCAGCACTTTAGGACACCGAGGCAGGTGGATCACCTGAGGTCAGGAGTTCGAGACCAGCCTGGCCAGCATGGTGAAACCCTGTCTCTACTACAAATACAAAAAAAAAAAAAAAATTAGCCAGTCATGGTGGCGTGTGCCTGTAATCCCTGCCACTTGGGAAGCTGAGGCAGGAGAGTCACTTGAATCCGGGAGGCGGAGGTTGCAGTGAGCCAAGATAGACCCACTGCACTCCAGCCTGGGTGACAAGAGTGAAACTCCGTCTCAAAAAAAAAAAAAAAGAAAGAAAGAAAGAAATATGAGTTTTAATGACAGAAAAACAATAAGTAAAATTTGTGTACTTCAAAATATATCAAGAAAATTAAAACAAGCTGTAGACTAGGCAGATTTATTTGCAATACATATTTCTAATAAAGGACTTGTATCCAAATATATCCTAAAACTCAAATTAAGAAAAATTAATATAGCAACAAATTTGAATAGACACAAAATCAAAATAAACTATATGATAAGTACATAAAAAATGTGCAACATCTCTGATGGTCAGGAAAATAAAAATTAACACCATGGCCAGGTGCAGTGGTTCACACCTGTAATCCCAACACTTTGGGAGTTCTAGGCGGGCAGATCACTTGAGTCCAGGAGTTCGAGACCAGCCTAGGCAATATGGCAAAACCCTGTGTCTACAAAAAATAAAAAAATTAGCCGGGCATAGTGGCATGTGCCTGTAGTCCCAGCTGCTTGGGAAGCTGTGTTGGGAGGATCACTTGAGACAGGAAGTTGGAGGTTGCTGTGAGCCAAGATCACGCCACTGCACTCCAGCCTGAGCGACAAAGTGAGACCCTGTCAGAAAAAAAGAAAAACACCATAATGAGATACTACCACATACCCATGAGAATAATGAAAATTCGTGATGCTAACAATATCAAATGTTGGGAAAAACATGAAGCAAATGCAACACTGCTGGTAGATCTGTCAATTGCTGCAATCACTTTTTAAAACAGTTGGGCAGTTTCTTATAAAGTTAAACATGCATTACCATATAATGCCCTAACACCTCCAGGTATTTACCCAAGAGAAATGAAAACCTATGTTCACAAGACTTGAACAAGTATGTTTAGGGTAGATTTATTCATAATAGCCAGAAACTAGAAACAACTCAAATGCCCATCAACAGTTAATTGGACAAACGAACTGTGATAAATCTATTCAATGGAATACCATTCACAATAATTAGGGGTAACTAATACACTCAAGAAAACAGATGAATCTCAAAAACATTTTTTTAAAAAGCCAAATACAAAAGAGTTCCTCTATAATTCTATAAAATTGATTTTTTAGAACAGAAATGAAATTTTCTTGAATATATATATTTTTCTTGACTATTATACATCTAAAAAATTATTTCTGTTCTTACATATACTTGTTATATATTCTGTTCTCTCTCTCTCTATATATATATACACATATATATACACATATATATACACACATATATACACATATATATATCTTGGTGGGAGGTGTATATGTTTCCAACGCTTCTCTTCAGTCTTTTTTTTTTTTTTTTGAGATGGAATTTCACTCTTGTTGCCCAGACTGGAGTGCAATGGCGTGATCTCGGCTCACTGCAACCTCGACTTCCTGGGTTCAAGCGATTCTCCTGCCTCAGCCTCCCGAGTAGCGGGAATTACAGGCATATACCACCATGCCCAGCTAATTTGTATTTTTAGTAGAGACAAGGTTTCTCCATGTTAAGCAGGCTGGTCTTGAACTCCCAATTTCAGTCTTTTATACAGCTGCAAGAATGATCCTGTATGATTATGTCAGTGCTCTGTTTAAACCCTGCAATTTCACTCAGAATAAAAATAAAATTTTCATAATGGACTACTCATTCTTTATAATCTTGACATCAACTGTTAAGCACTGGTCTTTTTGATGTTCCAAAAACATGCTGCCTCTCACCTTAATACCCTTGTGTAAAACGCAGTTCCTATCCATTGCCACCTATCTCACTGCCTACCTAGTGGTTTTTGTTCTGTTTCCACCAACATACTCTATACATTTTACTGATTTACTTTATTTATTACCTGAGCTATCCCACTAGAATAGTAGCTCCATGAGGACAGGATTTGGGTCTGTTTTATTCACTGCTGTACTTTCAGTTCCTTGGGTATAAAATAGACTCTCGAGAAGTAATTGTGGTGTAAACAGGTTTTTACACTTTTCTGTGTATTTGATATAAATCACAGATGCCAGAGAGCTTATATAATCACTAAGTCCCTGTGTCACATGAATGCCATTACTCCATCCTATTCACATATTAATTCTTGTTTCCAATTAAATTTAAAGCTCTATTCCCCAGTACTAAAATTCCAAAACAGATTCCGATTTGTCTGGATCCAATTCATCCTTCTCACCTTCACTGAAAGACATCAACTCCCCTCAGACTCATTGCCTATTTAATACATCTGAATCAGGAGTCTCCACACATGTAACACAATTCACCATAAAGCTTGTAGGTAAAGTACATTCTTGTTCTTTTTATTAATTGATTATCTTCCTTTCCTTGTATCTGCTGCTTCTCACTCAAGTCAGACGTTAATGACTGAGACAGAAGAGGATGGAGACAAAGGTCCATTCAGTCTGCTACTCCAGAACCAGGTTAGTGAGACCCAGAAAAAGGCAAAAAAAAAAAAACCACCAAGCATTATCCATCTCAACATGCATGTTCAGTCTCCTGCTGTTCTTTGTAGACTAGTTTAATGTAATAAAACACAAATAAGTTCAAACTCATTGTCATTCTGGAAAGAGTGGAGGTGGATTCTATAGAAAATCAAAGCTTTCAATAAATTGAGTTAGGCTAAAATAAGTATTGCATTTATGTGAACAGTTTTATTATCTTACACTGACCCATCTGTCTCCCAACTGAAAGAGTCCACATAAGTAGTGTTGGAAAGAGGAAAATATATATTCCCCAAATATCACTTAAGTTGTTTCTGTTTATATGGACATTTATTAAAACATCATGGTCATACTCAAATGAGATGGACAGTAAGTAAGTGTGTGTGTGTGTGTGTGTGTGTAAAACAAAAAAATGCATCGTGGGGCTATATTCACTCTGTGTTTAATTAGAAACTGGACTGGAAGCAAATTACTTTAGGTCCAGTTCTCCTAGGTTTTTGGCAACCTAATTGGAACCTACAGGTAGATGATGTCCTCTGAGCCTTGCAAGCTGTGAAAATTGGGCTCAAAGTCTCTCTGGCATAGCACTTGACATGTATTAACAAATTTCTTATTGAACTGTGGTTAAGGAGATAGGTTTCCTCTATTGCCTCTAGAGAATTTGGCCACCAACCAAAATGTACCCATATGTGTCTGTGTATACATGGTATGCTTTGGTAACATTTTAATAACTCCCATTGAAACTCCCTTACCAACAGCAAAATCAGCCACTTGACTTCTCTGTTGTCCAATAACATTCTCTTTCCAATTCATAAATTAAGCATGAGCCTCAGAGGTTTGAACATAAGTCAAGGACACAATGGAAAAACTTTAAAAGATATGATTCTTTGAATCTGACTTTTCTCTCCAAAAGCAGAGCAAAGACACTGCGATATTTAGCATAGCAAAGGGCTTAACTTTTAAACAAGATTTTCAAGAATTAATGCCAGTAGTCTTCTGTTATGCACTATATCTAATAGCATCAAATTTGTAGTTGGAGTTTTGGGATCAAAGGAACTAGGTAAAGACAAACTTCTAGCTAAGGTTAAGGTTATGCATAGTGAAACAGATGTTTTTATTGATTATGTATGACTAATTTAACTTTGAATATTTTTCAGGTATATCAAATGCTTCAGAGTTAAAATAATCATCTCAATGACAGAAACAACAAAGGTGGGTGTTAAACATTGGAAAAAATGATATTGTGTTAAGGGAGATGCTGGAAATGTGATCCATTTGGTGTGAGAGGAGGCATCATGCATTCACTGTGACCCTTTGAGTTGCTTATGTGTGAGGCCACCTCAGCCTAAGGTCAATGCAAAAGGGTTTCCAGAGCGGCTTTCTGCCAAATGCTTACCTTCGGAAAGACTTTTTCAAATGCTTTTCTGATACAAAGTTTCAACCTGTAGTGACTGAACTTGGGGAAAAAATGAAATATTGTGTCTTCCATACTGTTTCCATACCTTCCATTTCATACGTTCTTTCTTCACCCAACAAAGATTCATGCTATATTCCATATGAAAGACAAGATTTACACTAGTGCAGACTTACCTAATGGGTGGTGGTGACAAATAAATCAAGTTTTTATACCACTTCATATATACAAAGGACTCAAATACTGGATTTTGTTACTGACAGAAATGATCATATCTCTTACCACAGGTGATGTGCCAACCAAATCTTCTCTTACAACACGTCTCACTTTTTATCGTGTATCATCTTCACTTATTTGCACAAATCTTCCATTTCTGTTGGTCTGTAAACACTTTAGAAATGTGGCCCAACTTATTTGTATACATTTGAAGATTGCGATATATGTCCACCGGCTATGTATAAGGTGGCGTGAATAATAATTATAAAATTTATTCCAAATGACCAATGACAGCTTATAAACATAGGCATTATTCGAAAGATGACAATATCTCTCATTGCTGTGTGATCCCTCCACCCTCTAAGCTTTGATCCAAAGAGGGATAGAGCAGAAGAAAGTGTGATGATACAGTATCCGCTGCCTCCCAGAAAGGGGTCACTGTCTTTTTCTCACCCCAACACTCAAGCAAGATCCATAACCTTTCATCACCACTTTCCAGAACACCCCACTCCATGTAATACTAGAAGTTCATGGATCAGAGTTGAGAGTAAAGAAGTCCAAGGGACCGGGCGCAGAGGCTCAGGCCTGTAATCTCAGCACTTTGGGAGGCCGAGGCGGGCGGATCACGAGGTCAGGAGATCGAGACCATCCTGGCTAACACAGTGAAACCCCGTCTCTACTAAAAATACAAAAAAAAAAATTAGCCGGGCGTGGTGGCGTTCACCAGTAGTCCCAGGTACTAGGGAGGCTGAGGCAGGAGAATGGCGTGAACCCGGGAGGCGGAGCTTGCAGTGAGCTGAGATAGCGTCACTGCACTCCAGCCTGGGTGACAGAGTGAGACTCTGTCTCAAAAAAAAAAAAAAAAGGAAAAAGAAAAAAGAAATCAAAGGACATTGTCCCACCTACCATGGATGAACATTTCAGGCTTTCCTATCCTGATTAGGAGAACAAGAAGCTCAGCAGGCTTAAACCATTCATTCACCAACCAAACGATACCTAGGCACCATTGAATGTAATAATAAATCTTTTATTAATGAGGTTTCTGTTACTAATAAAAACCTCCTTCCATTCCACACTTCCTCCCTCTGTACTAACCACGCTGCATTTTCCAATGTTCTCTGTATAAGCATGTCATCTTCACCACCGACTGACGTTTTACGGGCTGTTTCCTTTGCATGATACATCCTGTTTCTGTTTCCTGGAAATTCATCTAAATTGAGGGAAAACTTCCCCTCCTCTAGGAAGGCTTCCCGCACTAGTCTCAGCTAGAGCGCTGCTGTGCTTCCACAGCGCTATATTGGTACCAGCATCATCTCCCATGTGTGATTATGCACTTACATGTTTATATTTTCCATCAGAGCGAAAATTGCTCCAGAGTAAGAACTTTGCTGTGGTCATGTGAATATTGCTATTACTAGCAGAATCCCAGCCACACTATAGGGATTACAAAATGTGTGCCGAAGGACTGAAGGATTCATTGGCTAAACAAAAGCCTTCTCACTGGCCTAATAAATAGAGGGTCAGGAATGTAATCAAATCCAACATTAAGGAGGCATGTTCCATTTTAATGACATCAATTTCTGCAGCACAGTCTTATCGGAGGTGCTGCAGAGGTGTGGAATATTGGGCTGAACCTATGCTGATCGAAACTTACCTGAAAATTTTATAATTTTTTAAACAGTTCATCTGAGACTGTTTTTCTGCCACCTTTACCCTAAAGTAAATGGGAAGAAACAACTGATCAACTGAATGCTTAAACAATGATCATATGTTGTAACACATGTAATGTTGTAAGCTTTGGAGGTAAACAGAATCACATCCTAAGTTCAGTTCCAGCACTTACTACTGCTGTGAGTTTGAGAAAATGAGCCTACCTTTCTGAAGATCGTTTCTTTATCTGTGGGGAGAAATTTTTTTAAGAAATCTTCTTTATAGGAATACATAAGAGAATAATTCACAAGACACATTTACTCTTGGGGTATGGAGATTGCAGGGACGTCAACGCTCTCCAGCTGATTTTCTCCCAGACACATGCAGTAGGTGAAGATAGGTTCTACTGTTGGTGAAGACAGGAAAGGTGAAGGAAAAACAGGACAGGAGGTTAGACCTTTCAACAAAGCCTGAAATTGAGCATCAACATTCAAACCCCAGGGTCTATACCCTCACTCAGTCTACTTTTCTCTTTTCTGAGACAGGGTCTCACTCTGTCACCCAGGCTGGAGTGCAGGGTGCAATCATGCCTCACTGCAGCCTGGACTTCCGGGGCTCAAGTGATCCTCCCACTTCAGCTTCCTAAGTAGCTGGGACCACAGGTGTATGCCACCACGCATGGCTAATTTTTTTTATTTTTTGTAGTCATAGGGTCTCCCTATGTTGCCTCACTCAATCTTGTATTCTCTCAGGTGAATCTTTCCCTTGACGCAGATTCCTACTCATCTCTGCTGACTCCAACTGTTATTACCCACACAGAATCCATCTGACACAGGGCAGAGTGGAGGAGTCAGAGCCCCAGTCATTCAGCTAGTTGATGGCAGAATAAGGACCGATGGAACCAATGCTCCAAGCTCCCCAATCCAGAGCTCTCTTCACTACATCCCCCTGCCTCTCTCAGCAGCGAAATTCTTCCTTTGGGGGAAAAAAAAATCACCTTTCAGATTTTCAAAACTTCTGTTGGTTCCTATCAAAATGTATTCCTGTACAGGGCAAAAAAAAACTGATAATAATAATAGTGACCATAAACCAGGAGCAGCCACAACATTAAAAAAAAAACCTGGTACTTTCACTTCTGTCTTTTGAGAAAGCCAGAACTTTTGACCTCCAAAGCAGTATAAGTGACAAGAAAAGATGAAAAGATTTCCTTAAAGCAGAATAAAGGGAGGAAAGATTTATTACATTGGGAGTTTTGTACCAAAAACATCAAATTAAATATGGGTAATTGATTTTTTAAAATACACTATGTCACTACTTAACATATTTTCTTTCCCAAAGTAGTTCTATAGGAGAAGAATTATTGAATGACTTTACATATGATAATTTGATTTTATCACCAGACTAACTGAAATCTGAAAAACGTGAACAATGCAACAAACTGCAAAAACTACAACCGCATGGGAAGTTTCTGCACTGCATTCTAGGTGTTTAGGAAGACAACAAAATAAATATCCCAGTGCTTTCACATGACATGGTTTAAAACCAAAGAGAATAAAGAGGATGATTGAATGGAGATGGAAAACTGCACCAGGGTAAAAGAATTTATTTTCCTTGGCCTGACCCAGAATCGGGAAGTGAGCTTAGTCTTATTTCTTTTCCTACTCTTGGTGTATGTGACAACTTTGCTGGGAAACCTCCTCATCATGGTCACTGTTACCTGTGAATCTCGCCTTCACACGCCCATGTATTTTTTGCTCCATAATTTATCTATTGCCGATATCTGCTTCTCTTCCATCACAGTGCCCAAGGTTCTGGTGGACCTTCTGTCTGAAAGAAAGACCATCTCCTTCAATCATTGCTTCACTCAGATGTTTCTATTCCACCTTATTGGAGGGGTGGATGTATTTTCTCTTTCGGTGATGGCATTGGATCGATATGTGGCCATCTCCAAGCCCCTGCACTATGCGACTATCATGAGTAGAGACCATTGCATTGGGCTCACAGTGGCTGCCTGGTTGGGGGGCTTTGTCCACTCCATCGTGCAGATTTCCCTGTTGCTCCCACTCCCTTTCTGCGGACCCAATGTTCTTGACACTTTCTACTGTGATGTCCACCGGGTCCTCAAACTGGCCCATACAGACATTTTCATACTTGAACTACTAATGATTTCCAACAATGGACTGCTCACCACACTGTGGTTTTTCCTGCTCCTGGTGTCCTACATAGTCATATTATCATTACCCAAGTCTCAGGCAGGAGAGGGCAGGAGGAAAGCCATCTCCACCTGCACCTCCCACATCACTGTGGTGACCCTGCATTTCGTGCCCTGCATCTATGTCTATGCCCGGCCCTTCACTGCCCTCCCCATGGATAAGGCCATCTCTGTCACCTTCACTGTCATCTCCCCTCTGCTCAACCCCTTGATCTACACTCTGAGGAACCATGAGATGAAGTCAGCCATGAGGAGACTGAAGAGAAGACTTGTGCCTTCTGATAGAAAATAGAAAAAAAAATCCTCAGCTCTTCATCACCAAAGATATCTTATATTTATTATTTTTCCCATGAAGTCATATTCATATATTCAAATATATTGTCAAACCAACTACACTTAGTAATAATTAATTTTTCTATTTATGTTAGTAAGTAACTGATAAGCTTCTGGTCAGGGAGAGATTCACACCTTCTAATTGAAAATAAACCAGAGCTCCCTCCTCTTTACCACCAAGATTTTGTTTCATGATTTTTCTTCCATGGACTCCAAGTTCTGAAAGTGTTGCCTGCTGAATTGAATATATTTATTTAGTGATTGCTAAGTATTTGTTTTATTTTCATAAGTAATACATAAAATTATATATATACCTAGCAAATGCATATTATATATAGTAAATCTTCTTATCTGCATTTAGTTGACATAAATATTAATAATTTAAACAGAGCCTTTGTGATTCAGAAAAGAGAGGGAAAATTGTTAGCAAATGTGTATATGATTTTGCAGTCCAATTTTAAAGAAAAATTAAGCCAAATGCACGCAGACATTATCATTACCTTTCTGCTCCTATTACAGTAAATGAAGGTGTGGGGTGTATCTGAAACACAATGGAGTTTGGGGATTGACTTTCTGTATAATTTTCATAAGGTAAACGTATCCTACATGATCCTTATGATGGGCAAGGTCATTACCTTGCCCTTTCTTGAACCCCAAGCTCACTGGCCACCCTACCGCATTTCCTTGGCACTCTGTGCTTAGGGTTAGCATTGCACTCAGGACTCTATTTTGAAATTTCCTATTTTCTTGTCTCTTTCTCTTACTGGGCAGTGACTTCCCCAGGAGCAGGGATTATGTTTTATTTACTGTCACAGCAGCTAAAACATACTAAGACTTCAACAATATGTTGCTGAATAAATAGCTCAATGATTGAATGTTTTCACTTACTTGATATACTCTGTGGCCTGTGAGTTTCTACAAATGACAAAAACACATTAAGCTACTTTAAGCTATGCATATACATATATAAAGCTTGGAAAAAAGTGAAAAATGATTATTTTACACATTGCTGCAATTATGTTTTTAGCTGTTCACTTAATATTTTTTATAGGGATCTGGAGTTCTTATTGAAACTGGAATTCTTTCTGTATCTGATACTAATATTGTCCCACAACCTAGACATGCAAGAAATGTAACGTTTTAAAATTTTATATAACTTGATTTCTATTTCAAGCTTCCATTCAGTTGTGGTGGCTGGAAATTTAATCTTTCATTACGAAGTTCCCTTAATGGTTTCTGAGTTCCAGGGAAAGAGAGTGGGAACTAGGGATAAAAGGTGATACATCATTATATAAAGGTAAATTCTTTCCTGAACCAATAGTGGCAGTGTTCATGAACTAAGTACAATTGTCTCTGCCTTTCATGTTCACAAGCAAAAAGAATCTGCTAACATATTTCTTACAGATTAAAGAAAAATGTGATTACCTCAGTAAATATAGAAAAGCACTTGATAATATTCAACACCAATTTATGGCCAAAACTCATAAATAAATAAAGAAAAGAAGCATTCTTTCTTAACCTAATAAAAAGTCAATATAAATATTATAACACAAATTATATGTTATGGTAAAATGGAAGCAATCCATTTAAGTGCTACCTTATATTCCCACTCCAATCAACACTCTACTTTTCACAACAGAGACACAGAAAACCTTTGAACTCAATTCCTGATGTAATTCAGGACATTGCACAATTAAATTATGTATCTGACTTCTATGAGGTCAGCCCTATGGCAATAAGAAATACATAAGTAGCTGAAGACTTGCATAAAAGCTCTCTGGGGCCAGGCATGGTGGCTCACACCTATAATCACAGCATTTTGGGAGGCCAAGGCAGGTGGATCATTTGAGGTCAAGAGTTTGAGACCAGCCTTGACAACATGGGGAAACCTTGTCTCTACTAAAAATACAAAAATTTGCCAGGACGTGGTGGCACATGCCTGTAATCCCAGCTACTCAGGAGGCTGAGGCACAAGAATCACTTCAGCCTGGGAAGCAGAAGCTGCAGTGAGCTGAGATCGTGCCACTAGACTCCAGCCTGGGTGACAAAGTGAGACTCTTAAAAAGAAAAAAAGAAAAAGCTCTCTGGTTCCCAGACTTCACCTTGAGCTGAGCATATAAACTGCTTGTCATTTCTTTAGTGTAATTTATTCAATGTAGTTAGGAGTAGCCACCCCTCCTCCACAGTCCCTGTAGTACTGACAAAGTCAATTACAGGAGTCACCTCATGATTCAAGCACTTGCTTCACTAAGAAAATTGTCACGGTCAATAACATGTGACAATTTGGTTAGTTATAATGCCTTTGTATGCCATGGATTGCCAGAATCTGATTTACCGTGGATAAGGAATTCAGCATGATGTTCATGACCAAGGACGTTTCAAGTAATCTCAGAATCTCACCTTTGAGAGTCTGCTTTTTGCTATCACTTCTGTTACCAAATACTTTACCAATCAGGGTCAAGTCAAGACAACAGAAGCCACATCAGTTATTTATCCAAAGATTTTTTATCACAAAAAAAAATTTAAATATAAAAGTAAAATGTATGGCAAAAAAAGAGTGGGAAAATAAATATACTGTTGTAAGGTTTATATTCATCATGAAGTGATATCATATGAAGGCCATCTGATGTGAGTTAAAGATGCATATTGTAGGCCCTAGAGTAATCACTATAGAATAAAACTGCAAGATACAGATAATAAGACAATAAATGAAATAAAATAAAAAACTAAAAACACTGAATTATCCCAAAGAAGGCAGAAAAATAATAAAAGGAAGCAAAAAATAAATGGGAAAAAAATTTTAAATAAAAGCAAAATGAGCCACGCACAGTGGCTCACTCCTGTAATCCCAACACTTTGAGAGGCTGAGGCGAGTGGATCACTGAAGCTCCGGAGTTTGAGACCACCCCTGGCCAACATAATAAAACCCAGTCTCTACCGAAAATACAAAATGTAGCTGGGCATGGTGGCGTGTACCTGTAATCCCAGCTACTTTGGAGGCTGAGGCAGGAGAATCGCTTGAACCTGGGAGGCAGAGGTAGCAGTGAGCTGAGATTGTACCACTGCACTCCAGCCTGAGTGAAAAAGTGAGACTCCATCTCAAAAAAAAAAAAGAAAAAAGAAAAAAAATCAAAATGGTAGCTGTAAGCACAACTGTATTCAAAACTACATTAAAGATTTCTCAATGTCGGAATAGGAGCTTACAAGCAACCAAGGTGGGAAGGTAAATATGAAGCACGTGATAATGGATTAGTGTTGGAGACATCAGTATGAAAGCATGTTTAGTGGCCAAGTGTGGTGGCTCACACCTGTAATCCCAGCACTTTGGGAGGCCAAGATAGAAAGACTGCTTGGGCCCAGGAGTTCAAGACCAGCCTGGACAACATGTTACTGGGGAGGGTGGAAGGGGAGTGAGGAGTAAAAGGCTACACATTGGGTACAGTGTACACTGCTCAAGTGATGACTGCACCAAAGTCTCATGTGGCCCAGGCACTGTTGTTCACACTTGTAATCCCAGCACTTTGGGAGGCCGAGGCAGGTGGATCACCTGAGGTCAGGAGTTCCAGACTACCCTGGCCAACCTTGTGAAACCCCATCTCTACCAAACATACAGAAATGAGCCGGGTGTGGTGGCACCCGCCTGTAATTCCAGCTACTGGGAGGCTGAAGCACGAGAATCACTTGAATCCAGGAGGAGGAGTTTGCAGTGAGCCAAGATCGTGCCACTGTACTACAGCCTGTGCGACAGAGGAAGACCCTGTCTCAAAAAAATTAAAAAAAAAAAAATGTATCCATGTAACCAAACGCCACCTGTTCCCCTCAAATCCTATTGAAATAAAATAAATAAATAAGAAAAACTTGTTTTACAAAGTGCATTTTATGGAGGTAGAGAGTAGAACGGTGGTTACCAGAGTCTGGAAGGGGAATGCGGGTGAGAGAACTAACTTGGTGAAGCGGTGCAAAAACACCGTTCTGTAGAGGAAATGAGTTCCAGTATTCAATAGGAAAGTATATTTATAATATAAATATTATAGTTACAAATAATTTATTTTATATTTCACAATAGCTAGAAGAGAAGATGTGTAATATTCCCAGCACAAAGAAAAGACAAATGTTTGAAGAGAGGGATATCCCAACTACCCTAATTTTGATTATTACACATTGTATGCAGGTATCAAAATATCTCATGTACCCCCAAAATATGTATAACAATTATATAGCAATAAGATTTTCTTAATTTTTAAAAATTAGTAAAATAGAAAATGTTGGGTAAAATTTACTGGGGAAGTCATCAGGTCCTGGACTCTTCCTTGCTGGAAGGTTTTTGATTACTGATTTAATCTGTTATTAGCCATTTCATATTTTCTATTTATTCATGATTCAGTCTTGACAGTTTGTGTGTTTCTAGGAATTTGTCCATTTCTTCTAGGTTATCCAAATTTTTAGCATATAAAAAGTTTATGGTATTCTCTTATAGTCCTTTGTATTTTTGTGGCATCAGTTATAATGTCTCCTCTTTGGTTTCTAATTTTATTTAATAAAGTATTCTATCTTTTTTTCTTAATCTAAAGTTTTGTCAATTTTATCTTTTTAAAAAAACCAATTCTTAGTTGTTTTTCTTGATATTAAAAACTGGTTTCTTGGCTGGGCACGGTGGCTCATGCCTATAATCCCAGCAGTTTGGGAGGCCGAGGTGGGCGGATCTTCTGAGGTCAGGAGTTTGAGACCAGCCTTGTCCAGGCTGGTGAAGCCTGGACATGGTGAAACCCCATCTCTACTAAAAATACAAAAATTAGCCGGGCATCATGGTGGATACCTGTAATCTCAACTACTTGGGAGGCTGAGGCATGAGAATCTCTTGAACCCAGGAGGCAGAGGTTGCAGTGAGCTGAGACCATGCCAGCCTGGGCAACAGAGAGACTCTGTCACAAAAAAAAAAAGAAAAATGAAAGTACCTATAGACCAAAATAC
Organism: Homo sapiens; assembly: GCF_000001405.40. Classification (NCBI taxonomy): domain Eukaryota; kingdom Metazoa; phylum Chordata; class Mammalia; order Primates; family Hominidae; genus Homo; species Homo sapiens. The sequence goes on from NC_000011.10 coordinate 59,483,378, forward strand.
CTCATGAACAGAGACAAATGCCAAAAAATAAAAACAAGAACAAAAAATTAACAGAAAATAAAGTCAGAAATACAGAAAATAAATGTCATAAATTAAGACATACGTAGATTATATTCACGAATTGAAAGCCTCAGTATTGTTAAGATTTCAATTCTGCCCAAATTAATCTATACAATCAATGTAACCCAAATCCAAATTTTAGCAGGACTTCTTGGTTGTTAAACTGATTGTAATTTTTTTTTTCACAGGGTCTCTCTCTGTCACCCAGGCTGGAGTGCTGTGGTGCAATCTCAGCTCACTGAAGCCTCAACCTCCCAGGCTCAAGTGGTCCTCCAGCTTAGGCCTCCCAATTAGCTGGGACTATATACAGGCGCATGACATCATGCCCAGCTTTTATATATATATATATATAAATATTGTAGAGACAGGGTTTCACCATATTTGCCAAGCTGGTCTCAAACTCCTGGGCTCAAGTGATCCACCTGCCTTAGCCTCCCAAAGTGCTGGGATTGCAGGCATGAACCAGGACTCCATGCCTGATTGTAAATTTTCTATGGAAATGCAAAGAACCTAGAATACATAAAACAACTTTGTAAAAGAAAACAAAGTTAGAGAACTTATACTATCTGAATTCAAGATTTATTAGACAGCTACAACCATCAATACCACATAAAATGGGCATGAAGCTAGACATGGATCATTTGAAAAGAAGTCTGTAAATACAGGCATACGTATATGATCAATTAAATTTAAATAAATCTGCCAGAGTAAATCAAGAGAGGAGCAGAGAATACTCATCTTTTTAATATATTGAGCGAAAACAACTGGCTATCCATGTGGAAAACAAAAAACCTTCACCTGAAAGTCACATTATGCAAAAAATTAACTTGGAATACATCAAAGATATAAACATAAATGTTCAAACTACAAAACCTCTGAAGAAAATTGGACAAGATGTTTGCAATGTTGAGGTAAGTAAATATTTCTTAGACATGATTAAAAAAATAGAAAAACATAATAGAACTTCAAATTTTTAAATTTCTATTCTTCCAAAGCATTATTAAGAAAATTAAGAACAAGCTGTAGACTAGGTTAAACTCTTTGCAATACATATTTCTTATAATTAACTGGTATCCAAAATATATTTAAAATCCCTAAAACTCAAATTCAGAAAAAAAAATTTAATAGTTACAAATTTGAATAGGCACACCACAAAATAAATTATATGATTAGTCAATCAGTACTTGAAAAGATGATCAACATCACTGGTCATCAGGGAAATGCATATTAACACCATAATAAGATACCACCACATGCCCATGAGGATCATTAAAATCCATGCTGCTAACAATATCAAGAGTCAGGAAGAGTATGGGAGCCACTGGAACACTGCTGGTGGGGCTGTCAAATAGTGCAATTGCTTTATAAAATAGTCTGGCAATTACTTAAAAAGTTAAACATGACACAACTGATAACTTGCAACAAAATGGATAAATCTCAAAAGCATAAGAAAAAAGTCAAACACAAAAGAGTCCCTCCATATTATAACTCCAGAAAGTTAATTTTTTAGTGAAACTGAAATTTGCTTGCCAAAATATTAACATATTTATATACTTGGCTGTGGATATATAGGTTTTCTCTTTTTTTTTTTTTTTTCCGGAGAGGGTCTTGTCTGTCGCCCAGGCTGGAGTGCAGTGGCACAACCTTGGCTCACTGCAACCTTCAACTCCCAGGATCAAACGATCCTCCTGCCTCAGCCTCCCAAGTAGCTGGGAGTACAGGTATGCACCACCATACCTGGCTAATTTTTGTACCTTGGGGAAAGACAGGATTTTGCCATGTTACCCAGGCTGGTCTTGAATTCCAGGACTCAAGAAATCTGCCCACCTTGGCCTCTGAAAGTGCTGGGATTACAGGCGTGAGCCACCGCACCCAGCCTCCATTTCTGCTCTTAAGTATGAAAAATTACAGATGCAAGAGTTTTCCTCTTAAAACCTCCAATTTCACTCAGAATAGAAATCAAATTCTCACAATGGCCTAATAGTTCACCAAAACATTACCCACCCATTACCTTTTCACGTCATCTGTTAAACACCGGCCTTGTTGATGTTCCAAAAACATACCCCCCTCACCTTAATACCCTTTTATAATTTGCAGTTTTATCCATTGCTGCCTATCTCACTGCCCTGCCTAACGGTTTTTGTTCTGTTTATCACCAACGTACTACATACATTTTATTTACGTTATTTATTATCTGGGTCATCCAACTAGAACACTCTATGAGGACAGGATTTGGGTCTGTTTTATTCACTGCTGTACTTTCAATGTCTTGGGTATAAAATAGACTCGAGTAATAACTGAACAGGTTTTTACACTTTTCTGTGTATTTGATATAAATCACAGATGCCAGACAACTTATATAATCACTAAGTCCCTGTCTCACATGAAAGTGATTACTGCATCCTATTCACATATCAATTCTTGTTTCCAATTAAACTTAAAATTTGATTACTCAGACAGAAGAGGATGGAGGCAAAGTTCCATTCAGTGTGGTTCTCTGGGACCAAATTACCTGGCTCCTGAACATGAAACAACAAAAATTACCTCTTTTTTTTTTTTTTTCTTGAGACGAAGGCTTGCTGTGTCACCCAGACTGGAGTACAGTGGCACGATCTTGGCTCACGGCAACCTCTGCCTCCTGGGTTCGAACAATTCTCCTGTCTAAGCATCTGGGACCACAGGCACACGCCACCACGCATGGCTAATTTTTGTATTTTTAGTAGAGACAGAGTTTCACGATGCTGCCCAGGCTGGTCTCGATCTCCTGGCCCCAAGTGATCCACCCACTTCGGCGTCACAAAGTAAGGGGATTACAGGCCAGAGCCATCACTCCTGGCCAAAAATTACCCATTTCAACATACATGACCTGTTTCATGTTCTTATCTTTGTAGATAAACTTGCTTTCAAAAAAAAAAAGTTGAAAAGCAGGAAAATCCAAACTCATCATCATTGTGGAAATAGTGAATGTGAGTTCTATATATCAAACCATTCAATAAACAAGTTATTCTAAATTAACACTGTTAATTGTTGGATAGTTTTACTAAGTTATACTGATCTAGCTATCTCCAAATTGAAATATCCCATATGAGAAAATATGCATCCACCAAACATTGTCTAAATTGTGATTCTATTTATGTGGATGCTTATAGAAATGTCATGGAGCTACGACCATTCTGTGTATAATTAGAAACTGGACTGGTAGCAAATTATTTGAGGTCCAGTTCTCCTAGGTTTTTGGCAATCTAGTTGAAACCCAGGTAGATGGTGTCCTCTGAGCATTGCAAGCTGTGAAAATTGGACTCAAAGTCTTGCTGGCATAGCACTCGGAACGTTTTAACAAAGCTTTTAGTGAACTGTGGTCAAGGGGATAGATTTCTTCTATTGCCTCTAAAGAACTTGGACACCAACCAAAATGTGCCTGTATGTGTCTGTGTGTACATGTGCATGCTTTGGTAACATTTTAATAACTCCCATTAAAACTCCATTACCAACGGCAAAATCAGCCACTTAATTTCCACTCTCTTGTCCAATAACATTCTCTTTGCGATTCTTAAATTAAGCATGAGCCTCAGGGATTTGGGCATAAGACAGGGACACAATGGAAGAATTTTAAAGATGTGATACCTTGAGTCGGCCCTTTCTCTCCTGAAAGTGGAGCAGACACCAAGATATCTGGTATTCCAAAGGGCTCTACCTTTAGACAAAATCTTCAAGAATTAATGTCAACAATCTTCTGTCATGCACTGTATCTAATAGCATCCAATTTTTTTTTTTGGAGTTTCAGGATCAGAGGAAGAAACTAAAGCCATCAACCTGCTAGCTAAGGTTAAGGTTATGTATACTGAAATTGAAATGTTGTTACTAATTACATATAAATAATTTGACTTTTTTCAGGTATATTATCTTTTCAGGTATATTAAATGCTTCAGAGTCAAGGTGATCATCTCACTGACAGAAACAAGAAAGGTGGGTGTTAAATATTGGGGAGACTCATGTTAAGAGCGATACAGAGGCCAGGTGCGGTGGCTCACGCCTGTAATCCCAGCCCTTCGGGATGCTGAAGCAGGCAGATTACCTGAGGTCAGGAGTTCACTAGCCTGGCCAACGTGGTGAAACCCTGTCTCTACCAAAATACAGAAATTAGCTGGGCATGATGGCCGGTGCCTGTAATCCCAGCTACTCAGGAGGCTGAGGCAGGAGAATCACCTGAACCCTGGAAGTGGATGTTGCAGTGAGCTGAGATCGCACCACTGCACTCCAGCCTGGATGACAGAACGAGACTCCGTCTCAAAAAAAAGAGAGAGATACAGAAATGTAGTTTATTCGGTGTGAGAGAAAGCATCATGCATTTGCTGTGACCCTTTGAGTTGCTTATTGGTAAGGTCTCTTTCTGTCAAATGTTTATCTTCACAACTTTTTTCAAACAATCTTTCTAGAAAAATTTAGAGCCCATGTAGAATACTGGGGAAAAGGCACTATTTCTTTTATCCTATTTCCATCTTTTGTATTTTATACATCTGTTCCTTCAGCCAAACATAGATTCTGGAAATATTTCATGTGAAGTACAGGAATAGCATCAATGCTTACCCAATAGATGGTGGTAAGAATTAAATTAATCAAATTTTATGCTGCTTCACACATAGGAATCACTCAGAAAAGTAAAAGCTTTTGTTTTTACTGGAAATCATCATATCTTCTATCATGCTTCCAATCTCACCCAAATCTATCTTGTTAAACACTGACAATGTGGTCCAATTTATCCATATGCATTTGAAGATTGCAATAAATATTCACTAGGTGGAGCAAGTAATAATAATTTAAAATGTTTCCTTCAAATGATCAATGACAGCTTATAAACATTGGCATTATTCTAAAGATGACAATGTCTCTCACTGCTGCATGGTCCCAACACCCTCTTACTTTGATCCAAAAAGGGAAAGAGCAGAAGAAAGTCTAATGAGACAGTGTAGGCTGCCTCTCAGAAGGGGTCACTGTCTTTTTCTCTCCTCCACACTGGAGCGAGAACCACAGCCTTCCATCACCACTTTCCAGAACACCCTCCTCCACATGATACTAGAAATTCATGGATCAAAGTTGAGAGTAAAGAAGTCGAAGGACATTGCCCCCACCCACCATGGAGGAACATTTTAGGCTTTACTATCCTGAATATGAGAACAAGGAGGTCAGTAGACAGTTCAATCATGCACTAACCAACCAGTACCTAACAAACACTGAATGTAATGATAAGCTCTTGGCGGGGCGCAGTGGCTCACGCCTATTACCCCAGCACTTTGGGAGGCTGCCACGGGTCATGAGGTCAGGAATTCGAGATCAGCCTGGCCAACATGGTGAAACCCCGTCACTACTAAAAATACAAAAATTAGCCAGGCGTGGTGGCACACATCTGTAATCCCAGCTACTGGGGAGGCTGAAGCAGGAGAATAGCTTGAACCCAGGAGGCAGAGGTTGCAGTGAGCCAAGATCATGCCACTGCACTCCAGCCTGGGCCAGACAGCAAGACTCCATCTCAAATAATAATAATAATAATAAGCTCTTTATTAGTAGAGTAAGAAATTTTTGGTACTAATAAAAACCTCCTTTCATTCCACACTCTCCCACTCTGTGCCAACCACACTGCATTTTCCAATATTCTTCTGTATAAGTATGTCATCTTCACTACTGACTGACTTTTTACAGGCTGTTTCCTTTGCATGATGTATCCTGCTTCCATTTCTTGGAAATTGATCATGACTGAGGGGAAAAACTCACCTCCTCTAGAAAACCTTCCTGCGCTATTCCCAGCTAGAGCTCTGCTGTGCTCCCACAGCACTATATTGGTACCAGCATCATCTCTCATGTGTGATTATAAACTTATATTTTTGTATTTTCCATTAGAGTGAAAAATGCTCCTGAGTAAGAACCTTGCTGTGGTCATGTGTATATGCAGAATTCCAACCACCCCACGAAGATCACAAAATGTGTGTTGAAGGGTTAAAGGGCTCATTGGCTAAATAAATGCCTTCTCACTTGCCCTGATAAATGCAGTCTCAGGAATGTAATCGAGTCCAACTTTAGAGAGTCAGGTTCCATTTTAATGGCATCAATTCTTGCTGCACAAACTTACTGAGATTGTTACAGAAGGGGTGGGAGATTGGTTGGGTTAAACTCATGCTAACCTCAAACTTATCTTGGAATTTTATTATTTTTTTATAAATATCTCATCTGGGACAGTTTTTCTGCCACCTTTACCCTAATGCAAAGACATAATTCTGGTCAACTGAATGCTTAAACAAAGATTGTATGTTGTAGCAGATGGAATGTTGGCTTTGGAGCTAAAAGAATCACATTGGAAGTTCAGTTCCATCACTTACCACTGTTGTGAGTTTGGGCAAATGAACTCACCTTTCTGAGCATCATTTCTTTATTGTAGGGAAGAAATAAAAAACTCTTCTTCATAGGAATAAATAAGACAACCGTTCACAGGACATTTTAACTCTTGGGGTATGAATACTAGAGGAGGATCATGACTCTCCAACTGGTTTTCTCCCAACCACCTACAAATGGACCTACTGATGGTGGAGACAGGAAAGGAGGAAGAACGGGACAGGAGAAAAAAGTAGATTACCAGTTGGTTCCCACCTTTTGACAGAGCCGGAAATTGGGGATCAACAATAAGACCCCAGGGTCAGTCTTGTAACCTCTTAAATGAATCTCCTCCTTAGCTCGGATCCCTCCTCCTCCCTGCTGGTTCAAACTGATAATGTCCACACTGAATCCATTTGATACAGTCCAGAGATGAGGAGTCAGAGCCCCAGTCATTCAGCTAGTTGATGGCAGAATAAGAACTAGATGGAACCAATGCTCCAATCTCCCAAATCCAGAGCTCTCTTCACTACATCTCACTGTCTCTCTCAGCAGGAAAATTCTTCCTTTTGGGAAAAAACTAATCACCTTTCAGATTTCCAAAATCACTGAAGGTTCTTATCAAAATGCGTTCCTGCACAGGGTAGAAAACTAACTGATAATAATAACAGTATTAATAATACAGCAGCAGCTAAAACAAAAATAAGAACCGGCTGATGGTCCTTTCACTTCTTACATCTAGAAAAATCAGAACCTTTTGACCTCCACAGCAGCATTAAGTAACAAGATGAGATGAAAATATTTTCTTAAAATAAACAGAAAACAAAATTATTACAATAACATATTTTAGTGCTATTCACTCTCAAAAGGACAAATACTGCACGATTCCACTTCTAAAATAGTCAAATTCATTGAAACTGAAAGTAGAATGGTAATTGCCAGGGGCTGATGGGAGAGGGAAGAGGGGAGTTGTTGGTCAATGTGCACAAAGTTTCAGTTATACATATACAAGATGTGTAAGTCCTAGGGAATTTCTGTACAACATTGTACCTATAGTAAACAGTCCTCTACTGGTACACTTAAAAATTTGTTAAAAGAATAGATGTCGTGTTAACTGTTTTTACCACAATCAAAAACATTAATTGTATTCTTTGAGATTTGTTTTTACATGTTGTTTCAAATCTGTTTCCTAATAGCAAATTTAACATGCTTTCAAATAAATATTAAGCAAAAAATCTGATTAGTGTAAAGTAGTGACAAGGACAAGTTGACTAAATGAAATCATAGGCTGCAATTTTAAGAAATCTGACAGAATACAACCAAGAGCTAGGAAATTGATCCGTGACACAGCAACATTGCAATAAGAAATAGAACAGCAAGATAAGACTCTCTTGAAGTCAACAGAATATTAGCTACTATGACTATTAAGTGTGTAGACTATAAGTTTCCTAATGGCTGGAACTATGTCTAACTTATCTTTGTATTTAACACTTCACAGTTCCTGGCAACCAATAAGTTTGCATGGATATAAAAATAAATAATAAATATAATAAAAATAATCAATTATATTAAATATAATATGTAAATGTCACTATTAAACATGATACGATTATTCTTTCCCAAAATAGTTTCATAGGAAAATAATTATTGAATGACTTTGCATGTGATAATTTGATCACCAAACTGATTGCTATCTTAAAAATGTGGACAATGCAGCAAATAGCGAACACTGCAATCACGAAGGAAGTTTCTGAATTGCATTCTAGTGTGCTTGGGAGGACAATAAAATAAACATCCCTGTGCTGTTGTATGACATAGCTTGAAACAAAAGAGAATAAAGAGGATGATTCAATGGAGATGAAAAACTGTACCAGGGTAAAAGAATTTATTTTCCTTGGCCTAACCCAGAATGGGGACACAAGATTGGTCCTATTTCTTTTCCTACTCTTGGTGTACATGACGACTCTGCTGGGAAACCTCCTCATCATGGTCACTGTCACCTGTGAATCTTGCCTTCACATGCCCATGTATTTTTTGCTCCATAATTTATCTATTGCCGATATCTGCTTCTACTCCATCACAGAGCCCAAGGTTCTGGTGGACCTTCTGTCTGAGAGAAAGACCATCTCCTTCAATGGTTGCTTCACTCAGATGTTTCTCTTCCACCTTATTGGAGGGGTGGATGCATTTTCTCTATCAGTGATGGCATTGGATCAATATGTGGCCATTTCCAAGTCCCTGCACTATGCGACCATCATGAGTAGAGACCGTTGCATTGGGCTCACAGTGGCTGCCTGGTTGGGGGGCTTTGTCCACTCCATTGTGCAGATTACCCTGTTGCTCCCACTCCCTTTCTGTGGACCAAATGTTCTTGACACTTTCTACTGTGATGTTCCCCAGGTTCTCAAACTCGCCCATACAGACATTTTCATACTTGAGCTGTTGATGATTTCCAACAATGGACTGCTCACCACACTGTGGTTTTTCCTGCTCCTGGTGTCCTACATGGTCATATTATCATTACTCAAGTCTCAGGCAGGATAGGGCAGGAGGAAAGTCATCTCCACCTGCACCTCCCACATCACTGTGGTGACCCTGCATTTTGTGCCCTGCATCTATGTCTATGCCCGGCCTTTCACTGCCCTCCCCACGGATAAGGCCATCTCTGTCACCTTCACTGTCATCTCCCCTCTGCTCAACCCTTGATCTACACTCTGAGAAACCATGAGATGAAGTCAACCATGAAGAGACTGAAGACTCTGACCTTCTGATAGGAAATAGACCAGTGCTTCCCTCCTTCTCACCACTTTTGAAAATGCTTGCCCAGCAAATACTTTCTACTCACTAATTGATTTCTAATTATTTTTTAGTCTACTAATAAGAAGCACATGACTTTCAAACATTCTGATTAGCAGGTCATAATAATGTAAAAAAGATGGGTTCTGTGTCACAGGAGAAAGTACAGAGATAAAATTGTTAGCAGGAGAGGTGTATATTGTTTTTGTAATTCAGTCTTGGAAAACCTAAAAGAAATGAAATCAAAATACACTCAGACATTTCCACTACAATCCTTTACTGCTGCCAGGAAGGGAGCTGAGACACATATTAGAAATATGATGCAGCTTGGGCATTAGGATTCCATAAGACCTTTCACAGAGTCATCATATCCTAATTAAAGAAACCACATCCAAGTTAAGTTCCTCCTCCAATCCTGTAAATGAACCAAATAAATATCACTGTTAGATTTTTTAATCTAAAGCCCACCTACCGATAGCTGAGAGCAGGTGCTTGGATCAGCATAGCTTGAGTTAGAACATGACCTCACCTATTGTGACCTCTATGACCTTGAACATAGTTCTAACCTGATCTTCCTCTGAACCCCAGGTCTGCTGGCCCCCGCTCCAGGACATTCCGTCAGTAGCCTGTGCTTGGCTGTAGCACAACCCTTGGGACCCTGTTTCAATTCCGTGTTCTCTTTCTCCCAATCTCCCCCAGTAGGATTATGCTTTATTTATTGTCATATCCCCAACACCTGGCACAAGTATAATATAATAAACGCTACTGAAAATTACTGAATTAAAACATTCAGTGAAAGACTACTGCCTCTCACTCATTTCTGCTACTCAAATCATTGGAAAGTATTGTTAAGAAAATAATTAAAAATGCTCACCATCATTGGCCATCAGAGAAATGCAAATCAAAACCACAATGAGATATCATCTCACACCAGTTAGAATGGCAATCATTAAAAAGTCAGGAAACAACAGGTGCTGGAGAGGATGTGGAGAAATAGGAACACTTTTACACTGTTGGTGGGACTGTAAACTAGTTCAACCATTGTGGAAGTCAGTGTGGCGATTCCTCAGGGATCTAGAACTAGAAATACCATTTGACCCAGCCATCCCATTACTGGGTATATACCCAAAGGACTATAAATCATGGTGCTATAAAGACACATGTACACGTATGTTTATTGTGGCACTATTCACAATAGCAAAGACTTGGAACCAACCCAAATGTCCAACAACGATAGACTGGATTAAGAAAATGGGGCACATATACACCATGGAATACTATGCAGCCATAAAAAATGATGAGTTCATATCCTTTGCAGGGACATGGATGAAATTGGAAATCATCATTCTCAGTAAACTATCACAAGGACAAAAAACCAAACACTGCATGTTCTCACTCAAAGGTGGGAATTGAACAATGAGAACACATGGACACAGGAAGGGGAACATCACACTCTGGGGACTGTTGTGGGGTGGGGGAAGTGGGGAGGGATGGCATTAGGAGATATACCTAATGCTAAATGACGAGTTGATGGGTGCAGCACACCAGCATGGCACATGTATACATATGTAACTAACCTGCATATTGTGCACATGTACCCTAAAACTTAAAGTATAATAATTAAAAAAAAGCATTAAAAAAAAAGAAAATAATTCATTTTTTACTCTCTGAAGACATGACTTCCTAAAAATGACTGAAATCTTTGAAGCTGCTTCGGACTGTGCATACTTATTCAAAAAGCTGGAATAAAATGGAAAATATTATTCGATATATCAAGTTGGTTTTTATTTGTTTACTTAATGTGCTATTACAGCTGCTGGGAGTTATTCTTTTGTTTTTTGTTTTGCCCATTTCTGGAGGTAGATCCTAGATATCTTAAAATTGTTGAAACTAGCAAAATGTGTATGTCGGTATACAAATCTCAATTCACAAATCAGATATGCAAAGGCCCTGAGATGGGGATGTGTCCACAAGGTCAAAGAAACAGCAAGGAGGCCCTTGGGACTAAGTGAGAAGAAGCAAGTAAGAGAGAGGAAGTGCCTGTAGTTGAGTTCAGAGAGATGGTAGGGTCATGGGGCCAGTTCATCGCAACTTTGTGGACCACTGCACAGCTTTTAGCTTTCACACTGAGTAAGATGTGGCACATTTGGAGGCCTTCAAGGAGCAGAAGAGGTGTAAGGACAAAAACCAGGCAGCAATTCAGAGCCTACTATAATAGCCCCATGAGAGAAAGAATGAAGACATGACTTAGAATGGTAATGGTGGTCATGGTGAGAAGTTTGAAAAACGTTGAAGGTCAAGTTGGCATGATTTGCAGATGAACCCAACATAGGTTTCCTGACTACTATGCATCCCGTGAGAACTCCATCATCCAATTTTGTCATCAGGCCATTGAAAGTTCCTTCATTCTCACCTACACGATCCCTTCAGATCCAATATCTCCTTCCAGTACTTATGTGTCACACTTCAGACTCATCTTGCATGCATGGGACTGCAAGAATAGAAACTTATTTCCCAGCAGAAGCCAGAGGTTAACCTCTTCTAGTCATATTGTAGGAGTCAGTATAGCTGTGGAATCTTCTTCAGGACTCACGCTCTCCAGAAAGCATCCAGGTAATCCAAGCTAGGAAAATAAATAAATTAAAATAAAATTAACTTTTTATATTCATGAATAAATGCTGTACCTGGAAATAATAATATAAAAAGTCAGGTTTTTGTTTTGTTTTCTTTGGTTGGTACCATTTATTGTGTCATTTATTTATATTTTCAAATCACTTAATAAATTTTTTTTAACATAGGCACCAGTTTTTCTTGGAGAAATGACTGATTTTAGGACTGGGGCAGGGAATATACAATATAAGCCTGGAGCACCTTTTAGCACCAAAAAACAAGGAAATGTTTAAAAAGCAAAACAGTGGAGGTATGTCAAAGGGGCACAGGAGCCAACTGAAAGAATTTCCCATGGCCAAAGTTGGAACGACAAAATACATAATGTAGTCAAGGATTATAACCCAAAGTATAAAATAAATATCCATGAGCCCAGTCATAAATAAACGATTAAATAAATCAATAAATGGAGGATAATAGACAAGTCTTGCATGCAGGAGAATTCCAAATAATGTATGTAGATTGTCCACCCTCAAGGACGTGGAGCATGACTCCCGATTTTTTTTTTAATTGAGACATGATCTCACTCTGTTGCCCAGGCTGGAGGGCAGTGGTGCATCTTGGCTTATTGCAGCCTCAACCTCCTAGGCTCAGGCGATCCTCCCACCTCAGCCTCACAAGTAGCTGGGACTATAGGCAGGTGCCACCATGCCTGGCTAATTGTTGTATTTTTAGTAGAGACAGGGTTTCACCCTGTTTCCCAGACTGGTTTCAAACTCCTGAGCTCAAACAATACTCCTGCCTTGGCCTCCCAAATTGCTGGAATTGCAGGCACAGGCCACCACACCCAGCCCCAACTCTCTAAGTGTGAGTTATAAATAGTTATCTCCTCTCTCCAAAGAGTACAGTTTTTTAAAATCCTGGGGAAACCTGACAAAGACTACCTCAGCCGGGTGTTCAAAGTTAACATCATCAGTGATCAATCATGTTAGTGGCATGTACCCTAATATGGTTTGACTATGTCCTCACCCAAATCTCATCTTGAATTGTAGTTCCCATAATTCCCATGTGTTGTGGGAGGGATTTGGTGGGAGATAATTGAATCATGGGGGTGGTTTCCTCCATACTGTTCTCATGGTAGTGAATAAGTCTCACGAGATCTGATGGTTTTATAAGGGGTTTCTCCTTTTTCTTGGTTCTCATTCTCTCTTCCCTGCCACCATGTAAGACATGACTTGCTCCTCCTTGCCTTCCGCCATGACTGTGAGGTTTCCCCAGCCATGTGGAACTGTGAGTCAATTAAACCTCCTTCCTTTATAAGTACCCGGTCTCTGGTATGTCTTCATCAGCAGTGCAAAAACACACTAATACATACCATTTGATATGATGTGATGAGAGTGGCATTTGGCCTCTGTGTTCTTTCTCCCAGACATCTGCAACCCCTGTCTAACCATGAGAAAATCATCAGGACCAGCCAAACTGAAGAACATCATATAACAGCAGTCCCCAACCTTTTTGGCATCATGGGCTGGTTTCACAGAGGATAATTTTTCCACAAATGAAGGTGGTGGGGAAGGTTTTGGGATGATTCATGTGCGTTACATATATCCTGCACTTTATTATTATTACATGTAATATACGATGAAATAATTATACAACTTGCCATAATGTAGAATCAGTGGTAGCCCAGGGCTTGTTTTTCTGCAACAAGATGGTCCCATCTGGGAATGATGGGAGACAGTGACAGATCATCAGGCGTTAGAGTCTTATAAGGAGCAACCAACCTAGATCCCTTGCATGCAGAGTTCACAGTATTGTTCCCACTCCTATAAGAATCTAATGTCCCCACTGATCTGACAGGAGGTGGAGCTCAGGCAGTAATGCCAGCAGTGAGGAGCAGCTGTAAATACAGATGAAGCTTCTGTCACTTGCTTACCCCCTACTCACCTCCTGCTGTGTGGCCTGGTTTCTAACAGGCCAAAAGCTGGTAACAGTTCATGGCCTGGTGGTTGGGGACCCCTGTTCTATACAATACTTGACAATGACTCTCAGTACTGTCAAGGTCATCAAAAACAAGGGAAACAATGGAAGCAATTATGGCCAATATTCCATTTTTAGAAGCTTAAAGCTGTAGATCTTAAAGATGGTCAAACAATGAAGCTAGCTATTGAGTAGAATCACATTTCTCACTGTGTGGCCATCTTGGTGTCTCGTTTCATTTGACTTTATTTTTCTTAGTATAGACAGCCAACCACACTACTCTGTCCTGTGCCTGCTTCAACCTCTTCCCAGACTGGGGATTCCTAGTCAGTAAAGTAAGTGTTGAGATCTGGAGAAGGGATGAGCCTTCCCCAAAGCTTGCATGCCCATGTACTGTTTGTTACTAAAGGTTCCATTTCCAGTTCTCTTTGTGCAAGTTGTTAGACTTGGAAATAGAATAGGATGGAAGACCGGGCAGTGAGTCCAGTGCCCTCGTCACCTCCAAGTTTCTCTGCACCATGGGCACTCGTGGAAGGGTGCCCTCTGATCGCCAAGAACAGCACTTTTTGGACTTTCTCAGGAATACAGCTTGACTTGTTTCCACACAACCTTTCTTCCTTTTGAAGCCAGAAGATAAGGGGATTAATTCTTTCAGTTGCCTCTGAAAAATTTTAGGCTCCAGACAAAATGTGTGTTCCTAAGCATATGTGTCTGAGTGACTTCTTAATTACTCCCACTGAAACAACCTCACCATCAGCAGAATTTTTCCACAACTGCATCCAACTGTAATCCCTCTGATAATTCTCACACTAGTTCTGGGATTAAGGAACTGGTAAATATGATGGGACACTGTGAATCAGTGTGGAAGAGCCAAGAAAATATCATTCCCTAAGTCCTTTCCACATTAAGATAGAAGAGATGCCATTGAAATAACCGGCCTTCAGAGGGGTGTTGAGCAGAATTTTCTGAAGTTGGATGATTCCTGAGATTCATGTGAACATTATTTAAGATGCTGGAATTCTTGGAAGAAGATTGCAGATTTTAGGTAAAAAAATAAAAGTCTGCATGTGTGTGTGTGCCTGGGGTGTCTGGGTGTTTATGCATAGAGTGAGAAATAAGAAAAAAAATTGAAATCTAGATGTAATCATTAAGATTCACAAATACACTATGACTACAAATAATGTAATATGTATACAAGATGCTGCATTCTGGGAGAACCTTCCTTTAGTAACAGACAGCATAAGCTAGAAATAGTAACAAAGAGTACGTTGTGGAATGAGAGAAAGAGTTGAGGTCAATTTGGAATTGGGGAAAAGGCAGCTTTTGCTTTCTGCGACCTCTTGAATAGTACAGAGAAGAGATTTTTCTCAGTCTTCTTTTCTCTAGACGGATCTTCTCAGGCTGAAATCAACAGAGGTGATTCTTACCCTGAACTTAAACCTGCAGTAACAAACGCTCACAAAAGTTGAGAGACTCAGACAATAAACACCTGTCTACCCTTCTTTAGATCTAACACAAAAATAAGAAGTTTATAGTGTAGGGGACAGGGGAAAACTTCCCCTTCATCCTCTGAAAGTTCACTGAAAATCAGCTGACAAAGGCAGACAATTAGGAGAAAAGGAATACAAATTTATTTGATCATAGTTTTACATGACATGGGAGCCCTCAGAATGAAGACCCAAAGATACAAGGAAAATGTTCATTTTTATGCTTAGGTTCAACAAGGTGTGGACAGCCATGTAGAAATAGGATTGGACAAAAAAGGTATGATAGCTTGCTTTGGCAGCACATACTAAAATTGGAACAATGCAACAATGTAGAGGAGATTAGCATGGCCCCTTTACCAGGATGGCACGCAATTTAGTGAAGCGCTACATAAAAATAAAAATTTTAAATTTAAAAAAATGGTATCATCTAATGCTAATGGACAATAGTGAAACCCAGCAAGTCCTGTCTGTTTAGATCTTATTTGGCCTCTCTGTGCAGCAATTCCTTGCTCCTGGGTATGAGGCAGTGCTCGCTCTCTCTCTCTCTCTCTCTCTCTCTCTCTCTCTTTCTCTCTCTCTGTCTCTCTGGAATGGGGTTCTTATGACCTACAGTCAAACAAAGTAGACCTGAGAATTTATTTATGACCCACTCTTACACAGAAAGGTGGAGTCACAGGGAAGTTAGAAAAATATGTTTAGGTTTTATAGCTGGCTTTGGAGAAAAGGGGTTCTGGTTTCCATGACCCGCCTTAGGGAAGAGATATTGTAGTTTCTACAGCTAACCTTGGGGAAGAATGAAGTACCAGCCACCTGACACAGGAAGGCAGGAGGAGGTCAGAGAAAAACTTTTACTTCTGAGGCTACTTCTGAGGCCTTCATTATAGGGTATTGTTTTCTGAAACCTTATGATAGCAATGATTTTCTTTTCTCTGTCTTTCCATGCTGTCATGTTTGCACCCTTTCTTTCCAGTCAAACTTCCCACTCATTAGCAACTTTCATATATTTAAATAGTCCTGTAAGGCCAGAATGTCCTTTCTCCCCGTTCCTATATGTCCCAAATGTAAACACCACTTCCTCCATACAGCTTCACTGAGCCTCTTATTTGGAAATCATCCTCTTTTCACACTCAGCTCTTCATCTGTCCTTAAATTGTCCCCATCACTCCCATGTAACTATTAGATTTCAATGCTTTTCCCACTGTATTTAGATTATATTCCTTTCTCTCAAATAACCTAGAACTCTTCCCATACTCCATCAATATTTGCTAAATAATTGGATAGATTAAAAGTAGCAGAAGGGTGGAGCAGAAGCTAGGGGATGTTGTCTTTAAATTACCAAAGGCAGTTTGTGAACATGAGACCTATTTCTTTCAGACCAATAGTCCTGGCCTGGGGTCTGGGATATGGTTTACCTTCCACCCATGTGTGTGTAAACAATGTGCTGTTTACATGGGGGTCCCTTTGAAGAGCTTAATAACTAAATTGGTTTTCTTCACATCTCTAGTAACCATACTGAGTTGGTGTTCCTAGTGACCATTTCCTCTCTCTTTAAGCTAATCAGGATTGATAACTACCATTTAGTTCAATACACTCCATTTACTGATGAGGCTTCACTGTTAGGGTTACCCAGCATAGCACTAATCACGACAGATAACCAGCCCATATGCTGAGAAGAGTACACAAGTTAATTCTCCAACCCTCTTAACTTCCCTGTGAGGTGAGTATTATTATTATCCCCATCCTACAGATGAAAAAATAGAGGCTCAATGAGGTTATGCACTTGCCCAAATCACACAGTGGCAAAGCCAGGACTTGAACCCAGATGAGTCTTGATCCCAGAGCCCTTGCACTGAACAATTTCTCTGGTCTGCTAATAAGATGTCAGAGAAGAAGCCAAACCAAGCAAGTGCTCTTTTTACTGTCATACACTGTCACGACTCTCTGGGTCACTGGAAGGCAAATATCTCCTAATTCCTTCAAAACAGCAAATGTTCTGATGAAGTGGTTGAGGACACACGTGTGGGAAACATGCAGCTCCTCTAAAAGAATGTCCATAAATATATTGGAGATATATTTATTGAAGAAGCTGTGTGTGGGAATTATTAACCTGGAGTTGTCTTTAAGGTAGCACACATATAATTACACTTATTACAGATTAGGCAACGCTCTAAGTACTGATGCTCTACATAGATTAACTTATTTAACCCTCACAAAAGTCTAATGAAGGAGATGCTATTGTCTCCAAATTACTGATATAGAGAATGAGGTCAAGGGATGAAGCAATTTGCTCATGTTAGCACAACCAGTAAGTACTCAGCTGGGATTTGAACAGGCTGCGTGGTGCCAGAGTCTAGTAGGCATCTACCTCGAAGGTAGAATACTTCTTGGCAGCTTGTTTTCGGATTTACCCATTAAATAGATTTTGGACAAAATTGCCTAGAGAGGAAAGAAAACTTGAAGACAAAGCGAGCTAAGTGAGAAGAAATATCTTCATTTAAATTGGAGAACACACCCAAAGAACGGGAAAAAAGGGACTTTTGCCCTTCATTTGTTTCTAATTATGGAAAGAAAAAGGAGATAAACTAGGAAGAAAGAAAATAAGGCCCATTACAAAGATTTACCAAAAAAAAAAAGAAAGAAAGAAAGAAAGGAATTCAAAAGCAACACAGTTATAAGGTAAGTGTATGTGTAACAGTTTTTTAAAAAATTGCCAGCCAGGCGCGGTGGCTCATGCCTGTAATCCCAGCACTTTGGGAGGTCAAGGCGGATGGATTACCTGAGGTCAGGATTTCAAGACCAGCCTGGCCAACATGGTGAAACCCTGCCTCTATTAAAAATACAAAAATTAGCTGGGCATGGTGGTGGGAGCCTGTAATCCCAGCTACTCAGGAGGCTGAGGTGGGAGAATCGCTTGAACCTGGGAGGCAGAGGTTGCTGTGAGCCAAGATTGTGCCACTGCACTCCAGCCTGGGTGACAGAGCAAGACTCCATCTAAAAAAAAAAAAAACTGCCAAAATATTTTCAAATTGATTGTACCATTTTACATTCCTACTGGAGTTCCATTGGTCTACATCTTTGTCCACTCTTGATATATCAATCTTTTTCATTCCAGTGACTCTAATGTATACTATTTTTAAATTACAACGTGGTTTCAATTTATATTTTCTCAGTGATAAATGATGTTGAGCCTTTTCATGTGCTTATTTGCTCTCTCTGTGTCTTCTTGCTGAAGTGTCTGTTCAAATAATTTGTCCTTTTTTCTCTTCTTTTTTTTTAACTTCTTTTAGTGACTTCATTTTGTTAAAATAATTTGTCCTTGTTGCTTAATTGGTTGTTTGTTCTCATACTATTGAATGTTAAGAGTTACAGCCATTCCACTCCTAGCTACTTACCCAAGAGAACTGAAAACATATGTCCACACAAAGACCCAAATGTGAATGTTCATAGCAGCTTTATGAGTAATATTCAGAAGCCACAAATAACCCAAATGTTCACCTACAAGTGAGTGGATAAGCAAACTGTGGTATATTCATACAATAGAAAGGAACAAAATAGCAGTACACACAAAACAACGGATGAATTTCATGGTTGAAAGAAGGCAGACAAGAAGAAAATACAAATAGTAGAATTTCACTTATAGAATATTATAGAAAATACAAACTAATGTATAATGACAGAAAGCAGATCAGTTGTTGCCTGAAGAAGGAAGGGTAAAGGGGACAGGCTACAAAGGGGCACAAGGACATTTTCTGGGTGATAGATATATTCACTCTCTTAACTATAGAGATGGTGTCACAGGTATATATGTCAAAACTTATCAGCCGGGAGCAGTGGCTCATGCCTGTAATCCCAGCACTTTGGGAGGCCGAGGTGGGTGGATCACAAGGTCAGGATTTCGAGACCAGCTGGGCCAATATGGTGAAACCCTGTCTTTACTGAAAATACAAAAATTAGCCAGGCGTGGCGGCACACGCCTTTAATCCCAGCCACTCAGGAGGCTGAGGTGGGAGAATCACTTGAACCTGGGAGGCAGAGGTTGCAGTGAGCCGAGATCACGCCACTGCACTCCAGCCTGGGCGACAGAGTAAGACTCTGTCTCAAAAAAAAAAAAAAACATTATCGAAGTGTGAATTCAAATATGTGCAGTCTATGGTATGTCAATGATAGCTCAACAAAAATTATTTTTTAAGAAAGAAATTGAAACAACAGAAGAGAAGCTCTGAGTAATATTTTTATTTCCATTGCTAAGGAGCTATTCACCACCCCGGGGTTTCAGTACCTAAAGTAGATTAAAGTAAAGAAAGAAACAAAGCAGTCCCCTTAAAGAAGAATAGAGCAATAGAAACAAATTTTATGGCTTAAACATTTTCTAATTTTTCATGGAAATAAGTTTGTGATTTAAGAAGAGAGGGGTGCTGCTTCCATACAATTCAATCCAGTGGGGGGCCTCTTTGCAGACAGGGGTTCTTAGAACCATTTAAATGGAGCATCCAGTCTGGGAAAAAACAACAAAATCCTCAGCCCTGTGAAACTCAAGGTGTTCTAGTCACACAAAGTAAGCACTGCCTTATTCTCACAACAAACTAATCCCATTTTTATATTTCCCATGCCACAATAGTCTCTTTCTAAATAATTAATATCCCCCTCTGTTTATCTTGAATAATGTCCTAAGTATCTTGAATAACTGCAACATTATTTTTATACATTTTTTAAAATTGTAATTTATATAAGTGTATGCATGATTGTATAATAAGATGTCATTTTACATGCATTGGCAATAAACTTGAAATTGTAATATCTCACAAGTTTTCAGACCTAATACTTGAATCTGTTAAGAGAGAGTAAACACTTTCTGAAATAACATTATTTTTTCCAAGATATTCAGGAAAGAGAAAACATGATTCAATGGAGTTGGGAAATGTCACCAGAGTAAAAGAATTTATATTTCTGGGACTTACTCAATCCCAAGACCAGAGTTTGGTCTTGTTTCTTTTTTTATGTCTTGTGTACATGACGACTCTGCTGGGAAACCTCCTCATCATGGTCACCGTGACCTGTGAGTCTCGCCTTCACACCCCCATGTACTTCCTGCTCCGCAATCTAGCCATCCTTGACATCTGCTTCTCCTCCACAACTGCTCCTAAAGTCTTGCTGGACCTTCTGTCAAAGAAAAAGACCATATCCTATACAAGCTGCATGACACAGATATTTCTCTTCCACCTCCTTGGTGGGGCAGACATTTTTTCTCTCTCTGTGATGGCGTTTGACTGCTACATGGCCATCTCCAAGCCCCTGCACTATGTGACCATCATGAGTAGAGGGCAATGCACTGCCCTCATCTCTGCCTCTTGGATGGGGGGCTTTGTCCACTCCATCGTGCAGATCTCCCTGTTGCTGCCTCTCCCTTTCTGTGGACCCAATGTTCTTGACACTTTCTACTGCGATGTCCCCCAGGTCCTCAAACTCACTTGCACTGACACTTTTGCTCTTGAGTTCTTGATGATTTCCAACAATGGCCTGGTCACTACCCTGTGGTTTATCTTCCTGCTTGTGTCCTACACAGTCATCCTAATGACGCTGAGGTCTCAGGCAGGAGGGGGCAGGAGGAAAGCCATCTCCACTTGCACCTCCCACATCACTGTGGTGACCCTGCATTTTGTGCCCTGCATCTATGTCTATGCCCGGCCCTTCACTGCCCTCCCCACAGAAAAGGCCATCTCTGTCACCTTCACTGTCATCTCCCCTCTGCTGAACCCTTTGATCTACACTCTGAGGAACCAGGAAATGAAGTCAGCCATGAGAAGACTGAAGAGAAGACTCGTGCCTTCTGAAAGGGAATAGAAAACAAATCCAGGCCAGGCGCGGTGGCTCACAGCTGTAACCCCAGCACTTTGGGAGGCCAAGGCGGGTGGATCATGAGGTCAAGAGATCGAGACCATCCTGGCCAACATGGTGAAACCCTGTCTCTACTAAAAATACAAAAATTAGCTGGGCATGATGGTGCGCACCTGTAGTCCCAGCTACCAGGAGGCTGAGGCAGGAGAATTACTTGAACCCAGGAGGCAGAGGTTGCAGTGAGCCAAGATTGCGTCACTGCATTCCAGCCTGGCAACACAGCAAGACTCCATCTCAAAAAAAAAAAAAAAAAGAGGCCGGGCGCGGTGGCTCATGCCTGTAATTTTTTTGGGAGGCCGAGGCGGGCAGATCACGAGGTCAGGAGATCGAGACCATCCTGGTTAACACGGTGAAACCTCGTCTCTACTAAAAATACAAAAAATTAGCTGGGCGTGGTGGCAGGCGCCTGTGGTCCCAGCTACTCGGGAGGCTGAGGCAGGAGAATTACTTGAACCCAAGAGGCAGAGGTTGCAGTGAGCCGAGATCGCGCCACTGCATTCCAACCTGGTAACACAGTGAGACTCTGTCTCAAAAAAAAAAAAAAAGAAAAGAAAACAAATTCAGCTCTTCATCACCAAGGACACCTTATATTATTTTTCCCATGAATTCACATTTACATACTCAGATACATTGTCAGTAAACCAACTATACTGACTATGAACAATTTGTCTTCCTATTTCAGTTAGTAGATAACTGATAACCTAAGCTTCTGTGCAGCATGAACTAACTAGTGTTATAGGAGTGAACTGACTGTTACTTTTCCAAAGACCAAGTAACCTTATGTCAATCAAGACAGCTATATGGCAGGCAGATAAGATGATTAAGTCCAACATTTTTTTCAGAAGATAAGGAAATAAAAGCCCAGAGAGATAAAGTGATGTGTTCAAGGTCTTATATTAAGTTAATTACAGAGACATCTTCAGATGCTCAACCCATTGTTCTTCCACCACATGAATGTAATTTATTACATTGTTGGACCTGTCTATACCAAACTATAATCCTGTTCCAGAAGGATCTCATGATCAATGCCTCTGGAGTACATATATGTGGGTATGCATAGCCTATTGCAGATTGAGAAATTGGCCTCTGCTGAATTAAACTAAAGTGGGCTCATGAGCTACTGAGAACTTCATAGGAACATAATGGTTATCCTCCTGGATTCCTATCAAGATTGATGAGGCTTGGGAAGATTTCTCATCATGGCCTAAAGGTATATATCTTAATGCAGAACTAGACATGCCACACATTCTCATGATGAGTTTGGATAAAGGCAAAACTTCAGAAACCACACACATGAAGCAATTTATCTCTACCATCAAAGGACCGATTTTCCAGTTGCAGCCTTACAAGGGTCAGTTTTGCCTTGGCCTCACCATTGAGAATTCACATTTCTTTTCACTGGAAAGAGAGAATGGGAGAGTTTAAGAAGAAAAAACTCTACCCGGTCTATTTTTTCAAACTTCTAGTGTTTGTGAAGAGGCAGTATAGGCTAGTGTTATTATCTGGGAGAGCAGTAAAGCATGGTGGATGAAAGCTCTAATTTCAGAGTCATACAGACCCAGGTATGAATCCTATCTCTGCCATCCACCAGCTGTGCGATCTTGAGCAAGTTATTTCACCTCTCTCTCCAAAGGTCATAGTTCACCTACGCAAAGATTCTCGTTATAATATCCATCTCATGAGGTTGTTGTAAAGGACAAAATGAGATGGTATACATGAAATATATGATACCTGGCAGAGAATAAATGTGCAACCAAAGATAAATGTCATTATTAATATCACCTTTATTGCTTTACCTAACACGCCTTCTGTTTCCCATTGGCCTGTAACACCCTTTTCCTATATGACCCATACTCCTTATTTTTAGATAAAAACTGGTTGAGTAGAAAACATGAAAATGTATATTGAGTTCAAAACATCCATCATGTTAAAATGTCTAGCTTTCTTTTTTTTTTAACAAAAGAAAAGTTTAAAAAGGAAGAAATCATACAGATAACACAATTGTCCACATTGTCAAGAAAATATAGAAAAATACTCTTAGGACTAATAAATGACTTCTGCAAGGTCTTAGGATACAAGACCAATGTACAGAGATCAATCATATTTCTGTATACCGACAATAAACATGTGCAAACCAAAATTAAAAACAACACCATTAATAGTCACTAAAAATGAAATACTTAGTTATAAACAACAAAAAAATGTATAGACTGTGTATGCTGGAAATTACAAAATGTTGATGAAAGAAATCAATCAAGACCTAAACAAGTGGAGAAGCATACTGTGTTCATGGACTGGATGATTCAACATAGTAAAGATCCCAATTCTCCCAAAATGTATAAGTTTAATGCAATTCTTACCGAAGTCCCAGGAAAGCTTTTTTGTAAACTTTTTTTTTTTTACAATTTAATCTTTTATTTTTATTTACATTTTATGTAGAATGCTTATAACTAGAAAGAAAGGTTTCTTTTTTATATATACTTTAAGTTTTAGGGTACATGTACACATTGTGCAGGTTAGTTACGTATGTATACATGTGCCATGCTGGTGCGCTGCACCCACTAACTCGTCATCTAGCATTAGGTATATCTCCCGACGCTATCCCTGCCCCCCCCACCCCACAACAGTCCCCAGAGTGTGATATTCCCCTTCCTGTGTCCATGTGATCTCATTGTTCAATTCCCACCTATGAGTGAGAATATGCGGTGTTTCGTTTTTTGTTCTTGCGATAGTTTACTGAGAATGATGATTTCCAATTTCATTCATGTCCCTACAAAGGACATGAACTCATCATTTTTTATGGCTGCATAGTATTCCATGGTGTATATGTGCCACATTTTCTTAATCCAGTCTATCATTGTTGGACATTTGGGTTGGTTCCAAGTCTTTGCTATTGTGAATAATGCCGCAATAAACATACGTGTGCATGTGTCTTTATAACAGCATGATTTATAGTCCTTTGGGTTTATACCCAGTAATGGGATGGCTGGGTCAAATGGTATTTCTAGTTCTAGATCCCTGAGGAATCGCCACACTGACTTCCACAATGGTTGAACTAGTTTACAGTCCCACCAACAGTGTAAAAGTGTTCCTATTTCTCCACTTCCTCTCCAGCACCTGTTGTTTCCTGACTTTTTAATGATCGCCATTCTAACTGGTGTGAGATGGTATCTCATTGTGGTTTTGATTTGCATTTCTCTGATGGCCAGTGATGATGAGCATTTTTTCATGTGTTTTTTGGCTGCATAAATGTCTTCTTTTGAGAAGTGTCTGTTCATTTCCTTTGCCCACTTTTTGATGGGGTTGTTTGTTTTTTTCTTGTAAATTTGTTTGAGTTCACTGCAGATTCTGGATATTAGCCCTTTGTCAGATGAGTAGGTTGCGAAAATTTTCTCCCATTTTGTAGGTTGCCTGTTCACTCTGATGGTAGTTTCTTTTGCTGTGCAGAAGCTCTTTAGTTTAATTAGATCCCATTTGTCAATTTTGGCTTTTGTTGCCATTGCTTTTGGTGTTCTAGACATGAAGTCCTTGCCCATGCCTATGTCCTGAATGGTAATGCCTAGGTTTTCTTCTAGGGTTTTTATGGTTTTAGGTCTAACGTTTAAGTCTTTAATCCATCTTGAATTGATTTTTGTATAAGGTGTAAGGAAGGGATCCAGTTTCAGCTTTCTACATATGGCTAGCCAGTTTTCCCAGCACCTTTTATTAAATAGGGAATGCTTTCTATTATCAAAACATGACAATAGGTTTGCTTGTTATTCATAAGGCTTAAAGAGTCGCCCTGGGCAGGCACAGTGGCTCATGTCAGTAATCCCAGCACTTTGGGAGGCCGAGGAGGGCAGATCACCTGAGGTCAGGAGTTCAAGACCAGCCTGCCCAACATAGTGAAACCCCATCTCTACTAAAAACACAGACACAAAAAGTAGCCGGGCATCGTGGTGGGCACCTGTAATCCCAGCTACTCAGGAGGCTGAGGCAGGAGAATCATTTGAACCTGGGAGGCAGAGGTTGCAGTGAGGCAAGATTGTGCCATTGCACTCCAGCCTAGGCGACAGAGCGAGACTCTGTCTCACGAAAAAAAAAAAAAAAAAGTCACCCTGAAGCTGATGAGAGAAACAGCACAGGAGAATTTAATATCAAAAGAAGATAATGGGTCAAAAATAAACCCTGGCTTATAGAGTAGCCAAGAGGACAGGCCCCATGGGATGGAACAGAGAGCCCAAGGAGAGTAAATTAGCCAAAGGATAATGAATGTTGAAGGATAGTGAATGTTGAAGACAAACTTTACTTAAGTCCCTCATTGGATCTGGCCTGGCCCTGTAAGCATTCATGAACTAACTGGCTCAAATGTTTGCCACTTCCTGTCACCTGATCAACAAAACCTAACTTCTTACAATATTAACTTACTTCTGCAAGCAAACAGATTCTAATAAAAAGTCACACTTGCCAGATCACTATTCATAGGGTCCTGCTACCTTTGCCCAAGTAGCTTTGGTCTCAAGAGTCCCTAGGCTTTTCTTTATGAAATTGCTTATGAAAAATACACACTACAAGCCACTTAATAGCCCATTTCACGCAAATCCGTCCTTTGCCCTTTTCTTTCTTTCCTAACTCTTGTGACTCACTCAGATCAAGTTTTTATCTCTATATCAGAATCAGATGACTCCACAGATCTATAGGGCCTGATTAAGAAACACAATCCCAAGAGATCAAGAACCCAGGAACTCTTGGCATATCATTGTCCCTGTTGACTTCCTCATGACCGTGTCTAAACATGCAACATAACCTGATTCAATAACTCAGGACAGAAAAAGCAATTGCATCTGATCACACAAACACTTATTGGCAGTGACATAAAATCACAAGTTGAGCAGCATTTTTCCCACTTACATTAGTTTTGACTAGTTTTTGTTTGTTTTGTTTTGTTGTTTGTTTTTTGAGATGGAGTCTCGTTTTGTCACCTAGGCTGGAGTGCAGTGGCATGATCTCAGCTCACTGCAGGCTTCGCCTCCCGGTTTCCAACGATTCTCCTGTCTCAGCCTCCTAGGTAGCTGGGATTACAGGCACACACCACCATACCAGCTAATTTTTGTATTTTTAGTAGAGATGGGGTTTCACCATGTTGGCCAGGCTGGCATCAAACTCCTGACCTCAGGTGATCTGCCCACCTCAGCCTCCCAAAATGTTAGGATTACAGGCGTGAGCCACCGTGCCCAGCCTAGTTTTTACTTTTTTTTTTTTTTTTTTTGAGATGGAGTCTTGCTCTGTCACCCAGGCTGGAGTGCTGTGGCGCGATCTTGGCTCACTGCAACCTCTGCCTCCCAGGTTCCAGTAATTCTCCTGCCTCAGCCTCCCAAGCAGCTGTCATCAATAAATAAAAATTGTATATATTTACAGTGAACAGTACAATGTGATGTTTTATTATACATATACATTGTGAAATGATTGTTGTATGCTTTCATTATTTTTTAAGCTCTGCTGCTAAGAACTGTAGAAAAGTCAACTGACTCTGGGCACACACGTGGATTTCAAACTGCTCTTTTATATATGTGCTCCCCAAATTAAATGTTTTCATAGTGAATATCTCTGGGTACGCATGAAAAAATAACATAAAATAATTATGCAGTAACTGAGTTGATGAATATCAAGAGCTGTACCTAGATGTAAAGTGAGCTATACATTTCAGAGATGTAGGTTAAAATAACTGTGGGGGCTGACGGGGCGCAGTGGCTCATGCCTATAATCTCAGCACTTTGGGAAGCCGAAGCAGGCGGATCACTTGAGGCCAGGAGTTCAAGACCAGCCTGGCCAACATAGTGAAATCTCATCTGTACTAAAAATACAAAAATTAACCAGGCACAGTGGCTCATGCCTGTAATCCCAGCTACTTGGGAGGGTGAGACAGGAGGATCACTTGAAGCCGGGAGGCAGAGGTTGCAGTGAGTTGGGATCATGCCACAGTACCACTCCAGCCCGGACAACAGAGCAAGACACTGTTTAAAGAAAAAAAAATGTCCTGGGACAATGTACATGTTGCTTTAAACAGAAAATGTGGCCAGGCGCCGTGGCTCATGCTTGTAATCCCAGCACTTTGGGAGGCAAAGGCAGTTGCATCACCTGAGGTCAGGAGTTTGAGAACAGCCTGACCAACATAGTGAAGCCCCACTTCTATTAAAAATACAAAATTGGCCAGGCATGGTGGCAGGCTCCTGTAATCCCAGCCACTTGGGAGGCTGAGGCAGGGGAATGGCTTGAACCCGGGAGGCAGCGGTTGCAGTGAGCCAAGATCGCACCATTGAACTCCAGCCTGGGCAACAAGAGCAAAACTTCATCTCAAAAAATAAATAAATGAATAAAATAGAAAATGCACGTATAAATCCATACAGTCTCTGAGAGCTGCTCTGACAGTAGCCACAGAGCTTTGAATTTTTCACTGTTACTCTTTTATTTATTTAAGTTTCATTTCCTAGCTGATTGCAGGCAAAGTGACTTTAGTCAAGAGGAAGACTGCACAGTCATTGGTGTGGTTTAACAAAACACTCTCTTCCTGAGCCAAAGAGGAAAATACACTGTCTCATGTGTTTCCTCTAGAGGAAAGGGTATGTCCTGAGTGCACGGGTGCCTCTGCATGTATGTATGAGAGAGAACAGAGAAAAAATGAGAAAGAGGGAGAGAGAACAAAAGAGAGAGTACAAGACAGAGAGTACTTGGTGACATTTTAATGACTCCCAAAGGAACTCCTGAGTTGTATTGTAGCGTATTATATTGGCCACTCAGCTTCCACATTCATACCTAACAATATTCCCTTTGCTAATTCCTATATTGGGCTGTGGCTGGAGACTAATACAGGTGGCCAAAATGTAGTAAAGTAGAAAAGAGTCAGAATACTGTAATTACCTGAGGTTGCTTTTTCCCATCTGAGGAAAGAAGATAATAAAATCACTCACTTTGAGGTAGGCTTTACATTAAACAGAGAATTTCCCCAGTACCTACTTCTTCTAAAATGCAGCTGAGGCATCATAAGAGGATCAATTTCCCACTTAAAGATTAAACCAGCAGTTAGTATTAGTGCCTATGAACTTCTGAAACTGAAAAGCTGTTTGTGCTGAATTTTGAGAAATGCTGCAAATGTGTAGAATGTTCCTATGGAAGTCAAGACTCTTAAGAAGCAAAGAAAAGAGGTAGTTTTTCACTATTAGAAAGAGGGAAAGTGTGGCTTGCAAAATATAGGAAGATGGTCAGTTGGCTTGGCTGTGTTTTACTTGTTGGGATATTGAGGTTCAAAATTTATTAAAGGTAGTTGAGAAGGTGCTGACGTCACCAGCTCTCAGGAGGATGACTGCCTTGGAAAAACAGCTTTTAAAGGCAGTAATTCCTGAGTTTAGTAGATGCAGTTTTGCCTCTTGGCTGGGAATGAAATTTTGGAAGATTTGAGTAAGATGTTTTAATGACAAGATTATCTGTGCCTTCATGTACCACTGAATAAGAATAATGCTTCTAGTAAAAGTTTTAGGGATTCAATCAAGAATAAGGGATTTTCAAAATTGGAAAATAGAAAACCGTGATATGTGTGGCATCCTAGAAAGTCAACTTAATGTAGAGAATGAGGAAGAATTTGCTCAATGGGATGCTGGGGTATGGGGGGGAATCCTCAGTTTGCAGGCTCTGTCCAAGATACTTGATAAGCTTGTTTCCAAAGAAGGGTCCCCTTTGGGATGATTTTTTTTCTTTTTTCTTTTTTTTTTTTTTTTGAGACAGAGTCTCACTTTGTCACCCAGGCTGGAGCCTGTAGTCCCAGCTACTCGAGAGGCTGAGGCAGGAGAATGGCGTGAACTTGGGAGGCGGAGCTTGCAGTGAGCCGAGATTGTGCCACTGCACTCCAGCCTGGGCGACACAGCGAGACTCCATCTCAAAAAAAAAAAAAAAAAGAACATCTCAAATCCATACGTGAGTAAAAAATAAAACGGTAACTCTTGAGTTGGTCACAGTGGCCCATGCCTGTAATCTCAGCACTTTGGGAGGTCCAGGCAGGTGGTTCACTTGAGCCCAGGAGTTTGAGACCAGCCTGAGCAACATGGTGAAACTCAGTCTTTTTGTAAAAATACAAAAAAAAAAAAAACAGCCAGGCATGATGGTACAACCTGTAGTCCCAGCTACTGGGGAGGCTGAGGTGGGAGGATCAATTGAGCCCAGGAAGCGGAGGTTGCAGTGAGCCACGACTGCACCACTGCACTCCAGCCTAGGCAATGGGAGTGAGATCCTGTCTCAAAAAAACAACAACACAACAAAATGTTTACTCTCAGATGATAGCTGGTGATGACTATAACCACGTAACTATAAAAGTAACTTATAAAAGTGAGTGGTCCATTAAATTTTGCTTTAAATGTAATTCATTCTTTAAACATGAGATTAAAGTGTTATAAATGATAAATGTTATGTTTGTTAGTTAAAACTTTATACTGAAGTATGATATGCTAACATACAGAAAAACGCACATACATGTACAGCTCAATGAATTTTTTTTTTTTGAGATGGAGTCTCGCTCTGTCACCAGGCTGGAGTGCAGTGGCATGATCTCAGCTCATGACAACCTCCGTCTCCTGTGTTCAAGTGATTCTCCTGCCTCAGCCTCCCAAGTAGCTGGGACTACAGGCGTGTGCCACCACGCCCAGCTAATTTTTGTATTTTTAGTAGAGACGGGGTTTTAACATGTTGGCCAGGCCTCCACTCACCTCAGCCTCCCAAAGTGCTGGGATTACAGGCGGGAGTCACCATGCCCGGCCAACTCAATGAATGTTTTTACACCAGCAGAATATGCCTACTGGTGTAAACCAGCACCCAGAAGCCTCCCTTAGGCTCCCTTCAGTTTTGTACATATGAATAAAATGGAAGAGTGCATACTCTTTGGTCCCTGGATTATTCAGCACAACATTATGTTTGTGGGATTCTCTTATATTATTACGTATAGTGTAAATCATTCTCATTGCTGTATAGTATTGTGTGAACGTAACACAGTTTATTTATCTTTTCTACTGTTGATGGATTTCTGAGTCATTTTCCAGTTTGAAGAAATTATAATCAGTGCTACTGGTGAGGTGTGGTGGCTCATGCTTGTAATCAAACTTAAGAGGCCAAAGTAGGAAGATCACCCGAGGCCAGGAGTTTGAGACCAGCCTGGGTAACATAGGGAGACCCCAACTCTATAAAAAAATTAAAAATTATTCCAGCATAAAAAAATAAATAAAAAGAAAAAAATTATTCAGGTGTGGTGACAGGCACCTGTAAGTCCCAACAACTAGGGAGGCTGAAGTGGGAGGATCGCTTGAGCTCAGGAGTTTGAGGCTACAGTGAGCTATAAGCTCACCACTGCACTCCAGCCTGGGCGACAGAGTGAGACCCTGTCTCAAAAAATATAAAAAATAACAGTGCTGCTATGAATATTCTAGGACATGTCTTTTGATGAACATATGTACATATTTCCTAGAAGTAGAAATATGTCCTTAAGAGATATATAGGTAATGATATACAGATAGATCCTTTAAAAGAGATATATCATCATACATGTAGATATATACATATCCTCCTATGTATAAAACTATATTTATATACTGTCTTAGCAGAGATAATCAAATAGCAAAGTGGTTATACCAATTTTACACACCCACTAGCAGTGTATTAGAGTTCCAACTGTTCCACATCTTCACCACCACTTTTTCATCTTTTCAGTTTCTATCTTTTTCAATTTAGCCAATCTGGCATGTATATTGTGGCTTATTGCTATAACTAATGAAGTTGAATTGGCATTTGGATATGCCTTTTGTGAAGTATTGGTTTCAATCTTTCGCCATTTTGAGGTTGGGTCATCCAGCTTTTTTACTGATTTGTAGAGGCTCTTTATATATTCTGAACATGAGTCATTTCTCAGATAAATGTATTGTAAATATCTTGCTCCATTTGCAGGTTATCTTTGAATTCTCATAATGATGCTTTTATGAACAGAAATCCTAATATATTCAGATTTCTTCTTATTATTTATTATTTTAAGTGTCAGATTTTATAGTGAAAGTACAATTGAATAGATTCACGGACTTGCAACCTCTGTTTCAGCAGCAGCAGTGAGAGAACTTTGTCTCCTGGGATGACTGAATCAAAAACCTGGGTAATCTTTCATCCAGTGGTGGCATACTGACTTGCAGACACAGTGAGTGCATAGGGAAAAGAGCTTCCTCCTAATTCTGAGCCAAATCTTAAGTGAAAAGACAACACTAGATTTTAGGACCTATCAATATTATTTAACTGCACTATTATTTCTTCCAGAGATGAACCTGATAAAGGATCTGTGATTCAATGGATCAGAGAAATTACACCAGAGTGAAAGAATTTACCTTCCTGGGAATTACTCAGTCCCGAGAACTGAGCCAGGTCTTATTTACCTTCCTGTTTTTGGTGTACATGACAACTCTAATGGGAAACTTCCTCATCATGGTTACAGTTACCTGTGAATCTCACCTTCATACGCCCATGTACTTCCTGCTCCGCAACCTGTCTATTCTTGACATCTGCTTTTCCTCCATCACAGCTCCTAAGGTCCTGATAGATCTTCTATCAGAGACAAAAACCATCTCCTTCAGTGGCTGTGTCACTCAAATGTTCTTCTTCCACCTTCTGGGGGGAGCAGACGTTTTTTCTCTCTCTGTGATGGCGTTTGACCGCTATATAGCCATCTCCAAGCCCCTGCACTATATGACCATCATGAGTAGGGGGCGATGCACAGGCCTCATCGTGGCTTCCTGGGTGGGGGGCTTTGTCCACTCCATAGCGCAGATTTCTCTATTGCTCCCACTCCCTTTCTGTGGACCCAATGTTCTTGACACTTTCTACTGCGATGTCCCCCAGGTCCTCAAACTTGCCTGCACTGACACCTTCACTCTGGAGCTCCTGATGATTTCAAATAATGGGTTAGTCAGTTGGTTTGTATTCTTCTTTCTCCTCATATCTTACACGGTCATCTTGATGATGCTGAGGTCTCACACTGGGGAAGGCAGGAGGAAAGCCATCTCCACCTGCACCTCCCACATCACCGTGGTGACCCTGCATTTCGTGCCCTGCATCTATGTCTATGCCCGGCCCTTCACTGCCCTCCCCACAGACACTGCCATCTCTGTCACCTTCACTGTCATCTCCCCTTTGCTCAATCCTATAATTTACACGCTGAGGAATCAGGAAATGAAGTTGGCCATGAGGAAACTGAAGAGACGGCTAGGACAATCAGAAAGGATTTTAATTCAATAAGGGTAAGATAGTACCCATATTTAAAGATAGACATTAAATTTCACTTTCTCAAAATGGGAAAGGAGCTTGTTCATGCCCAAAACAAAGAGATACCTATGGCCACCATCGAGTCCTAAAAGAAGTTATTCCATCATATATGTTGGGGACCACGTGGATGATACTGCTCTAAGACAAAATCCACTCAAGTCTTTCCCTACTCACTTTCAATTATTCATTCCACAAATTTTTATAGAGCATACACTATATGTCTGAAAGTACTGGGATTCAGATTGCTGCAAAAAGATTAAATGTAGTCACCTTCCTGGAGGCATAACCCAAAATACTTATTAAAAAATATAAACAGGCCAGGCGTGGTGGCTCACACCTGTAATCCCAGCACTTTGGGAGGCCAAGGCAGGCAGATGACCTGAGGTCGGGAGTTCAAGACCAGCCTGACCAACATGGAGAAACTCAGTCTCTACTAAAAATACAAAGAAAAATAGGCCAGGCATGGTGGCGCATGCCTGTAATCCCAGCTACTCGGAAGGCTGAGGCAGGAGAATCACTTGAACCCGGGAGGCAGAGGTTGCAGTAAGCTGAGATCACACCATCACACTCCAGCCTGGGCAACAAGAGCGAAACTCCATCTCAAAAAAATAAAAAAAATAAAAAATAAATAAACAAAGTGCTAGGGGAACTGTAGCCACAATATTACTTGAGAGTTTCCAAAGACATTTAACAGCCAGTAGACATTTTCAAGGGGAAAAAGATCAGAAAAGAACAATCCAAGCAAGGAAAACAACATGTACTTGTCCACATGAGGTGTCTTATGCCTGTAATCTTAGCACTTTGGGAGGCTGAGGTGGAGGGATCACTTGAGCCCAAGAGTTCAAGACCAGCCTGGGCAACTTAGTGAAACCTCATCTCTACAAAAAATCATGATAATAGGCCGGGCGCGGTGGCTTATGCCTGTAATCCCAGCACTTTGGGAGGCCAAGGCGGGTGGATCACAAGGTCAGGAGATCGAGACCATCCCGGCTAACATGGTGAAAGCCCATCTCTACTAAAAATACAAAAACAAAATTAGCCAGGCTTGGTGGTGGGTGCCTGTAGTCCCAGCTACTGGGGAGGCTGAGGCGGGAGAATGGCATGAACCCGGGAAGCAGAGCTTGCAGTGAGCCGAGATCACACCACTGTACTCCAGCCTGGGCAACAGAGCAAGACTCTGTCCAAAAATAATAATAATAATTAATAAATAAATAAAAATTAACCAGACATGATGATGCACACCTGTAGTCCCAGCTACTTGAGAGACTGAGGCAGGAGAGGTTGAGGCTGCAGTGAGCCATGTTCACTTCACTGCACTCCAGCCTGAGCAACAGATCAAGACACTTGTCAAAAAAAAAAAAGAAAAGAAAAGACAAAAAGAAACCAGCATGCGCAAAGAAAGAAAATGAGGTGAGATTGTGCCACATTTGTGTAACAGTGAACTCAGTGCAGCCATGGCGTAATACACTCTTGGGGTGAATACTGGTACTGGACCTTTAAAAGAAAAGTTGGGAAGAATAACTCCATTTATGACCACCTGAACAATGCAAGCCCATGATTTCTGTTGAGGAGAGAGGATCCCCAATTCACTTCAAGGACATAATTTCCTCCTAGGAGAAGGAAATAATGCTGTTAGTGAGAGTGTTCATAAAGAAGAATCACTGTTGCCGGGCGCAGTGGCTCACGCCTGTAATCCCAGCACTTTGGGAGGCTGAGGCGGGTGGATCACGAGGTTAGGAGATCGAGGCCAGCTTGACCAACATGGTGAAACCCCATTTCTACTAAAAATACAAAAATTAAGCCGGGTGTGGTGGTAAGCGCCTGTAATCCCAGCTACTCAGGAGGCTAAGGCAGGAGAATTGCTTGAACCTGGGAGGCGGAGGTTGCAGTGAGCCAAGATTGTGCCACTGCACTCCAGCCTGGGCGACAGAGCGAGACTCCAACTCAAAAAAAAAAAAGGAGAAGAATCACTGTTGAGGCTGTGGACAGCTCCTTTGATTTTGAGAAAAAAATGAGCAAAGGCAGATGCCAAGCTCTCAAATGGGAAGCAACTGACTCCCCCTTATATAGCAGGATTAGCCAGATCCAAATTTCCTGTTGTTTCTATACACAGTGATCTCACCACTCCTTTACCTGTGCCACTCAATCTATTAGAAGGTAAAGAAAGGGTATAAAAAGCATGATAGTTTAATTAGTGAACCTGAGAATTTGCCAGTCTCTGTTGTGAAAGAGACAGGGATAGTGCTAGGAGAAGATTTATCTGACAATCCAGCTGATACTCTGCTAAGATCTATTGACTTCACCATACTGTGTTCCCCACTATGATAAAGCTCAAGCCATAGCAGCTGGCACACATTTATCAATCAGAGTAGGCCAACCACTGCA
This sequence comes from Homo sapiens, assembly GCF_000001405.40. Taxonomy (NCBI): domain Eukaryota; kingdom Metazoa; phylum Chordata; class Mammalia; order Primates; family Hominidae; genus Homo; species Homo sapiens. The sequence continues at coordinate 59,518,270 of NC_000011.10, forward strand.
ACAAAAATGTCCACGGTCTAAGTAGTTAGCCACAACAAAAGTTTACTTCTTGCTCATGTCACAGGCCAATGCTGGTCTGCAGAAAGAGGGCACAGTGCCACACTGTCATTCAGAAATGCAGGCTTCTCCCGTCTTGGGCTCCACATTCTCTAGATCCTCAGAATCCTGTCCATGATCCAGCAGATGGAGAAAGGGAGAGAGAATTAAGAATAAGTGATTCTCCTGCCTCAGCCTCTTGAGTAGCTGGGACTACAGACATGCACCACTATATCTGGCTAATTTTGTATATTTTTATTTTCATAGAGATGAGGTCTCACTAAGTTGCCCAGGCTGGTTGAAATTCTTGGACTCAAATGATCCCTCCACTTCAGCCTCCCAAAATGCTAGAATTACAGGCATGAGACACCTCACCTGAACATGCTCATGCTGTCTTATGCTCCACAGTCTCTAGATCCTCATAATCCTGTTCATGCATCCAGCAGATAGAGAAAGGGAGAGAAATTAAGAATTATGGGGAAGGGAGGGGTGTGTCTTTATGGGACAGTCCTGGAAGTGGTGTGAACTACTTATGACCACTTTCATTGGCCAGCCCTTGGTCACATAGCCTCACCTGACAGCAAGGGAGCCTGGAGAATGAAATCAAACTCTGCTCTCAGAAAGAAGAAAATATGAAGAATGAACTCTAGTGATCTCTTCCACATGTAAGATTCACTGCTAAGAAATCACAGTTGGGTTACATTACAAAGATTAAGACTTTGTCTATAAAAGGATTCTCTTAATACATAAAAATGTTTGCTACAGGGCTGGCTGCGGTGGCTCATGCCTGTAATCTCAGCACCTTGGGAGGCCAGGGAGGGTGGATTGCTTGAGCTCAGGAGTTTCAGAACAGCCTGGGCAACATGGCAAAACCCCATCTCTACAAAAAATATAAAAATTAGCAGAGCATGGTGGCACACGCCTGTAGTCCTAGCTACTCAGGAGACTGAGCTGGGAGGATCACTTGAGCCTGGGGAAGTCAAGGGTGCAGCGAGCCATGAATGCCCCACCGTACTCCCACCTGGGCAAAAGAGTGAGACCCTGTCTCAAAAAAAAAAAAAGAAAAAGTTTGCTGGAAAGGCAACTAGACCCTTAGAACACACAGAGAGCCAAACCGAAATGAAGGAGATGGGGGAAAATTTTTCTTAACTTAAAGGAAGAGGGAAATGATCAAGGTAAACCCTGGGATTAGGATGACAGTAGACTAGAAGGGCAGGGTTCCATGAGATAGAACATTAGGGTAGAGTGCCCCAAGAAGATAGGCCAAGAAGACAATCCTCATAGAAAGCAACTCTCACTTATTCCCAAACTTTTCATGGGCTTGTTGTAAACAAGTTCGATTAATGCAGAAGCTCCTTTAGCAATGAATGTTCTCCAAAACTACCATTTGACGCAGCAATCCCATTGCTGGGTATATACCCAAAAGAAAATAAATTATTCTACCAAAAAGACACATGCACCTGTATGTTCACAGTAGCAAAGACAAGGAATCAGCCTAGGTGCCCATCAATGGTGGACTAGATGAAGAAAATGTGATACATTATACACCATGGGGTACTATGCAGACATTTTTAAAAATGAATTCATGTGCTTTACAGTAACATGGATGCAGCTGGAGGCCGTGATCCTAAGCAAATTAATGCAGGAACAAAAAATCGAATACCACATGTTCTCACTTATGGGTGAGAGCTAACCATCGATTTACACATGGACACAAAGATGGGAACAAAAGACACTGAGGCCTACTTGAGGGGAGGAGGGTGGGAAGAGTGTGAGGTCAGAAAACTACCTATTAGGTACTATGCTCACTACCAAGATTGTCTTCTTGGCCAATCTTCTTTGGGCACTCTACCCTAATGTTCTATCTCATGGAACCCTGCCCTTCTAGTCACTACCTGGGTGACAAAATCATTTGTACACCAAACCCCAGCAACACACAATTTACTCATGTAACAAGCCTACACATGCACCCGTTGAACCTAAAATAAAAGTTAAACAAAAATGAAATCAATGTTATCTTCTTTGCTGATTGACATTTCCTGTGTTCTATTTCTACCACTCAAAAATGTTCTGAATTTCTCACTCATAGATGGGAATTGAACAATGAGAACACATGGACACAGGAAGGGGAACATCACACTCTAGGGACTGTTGTGGGGTGGGGGGAGGGGGGAGGGATAGCATTAGGAGATATACCTAATGCTAAATGACGAGTTAATGGGCACAGCACACCAGCATGGCACATGTATATGTATGTAACTAACCTGCACATTGTGCACATGTACCCTAAAACTTAAAGTATAATAATAACAAAAAAAAGAAAAGATAAATGAAGTCAATTGAGGAGATAATAGGGTTTTATTTTTTCTTTTCCTTGCAATGATTGTTACAATGTGCTTTGGACAAGGCAATTTTATATTGGAAAAATAGAGACCACATTGAAGTGGAGTTGTAATAGAATCTGGAAATAAAAAAAATATGGTTAAAACTAAAAAAAAAAAATGTTCTGAATTATTTTCCAATATTGGATATCTTTCCCCAAGTATGAAAATGCTAATATAGACACAAATTAGTTTTCAGCTGGATCCAGCTGCAGCTATCGAATCACCACTTCCTGCCTGGCTCCATCCTTGTTCCAGTATAATTGTTCCCCTCATCATCTAGTACTTTTTGCAATGATATCTTTTTTCCTACTTCCCTGTTGGTTTTACCGAAAACAAGAACTTTGTGACTGGGAAGAATTTTAAGTGACCAAAAATCCGCACAATCTTAGTTTGTGTTCCTGATTGTAGGATCTCACAAATGATAGCAACCCGGCAAAAGCTGCCCGTGCAGCTGCTTTGGACTAATTGGAGAAGTGGAGAGAGTATCAGAGTAATTCAGAGATACTGAATCCTTTGGACAAGGAGAGTGACAGAGCCAGCTACAGGAAAGGAAGGGTTCAGCTCTGGATAATAATGATCAGATCAGTTTTAGACATTTGAAATTAGAGGTGTGCACCATACGCAAGTGAAATAAATCTATGGTGAGAGACAAGGTATCAAAAATACATGCAAAACAATCTGATAGAGTGAAGAAAAGCAATTGGGCCAGGCGCAGTGGCTCACGCCTATAATCCCAGCACTTTGAGAGGCCAAGGTGGATGGATCACATGAGGTCAGGAGTTCAAGACCAGCCTGGCCAACATGGTGAAACCCCGCCTCTACTAAAAATACAAAAATTAGCTCGGTGTTGTGACAGGTGCCTGTAGTCCCGGCTACTTGGGAGGCTGAGGCAGGATAATCACTTGAACCCAGGAGGTGGAGGTTGCAGTGAGCTGAGATCATGCCACTGCACTCCTGGGCCACAGAGCGAGACTCCAAAAAAAGGGAAAGGAAGAGAAAGGGAAAGGGAAGGGGAAGGGGAAGGAGAAGGGAAGGGAAGGGAAAGGAAGGGAAGGGAAAGGAAAGGAAAGCAAAAGAACACCAAGTTAAGTTACTCTGGTGATCTCAGCATCATCAAGATGCCTCTATCTGAAACAAAATACAGATTAATCCAAGTAGTTATTTGATGCTATATACTTCTGGTAAAAATACTTCTCTTTTAATATAACATCAAATAATTACTTGGATTAATCTATATTTTGCTTCAGATAAAGGCTTGTCTTAGGAAACTATTAAATATTAAACTGATTCTAGCTTCACCTACATAGATCATGTAAATGGTCCTAGCATATTTTGTTTTTTCTATGCAAGGAAGGCTTCTTTTAAATTTCTGCAGTATTTTTTCATAAGCAAATAAATGCATCTATATATTCAAACTGACATAGGAGTTATCCTGGTTTAGGAATGATGCTGACATTTGGGTCTTCTTTAAGAAATTGAAAGAAGATTCAGATTGCTTTGGCTTAGTTTCTAAGATGCTACTATAGTCAGAACCACAGAACCCATGGGTAAGCATCCACAAAATTCCATCACAAAGTGCTACTCTGGAGAAGTCTACAGAGTTTTGTTGTTGTTGTTGCATTGCTTGTTTTTCAAGTCTGAAAGAAAATGTTTTCAACATAGTTCCTGCTCAATAAAACAGATTATTCATTCAGTGTTATATTAGGAATCTATGGCTGCATAACATATTACCCCAAAAGTTTGTGGTTTAAAACAAACCAAAAAACCAACATACTTTTTATGTCACAGTTTCTGTGGATCATGAATTTGACACAACTTAGCTAAGTTGTGGGCTTCAGGGTCTCTCACAGGCTACCATCAAGGTGTCAGCTGGGAGCCACAGTCTCATCTCAAGATTCAACTAGAGAAGGATCCATTTCCAAACTCACACATACAATTGTGGGGCAGAATTATGAGTTGTTGAACTGAGGGCTTCAGTTCCTTAGTGGCTGTTGCTGGAGGCTATTCTCAGTTTTCAGAGATGAGTTTTCAAAAATTACATTGGGGGTGAGCTGAGATCAAGAGTTTTTGAGGGGAAAAAAATGAAATTATTTGCTTTTAGGACCTCAGAATCCTCAGGACTGGAAGATGATGGGTATTCAAAAAATAGATCACAATTAAATATCTGGTGAATGAGTGGTACCAACGCATCATATGTCTGTATATTTCCTCTCTTCACATGAGAAGTTTGGTGGAAAACAAGGAAGAAAATGTGTTTCCTAGACTTTATGATCCTCTGATTATCTACATTAAAAGGACAACAAGCAGGCCAGTGTGGTGGCTCACACTTGTAATCCCAGCACTTTGGGAGGCCGAGGTGGGCAGATCACCTGAGATCAGGAGTTCGAGACCAGCCTGACCAACATGATGAAACCCCATCTCTACTAAAATACAAAAAGTAGCCCAGCATGGTGGCGCATGCCTGTGATCCCAGCTACTCAGGAGGCTGAGGCAGGAGAATTGCTTGAACCTGGGAGGCGCAGGTTGCAGTGAGCCGAGTTCGTACCACTGCACTCTAGCCTGGGTGACAGAGTGAGACTCTATCTCCAAATTAAAAAAAAAAAAAAAAAAAAAAGGACAACAAGAAAATCATCTGCCCAGAAAAAAAAGAGGATGGGATAAAACACACAATACTAGGAGTTCTATTCCTTTTCCCTAAGTTCCTACCTCTTAAGAAGATAGACTCCAGTTTAGTCCCCTATGACCTCTTTAGGGAAAGCTTGGGGCTCTAAGCACAAAGTCTGTAAGGATTCATCTCATCCCCTACATTGGGAGAATTGCAAAAGCAAAATATGTGTGTTGCACACACCTACCAGTGATGTCTGACTTCTTACTAACTCCCAGTGGAACTTCTTCTCAATAGGAAATTCTGGCTGCTCAACTTCAAAAACCACATCCAAAAATATATTCCCTTTGGTGATCATTTCCCTGGCTCTGATACAAATGGACTGGTATTCATGGCAGGCCCACTGTGGGGCAGTGTGTTGGAGCCATGCAGAGGCGATTCTTGGAGCCTGCAGGGGAGAAGACACTGAACCAACCAACCCTCAGATGCAGATCTGCCTTAAAGGAGAATAGCCCTTGACAAGTAATGACTCCTAAGGTCAGAACAAATGGCCAGTTCTGCTTCTTGGGTAGGTATTAGAGGTGGGGACTTCAAATGAGAACATTGTGTTAAGTTAGAGCTTTGTGGTGTGTGCTTGTATGTCTAAATGTTTATCTATGCAGGTGCACCCATGCACAGACAATTTTGAAGTATTATTGTAGATTACTTAGAAATGTATTGAATGCTAATGATGCTTTTACTAGGTGTAGAATGACATACATTAAAGCTAAAAATTGTAGGGGTGCAGAGCAGAATAATTAGTTGTTCAATATTAGCAAGGTGACTTGAAGTGCATAGAAAGGTCAACTCGTTAAGAGAAAGAGAGCAATATATGCTTTGTGGACAATAGAGTCGAGGGGTTCTCCAGGTTGGAGATGCTGTAAAATTCAGTAAGCCTGTTTTAGTAGAATGGATTTACGTAGGCATATTTCTAAGAAACAAACTGGGGGGTCCTCAGTTTGTTCTTGCCAAAAACAAAAACAGGAGAAAACTCATAAACTATACTTCTCTGTTTTCTTCTTTCCTGTTGCAAACAGACACATGCATTCACAGGGCTTCCCACTGATCCTTCCACTCTCTATCTTTTATCTTTAATTGTGCATAAATGTTATGCATGGAAGAGCACCATTTTGGCATTTTTCAGTTGAATTGGTGATTTGATCACTTTCACTTCTTTACAGAATCTCACATAATGAATGGACTCCATTAGTCCCATTTTTAAGACAGAAAGCAATGATAGAATATTTTTAGATCCACCTCATATTTTTCTTTCACCTGAAGTTACTGAACCACACACATCCCACCATGCAAGTGTTTGTCGTTGTTGTTGTTGTTGTTTGGTTGGGTTTTGTTTTGTTTTATTTTGTTTTTTGAGACAGAATCTCGCCCTGTCGCCCATACTGGCATACAGTGCTATGATCTTGGCTCACTGCAACCTCCACCTTCCGGGCTCAAGAGATTCTCCTGCCTCCGCCTGCCAAGTAGCTGGGATTACAGGCGTGCGCCTCCGCATGCGGCTAATTTTTGTGTTTCTAGTAGAGACAAGGTTTCCCTATGTTGGCCAGGCTGGTCTTGAGCTCCTGACCTCCAGTGATCTGTCGACCTCGGTCCCCCAAAGTGCTGGGATTACAGGTGTGAGCCACTGCGCCCGGCCCCACCATGCAAGTTTTATCTGCTTCCCAATTTCTTAATTTTCCATGTGTGGAGCCCAAGGAACATCAAACACTTCTCATTTTCAATTTTTCCCGACCCAATTCAGTGCCCTTGGACTGTCCCAAGCACCTAACACAGGCAGAGGTTGCAGGAAATCTAGGAGCCTCTGTTCAGCTCTTCTGCAGATCTCCAATCAAACCCACACGGAATTCTGAATCATCCCAATCCACATGGGTCCACCACTTACTAGCTGTATACCCTTGGCCAAATAACTTATCTTTTCCTAGCCTCAGTTTCCTTATCTGTAAAACAAAGGATTTACCTCAAAGTATTGCTGTCAGAGCTAAATGAGCTGCAGCAAGCAAAGAACCCAGAAAAAATAGCTCAGTTCAGATTTGCTGTCTGCCCCTCCCCACCTGCATTTGGATGGCCCTAAGTATGATAACTCACACACCCCTTGGTTCTTAAATATGCTCTGGATCTGAGTTTAACCCTGATCCTTGAATTGTTTCTTTTTTTATCATGTGTATTGGTCTTTTCAATAACAGCTTATAAACCTGCCTATGTGAGGTATGAGAAACACAGTTGGAGTCGTGCAAATAATCTAGATTTTTGTATATATCTGTAGCAGTTTGGATACTGCAGAATGAATATATTCTAGAGTCAGATGTAGACTAGATAGCCCTTAACTGCCAACCCTCAGTTGAAGAGACAAAGAAAAAGAAATCCGTTTGTTAAGTATTTTCACTATTTTTTTCTGATTACACATGGTTATTGATGTGATTGAATATATATGTATATTAATATACCTATATACTCAAATAATATGGAATAATATAGAGATTGTTATATATTCAAACAATGGGATATATCACATATATGTGTATAAACAATATGGAAATCTCCAACATTAATTTATTTCTAAGAGATCTGTTAACACCTTTGATCACTTACTTTAAGGCTTTTTTTTTTTCAGACAGTCTCACTCTGTTGCCCAAGCTGGAATGCAGTGACACGATCTCAGCTCACTGAAACCTCTGCCTCCCAGGTTCAAACAACTCTCCTGCCTCAGCCTCCTGAGTAGCTGGGATTACAGGCGTGTGCCACCACGCCTGGCTAATTTTTGTGCTTTTTTAGTAGAGAAAGGGTTTTTCATTTTGGGCAGGCTAGTCTCAAACTCCTGGCCACAAGCAATCTGCCTGCTGTGGCCTCCCAAAGTGCTGGGATTACAGGCGTGAGCCACCGAGCCCAGCCAGAGCATTGAATAATCTTAAACACTCCATGAATTGATGATACTCATCAACCCCTTAATCATCAATATCTTTCTTGTTTTCAGTTTTATTTTACCTTCATTGATGCTGGTATTGCATTTTGTTGTTGTTTTGTTTGTTTGTTTTGAGATGGAGTCTCGCTCTGTTGCCCAGGATGGAGTGCAGTGGCGTAATCTCAGCTCACTGCAACCTCCGCCTCCCGGGTTCAAGCGATTCTCCTGCCTCAGCTGGGACTACAGGCATGCGCCAGGATGCCTGGCTACTTTTTGTATTTTTTAGTAGAGACAGGGTTTCGCCATGCTAGCCAGGGTGGTCTCGATCTCCTGACTTCGTGATCCACCCACCTCGGGCTCCCACAGTGCTAGGATTACAGGCATGAGCCACCGCGCCCGGCCTTGTTGTTGTTTTAAACAGAGTTTCACTCTGTCACCCAGGCTGGAGTGCAGTGGCATGATCTCGGCTCTCTGTAACCTCTGCCTCCCAGGATCAAGCAATTCTCTTGCCTCAGGCTCCCGAGAAGCTGGGATTACAGGCGCCTGCCACCATACCCGGCTAATTTTTGTATTTTTAGATTTTTAGTACAGACGAGGTTTCACCATGTTGGCCAGGCTGGTCTCAAACTCCTGACTCAAGTGATTCGCCCACCTCGGCCTCCCAAAGTGCTAGGGTTACAGGTCTGAGCCACTGCACCTGGCCTTTTGCTAGTATCTCAATTTAAAGTAATAAAAATGGAATAAGGACCAGCATAAATATAATTAGTTGAGGGCATTTGGGGCCGAGGAAGAGCATGAGCACAGATATGGTCCAGCAAACTTCAATTTGGAGGAACAGCACTGTATGGGCAGGGCAGTAACCAAAAAAGAAGAAAGAAAAACCAAGAAAGGAAAGGAAAGTGTTGGAGCCAGGTAAGAAGGTAGGAACTGGGGTCAAATGCTAGAAGTTGACTCGGAAGACATTAGCATACCTTTAAGCAAAGGTACCCAAGGCTTACTGATTAATCGTTAAGCATATGAATGTCAAGCTCAGTTTTAATCCTACTTCTATCATTTACTGACCCATGAAAATCTTGACATTAATACACGGAAGTGACTGCAAATCACATAAATGCATGCTGCTAGATCCAAAATAAGTGTATCCTAACTCAACCTCACCTTAACTAGATCCCCAAAATGCCTGTGACCTCTCTAAAGCCACCAAACTAAGAATTGTGATGGAAGGGAGTTCAGAGAAGAAACAGGAGCCCCAGCTGATTGTGGTTATAATATTTTACTATTGCAAGCTCTACAAAAACATGTGACCCTGTGAGCATATTGCTAGGGCACTTCCCAGGGCCTTGGGCTCCTCAAATAAGGGGCTACAAGGCTTAAGCTCCATTAGCCTCATGAGAAATCCAATTTTAATCCTCTAGCCAGACCAAGGCCTCCTCAGAACTGGAACCCCTGGGACTGAGTCAAATGTACTAACATAGGTCTGTCATAGATTTCATCTTTTTAGAATTTCATAATACAGGTACCAGTGAAGTGCTGCATAAACCACATTCAAAACTAAGATTTTATTTCTAGACAAACCTGACCTGTGAATATATTGGTGCCAGGTAATCTCTTTAACAAACAAATCACATTTACATTCAAAATGGCATCTGCAGGGGTGAGATGCAGTTTTCCACTCGATCCTGGAATGGCAAGAAGAGGCCCTTGTGCCTCAGGGGCACTAACAGGTTGCTTCCTTCTAACAGACGTCCCTGGGGATAGGAGCCCTCCGCTGTGATTTAAGGTGCAAAAAACTGACTATTTCAATCTGCTTGCTCCTTCTTTACATTTGGGAATTTCTAATTCTTTGAATGTTATAGCTAACTCCAGGCTAACAAAGACCTCCCTTCTTTCCACACTTTGTTAAAAATCTTTCTCAAGATAGGGCACAGTGGCTTATGCCTGTAATCCCACCGCTTTGGAAGGCTGAGGCAGGAGTTCGAAAAAATAAATATTCTACCATTGCTCTATGAATGTAGCAAGGTTGGCATCCAAATCTCATGACTTCCAAGATGGTGTCTTTTCTCTATACCCTATTACTTCTGATTATAGTTCAACACAAAAGCAAAAAAACAAAACAAAAAAAAAAAACTTGTATGCATTATCTTGTGTTCTGATTTTTCTTAATACTTTTAAATATTTACTCTGAAGAAAATACCTGGCCTTTTAAAAACGAAAAATGTTTGAAAATGATGACATTCGCTGAGTTATTGATGGATTAATAATTAATTGGGAGTCAGCCTAGAAAATTGGCTTTGTGTTGCTTGAACTTCAAAGGGAAGATCATAGGAGGTAAATTAGCTGAGTAGAAGTTGTGCTCTGATGAAACAATGAGAGGTAAAGTACTGTGAAATCCAGAGAGCTCAGCGGTTAGCAGCAGGACCAGACATTGGCCTCAGTATGGGCAGAACATGGAGGGAAAGTGTACAAAGGCACATCAAACATACACACAGTGGGACATTAGTTAAAGCGGCAAAAACAGATTTTATTCAGTAACTACTGACAGTAGGGGAATGAGCTGGGCTCCATTGTGATTCGTGCAGAGGTGGTTCGAGCATTTTACAGGGAGAATGAATGAAGAATGGGCGAGTGTGAGGTCTCAATAGAGTCAGAGAAGTGAAAAATTGCAAACGGTTCGTCAGTGTCAATGCGATGAGGCCAGCTGTGTCTGCTAGCTGGCAATCATCAAAGGATTCCACCCTCCCACAGAGACTGGAAGACAGAGGCTTCATCCTTTTTGATAATTACATTTCAAAGGAATGGCTCCCAGGTCCTTAAGAAAGACATTTCTGAGTTCTAAGAGATGCATGTTCACAATCATAAGCCCTTTTTTGTAAATGCTCTAAGTAAGGGAGGTCAGAGGCCTATCATCAGGGTTCGGGTAAAACAAACCGTAAATTCTCCTGGCAGTATTGAGCTTACTCAAGCAGGCATTTAATGGGGGGCTGCGGTCATTCTAAGGAAACAGCCTTATGCTGCTAGAAGCCATGTGAGAGTTTGGTCTAGTTCAGGGGTTTCGACGGAGCTATATGCGGAGAGTTCTGCAGTTCTCAGGAGCATGAGGTTTGGGGGATAATGGAGATACTCATTATCCTAATTGTAGTGTCAGTTTCACAGGTGTGTGTGTGTGTAAGTGTGTGTGTGTGTGTGAAAACTCATCAAGTTGTACCCTTTAAATATGTGCAGCTTATAATATATAAGTTATACTTTAGCAAAGCAAGGGGCAATTTCATTTTAAGCAGTTTGCAAAACACAAAAGACATCCAGAAGCCTGTCAGCACCCAAACTGGTATTTATTTTAAATGTTCTTTTTAAAACAGAGTGGAAAGCAGGAGGAGTTAAATTAGGATTTACAAGAAGTGATGTTTGGCAATAAAAGTTAAAAAGAGTGTTTCTTTACTTTGTACTCTAATTGTTTTATCCTTTGACTTATCTACTTTTTAAAAGTTAATATCTTTTTTTTTTTTTTTTTTTGAAACAATGGTCTCACTCTGTCGCCCAGGCTCGAGGGCAGCGGCACAATCTCGGCTCAGTGCAACCTCCGCCTCCCGGATGCAAGCAATTCTTGTGCTTCAGCCTCCCAAGTAGCTGGAACTACAGGTGCCCACCACCACGCCCAGGTAATTTTTTGTATTTTAATACAGACTAGTTTTCATCATGTTGCCCAGGCTGGTCTGGAACTCCTGAACTCAGAAAATCTACCCGCCTTGGCCTCCCAAAGTGCTGGGATTACAGGCAGGAGCCACCACGCACAGCTTTTATTTCTTTTTTTTTTTTTTTTTTTTTTTTGAGACGGAGTCTCGCTCTGTTGCCCAGGCTAGAGTGCAGTGGGACAATCTCGGCTCACTGCAAGCTCTGCCTCCCGGGTTCACGCCATTCTCCTGCCTCAGCCTCCCGAGTAGCTGGGACTACAGGCGCCCGCCACCACGCCTGGCTAATTTTTTGTATTTTTAGTACAGACGGGGTTTCACCGTGTTAGCCAGAATGGTCTCGATCTCCTGACCTCGTGATCCGCCTGCCTCGGCCTCCCAAAGTGCTGCTGGGGCTACAAGCGTGAGCCACCATGCCCGGCTGGCTTTTATTTCTTAAAGCAGCTTTAGATTCACAGAAAAATTAAACTGAAATTATAGGGTTCCCATATACCTCCTCACCCCTCCAACACCACAGTTATCCCTCATTTGTTAACAGTTGAATCCATATTGATACTTTTTTTTTCTTCTTTTTTTTTTTTTTTTTTGAGATGGAGTCTCGCACTGTCGCCCAGGCTGGAGTGCAGTGGTGCGATCTCGGCTCACTGCAAGCTCCACCTCCCGGGTTCACACCATTCTCCTGCCTCAGCCTACCGAGTAGCTGGGACTACAGGCGCCTGCCACCACATCTAGCTATTTTTTTTTTTTTTTTTTTGTATTTTTAGTAGAGACAGGACTTCACCGTGTTAGCCAGGATGGTCTCGATTTCCTGACCTCGTGATCCGCCCACCTCGGGCTCCCAAAGTGCTGGGATAACAGGCGTGAGCCACCGCGCCAGGCGTTTTAGTTTTTTTGTTTGTTTTGTTTTGTTTTGTTTTTTGAGACAGGGTCTCTCTCTGTCACCCAGGGTGGAGTGCAGTGGTGCAATCTCAGCTAACTGCAACCTCAACCTCCAGGGGCTCACTTGGTCCTTCCCACGTAGCTGGGACTACAGACGCGCACCACTACACCCAGCTAATTTTTAGTAGAGTCAGGGTTTCACCATGTTGGTCAGGGTGGTCTCAAACTCCTGGCCTCAAGCGATCCACTTGCCTTGGCCTCCCAAAGTGCTGGGATTATAGGCGTCAGCCTCTGCACCAGCCAGAATTCAGTAAATTTTCAAGAGGAACAGAGAATATATAACATTTTGCAAAATGAAAGTTTTAATAGAATTATATGAATACACTGATACATATATGCTTCAATTAATTATACTCTGGGAAGCCCACTCTTCGATGTGCTCTGAGAAAACTCAAGAAACACCGTCCACCGGAGACAGTGCCCTGAAGTGTAGGCATCTATGTTTAAAAGGGAAATAAACCCTTAAAATAACCCCAAAGTGGCGAGGCTTGGTGGCTCACGCCTGTAATCCCAGCACTTTGGGAGGCCGAGGCGGGCAGATCACGAGGTCAGGAGATTGAGACCATCCTGGCTAACACGGTGAAACCCCGTCTCTACTAAAAATACAAAAAATTAGCTGGGCGTGGTGGCAGGCACCTGTAGTCCCAGCTACTCGGGAGGCTGAGGCAGGAGAATGGCGTGAACCCGGGAGGCGGAGCTTCCAGTGAGCCGAGATCGCGCCACTGCACTCCAGCCTGGGCAACAGAGGAAGACTCCGTCTCAAAAATAAAAAAAATACCCCAAAGCATACAACTCACATTTCTTTTGTTTTGAATGATAGGCCTTCTATAACAAAATCTCTCCCCAGGTGGTTGAAGAACAAGAAGAAACATGATCCCATTGAGCAGGGAAATTACACCAGGGTGAAGGAATCTCTTTTTTCAAGGACTGACCCAGTCCCAAGAGCTGAGCTTGGTCTTATTTCTTTTCTTATTTTTTGTGTACTCAGCAACTGTGCTGGGTAACCTCCTCATCATGGTCGTGGTGACCTGTGAGTCTCGCCTTCACACCCCCACGTACTTCCTGCTCTGCAATCTCTCTGTGTTGGTTATCTGCTTCTCCTCCATCACTGCTCGGAAGGTGCTAATAGACCTTTCAAGCAGAAAGACCATCTCCTTCAATGGTTGCATGACACAGATGTTTTTCTTCCACCTCCTCGGTGGGACAGACGTTTTTTCTCTCTTTGTGATGGCGTTTGACCAATACATGGCCATCTTCAAGCCCCTGCACTGTGTGACCATCGTGAGTAGGGGACAGTGCTCCCCTACATCGTGAGTAGGGGGCGTGAGTGAGGCGCAGGCCTCATCATGGCTTCCTGGGTGGGGGGTTTGTCCACTCCATTGTGCAGGTATTTCTGTTGCTCCCACTCCCTTCTGTGGACATCATATGATTGATGGTTTCTACTGTGATGTCCCCCAGGTCCTCAAACTTGCCTGCACCCACACCTTTGCTCTTGAGGTCTTAATGATTTCCAATAATGGCTTGATCTCTATGCTGTGGTTCATCTTTCTCCTCATATCTTACACGGTCATCTTGATGATGCTGAGGTCTCACACTGAGGAAGGCAGGAGGAAAGCCATCGCCACCTGCACCTCCCACATCACTGTGGTGACCCTGCATTTCGTGCCCTGCATCTATGTGCATGCCCAGCCTTCACTGCCCTCCCCACGGACAGAGCTGTCTCCATCACCTTTACAGTCATTATTCCTGTCCTGAACCCCATGATCTACACCCTGAGGAACCAGGAGATGAAGTCAGCCTTGAGGAGGCGGAAGAAAAGACCTTCTGGAAAGGGATAGATGCTACGAAGTCCAGATTGGAAAATCAGAACTGAAAAGTATTTCTTCATAACACAATAGAAGGCTTCAATCAATAGGCCATCTAGAGGCCAAAGTTTTATCTTTGTCCTAGAGCAGAGTCCTCTGATAAGGCTTTCCTGAGTCCATCATCACTTTAGGGTTTTCTCACAGTGAGGTTGTTGGCAGCTTAGAGTTTCAGATCTCTAAACTGTCAGCTCCTAAAGGAACTTTAAAGCTTCTATCACCCAAACACCTCATTTTACAGGTGAGGAAATGGAGCCTGAGAGGAAATTATCTCTCAATTCTTGAGCTATGGCTGTACCATGTGTTGCCCAGGCAATCATTAGTAAAATCACTTCCAGGGACCAGGAGTCAAGGCTATAAAATCCAGTAACCTCTCCCTATGAAAAATATTGGTTTTCCATTGCTAACCTTAGATGATTCAAGTTCCGTTTTTCTAAGGAAGCCTCTGAATTCCCGTTGCCAAAGTTAAGAAGTTTCATATTTTACCAAAGATCGCCCAGCACAGTGGTTCATGCCTATAATCCCAGCACTTTGGGAGGCCAAGGCAGGAGGATCACTTGAGTCCAGGAGTTTGAGACCTGCTTGGGCAACATAGTGAGAGGTCATCTCTACAAAAAAAAAAAAAGTGTCAAATGAGCCAGGCATGGTGGTTGTACCTGTAGTCCCAGCTACTTGAGAGGCTGAGGTGGGAGAATAGCTTGAGCCTGGGAGGTGAAGGCTGCAGTGAGCCAAGATCGTGCCACTGCACCACTCTTGCCTGGGTGACAGAGCAAGACCCCATCTCAAAAAAAAAAAAAAAAAAAAAAACTTTTAGCTAATTAACGGCAGAGGCACAGCTAGATCTGTCATATCTGACCTTCATTTAAGTGCATGTTTAACTACTGCTGCTGCTTCATGCAGGGTTTGATGCAGTCTGAAACAAGCTCATTTATAAAAATGCCTCCTCTATTGTAGTGTCATGAAAGGCACTTGGTTGTCCTTTTCACCTGACCAAATAGTACGTATTGCAGGGCTTCAGATCCCTCTAAGAATTTCAATGTCATTTTACGGCCATTCATTCCTGGCCAGACCTCGAGGGAGGAAGAAACCCTATCCTGCCTGCATCTCTAGAACATGCCTAATTCAGCTGGGCACGGTGGCTCATGCCTGTAATCCCAGCACTTTGGGAGGCCGAGGCGGGCAGATCACCTGAGGTCAGGAGTTCGAGACCAACCTGGCCAACATGGTGAAATCCCATCTCTACTAATATATAAAAATTAGCCAGGCATGGTGGCAGGTGCCTGTAATCCCAGCTACTTGGGAGGCTGAGGCAGGAGAATTGCTTGAACCCGAGAGGCAGAGGTTGCAGTGAGCCAAGATCATGCCACTGCACTCCAGCCTGGGCAACACAGCGAGACTCTGTCTCCAAAAAAAAGAATATGCCTAGTTCACATGTCCACAAGATGCAAAGGCTTAAGAAAACTCTTTTCATCATCCAGGGACTGATTAGCTAGAGGATCACAAAGCAGCCCCTTTCAAATTCCTCCTCATTCCTCTTTCTATCCTATTCTTTAGCACCTCCTCCTTAACCTAAGGGAATAGAAAACAAGACTAAATTCCAACTGGTCTCCTGGAAATCTAGTTCTTTGTGAAGCAAATAGTTGAAATTGATAACAAACTAAAACTTAGACTGGAAATGCTGACTGACCTGTAAAATTCCAGTCTTCCCTCCCAGGCAATCCTGACGTACCTGTGGCTGGAACCATGTAAGAGAAGTAAAGAACCATTTGCTCAGTGTGATTGAGGAGGAAACACAAGCAAGGAAAACTTGCCTTAAAGCATGGCCCATCCCAACCAGGCGTAACACTGCCCACTGTGTCTCTGGTAGTGCTGGCCTGAAATTCCTGCTCTTGAGATATTTGATAAATTACACACGGTTCACAGAGGCCATGTTACATACAATGCCACAGCTCCACAAATCATATAGTTCCAGTCAAAGCAACCTGAAAAACATGGTAGCTGCGATGGAGGGGTTGGAGGGGCAGGAGCATGCCTAAGTCTGTTCTCAGTAATGCCTCTCAAGGGATTAACTTCACATGGTCTAGGTGACTTCTGAAAGGCCCCAGGGGTCATCCAGGGTAAAGGAGATGTAGAACAGAAAAGCTTCAGTGGGTGGACCTGAGGGGAACAAATCCAAGCCCAGAGTGTCAAAGGTAGCCTGAGGGGCCCAATTACAGAGGATGGAATGCTTCAGCACAGTGGCCTAGTCAAAGCAAGGCAGACACTGTTGACAAAATTCACACTTGCTTATGTATGATCCTGGACACATGGGTGCCTTATTAAAGTTAGAGTATGTCTTTATTTTTTATTTTATTATTAATATTATATTATTAATTTGAGGCAGGGTCTTGCTCTGTCACCCAAGCTGGAGTACAGTGGCACAATTACAGCTTGCTACAATCTCCACCTCCTGGACTCAAGCCATCCTCCCACCTCAATCTCCCGAGTAGCTGGGAATACAGGCACCCTAGCACCACAGCTAATTTTTATATTTTTCTGTAGAAATGGTGTTTCACCATGTTGCCCAGGCTGGTCTCAAGCGATCCACCTCCCAAAGTGCTGGGATTACAGGCATGAGCCACCACACCTGGCCAAAGAATATCTTTTTAAGAATCTGTATTTCTAAGGCTGGGCGCAGTGGCTCACGCCTGTAATCTCAGCCTGTAGGCCCAGGAGAGTGGATCACTTGAGGTCAGGAGTTCAATACCAGCCTGGCCAACATGGTGAAACCCCATCTCTACCAAAAATACATAAATTAACTGGGCATCATGGCAGGCACCTGTAGTCTCAACTACTCAGGAGGCTGAGGCACAAGAATCACTTGAGCCCAGGAGGCAGAGGTTGCAGTGAGCCAAGATGGCCTCACTGCACTCCAGCCTGTGTGACAGAGTGAGACTCCATCTCACAAAAAATAAAAAGGAAAAAAAAGAAGAAAAAAATATGCATTTGCTTCTTTTGAGTGCTTTATTTCTGCCTAAAATTAAACCATTCATTCACATGTGACTTCATTCTTGAATTTTCTATCTAATTACCCACTGAACAAACTTCAGGTACCATTCAAACTTCCCTTTGAACCAGAGTTCAGAAACATGTTCAGCCATATCCATTATGTTATCAAGAGTATGCAAATTAAAAAAATGTTATCAAGCAACAATTGCTTAATAACAATCGCAATTTTATCAATCCTTATGTTATCAACAGTAGCAAATATTTTCTTTCTTGTGAATGATTTTTATTGTTAAAAAGTCATGCCTTTCAGGCTGGGGGCGGTGGCTGATGCCTGTAATCCCAGCACTTTGGGAAGCCGAGGTGGGGAAATCACCCAGGAGTTTGAGACCAGCCTGGGCAATACAGTGAGACCTCATCTCAGAAAAATAATCATGCTTTTCATAAAAATTAAACTCCCGGCCCGGCGCGGTGGCTCACACCTGTAATCCCAGTACTTTGGGAGGCCGAGGCCGGCAGATCACGAGGTCAGGAGATGGAGATCATCCTGGCTAACAGGGTGAAACCCCCTCTCTGCTAAAAACCCAAAAAATTATCCAGGCGTTGTGGCAGGCACCTATAGTCCCGGCCACTCGGGAGGCTGAGGCAGGAGAATCACTTGAACCCGGGAGGCGGAGGTTGCAGTGAGTGGAGATTGTGCCACTGCACTCCAACCTGGGCGACAAAGCAAGACACCGTCTCAAAAAAAAAAAATTAAACTTCTCTTCCTGAGTTTATCCTAACATTTAGGCTTTACTTTTTAGAGGCAAATAATGAATTGAGAATTCACAAATGACTATTCAGTTTCATACGCATATTATATATATATATTTAATATGTTTTATATATATATACTATGTGTGTCCTGTGTATATTCATGTGTATGTTTACATGCATACTACTTAATATGAGAAAAATATATAACATATATTTAATTCTAAAATACATGCACACGTATGTACACTTTTTACTTTGGCACTATTCCAGGATATACACACACACTCTGTGTTTCCTAAGACTATGGTGCTTTTTTTTTTTTTCTTTGAGACAGAGTCTCGCTCTGTTGCCCAGGCTGGAGTGCAATGGCGCGATCTCGGCTCACTGCAACCTCCGTCTCCCGGGTTGAAGCGATTCTCTCCCGCCTCAGCCTCCTGAGTAGCTGGGATTACAGGCACTTGCCACCACGCCCAGCTAATTTTTGTATTTTTAGTAGCGATAGGGTTTCGCCATGTTGGCCAGGCCGGTCTCAAACTCCTGACCTCAGTTGATCCGCCCGCCTCGGCCTCCCAAAGCTCTGGGATTACCGGCGGGAGCCACCGCTCCCGGCCTCAGACTATGCTACTTTGGAAATGAGTAGTATACATAAAAATCTACTCCCCATAAAAAATGTATTCCTTCTTCAAGGTAATGAGAATTGATAAAATTGCGATTGTTATTAAGCAATTGTTGCTTGATAAAACTTTTTTAATTTGCATATTCTAATACAGGGTCATTTAAATTTTTGCTAAATTGTTCCACATTTCCCACACTGAAAGGAAAATGAACTTCTAGACAATCTTCTCCTCTGGATGTAAACAGAAGCAGCGTCTACCAAGTAAAATGTTTTTGTAATGTTTCTTCACCACGAGAGGGAGCTATTTCTTTTCCCTGTTTTTCCCTTTGGCGGAAGTTCAGGAACCGGTGAAACCCTGTCTCTACTAAGAATACAAAAAAAAAAATTAGCCGGAGGTGGTTGAGGGCTCCTGTAGTCCCAGCTACTCGGGAGGCTGAGGCAGAAGAATCGCTTGAACCCCGGGAGGCGGAGGTTACAGTAAGCCGAGATTGCGCCACTGCACTCCAGCCTGGGCGAAAGAGGGAGATTACGTCTCAAAAAAAAAAAAGGAGGAGGGAAGGGGGAAGGGGGAAGGGGGAGAAATTTTTATTTCCGGAGACAAAATGTCAGAACCCATATATCACATTTGTTTTCTCCCTCTAAACCCTCAGATCTGTTTCTTAGAAGTGGACACGTGAACTCTTACACAGATCAAGAGGAGCAGCTCTGTAAATATTTCCCTGAGGTACGTCTGGTGCAGTCCTCTAGGGCCCCACAGATCAGAGTTGGAAACTTCTGCTATGGCATTGAATCCGCCACATCACCTAGCGGTTTAATGACAATGCAAAATCCTAGGCACCATCTGCAGAAGATTAAATAGTTCTGTCCTAGATACTAGGAATCTACATTTTTAGCCAGCTCACCCTTCCTTTCCCTGTCTCATCCATGATTCTGAGGCTGGCGACCTGTGTTATCACACTTTGAGAAACCGTTCCAAAGTCAATGTTTTTCAAACTGCAGATCCTGACATTCCAAGGAGTGTGATTTCATTTTAGTAGGTCTGGACATGCTTTGTTTTAATGAAATAGGATAGTCTAGGGTAGCATAAAAAATTATACAATTTGCCCGGTGCGGTGGCTCACGCCTGTAATCCCAGCACTTTGGGAGGCCAAGGCAGGCAGATCACTTGAGGTCAGGAGTTCCAGACCAGCCTGGCAACATGACGAAACTCCGCCTCTACTAAACATGCAAAAAGTTAGCTGGACATGGTGGCGCATGCCTGTCATCCCAGCTACTCAGGAGGCTGAGGCAGGAGAATCGGTTGAACCCAGGAGGTGGAGGTTGCAGTGAGCTCAGATAGCACCACTGCACTCCAGCCTGGGCAACACAGCGAGACTCAGTCTCAAAAAAAAAAAGAAAAAGTATACAATTCATTGAATATATATATATGGTATCAAGAGACAACCTATGGAATGGGAGAAAATATTTGTGAACCATGTATGGTTCAGATGTGTCTGAAAAGAGGTTACTATCCAAAATATATAAGGGACTCAAACAATTCAATAGCAAAAACAAACCAAAAATAACCCCATTGAAAATGGTCAAAGGATCTGAATAGACATTTCTCAAAAGAAGACATACAGATGGCCAATAGATATATAAAAAAATGCTCTACATCACTAATCATCAGAGAAATATAAATCAGAACCACAATGTTGTACCACCTTATGCATGTTAGTATGCCTAGTATCAAAATGATGAAAGACAACAAGCGTTGGCAAGGATGTGGAGAAAAGGGAACCCTTGAATACTGTTGGTGAGAATGTAAATTAGTATAGCTATTATGGAAAACAGTATGGAGATTCCTCAAAAATTAAAAATAGAACTACCATACAATCCAGTATTCCCACCACTGGGTATATATCCAAAGGAAATAAGACCAGTATGTCAAAGAGGTATCTGCACTTCCATGTTCACTGCAGCATTATTCATAGTAGCCAAGATATGTAATCAACCATCAACCTAAATGTCCATCAATGAATGAATGGATATATATATATATCCATATAGAGAGAGAGAGAGAGAATGATTGAATGGATCATATATATGATATATATATGATATATATGATGAAGGATGATTTCCTTCATCCATAAAATGAAGGAAATCTGGTCATCTGCAACAGCAGAATGAAATTGGAAGACATTTTATTAAGTGAAATAAGCCAGGCTCAGAAAGACAAATACTGTGTGCTCTCATATATATGTAGAATCTGGAAAAAAATGTTGAACTTACAGAAGCAGAGAGTAGAATGGTGGCTACCAGAGGCTGGGAAGTGGGGGGACTGAGGAGATATTGGTCAAAGGATATAAACTTTTAGCTAGACAGGAGGAATAACTTCAAGAGATCTATCATATATCACCGTGACTATAATTAGTAACAATATATTGTATACTTGAAAATTCTGGCCAGGTGCAGTGGCTCATGCCTGTAATCCCAGCACTTTGGGAGGCTGAGGCGGGTGGATCGCTTGAGGTCAGGAGTTCCAGACCAGCCTGGCTAACATGGTGAAACCCCATCTCTACTAAAAATACAAAAATTAGCTGGGCGTGGTGGCATGAGCCTGTAATCCCAGCTACTCAGGAGGCTGAGGCAGGAGAATTGCTTGAATCCAGGAGGTGGAGGTTGCAGTGAGCCGAGATCATGCCACTACACTCCAGCCTGGATGGCAGAGTGCGACTCCATCTCAAAAAAAAAATAAATAAATAAATAAATATATATATATATACATATATATATATATATATATATGAGTAGATTTTAAGCGTTCTCACTACAAAGTAATTCATATGTTAATTAGCTTTTATCTGGGTATTGCACAATAAATACATATATCAAAGCATCGTGTTATATAACATACACCTATATGTATTAGTCCGTTCTCATATTGCTATAAAGAACTACCTGAGAGTGGGTAATTTATGAAGAAAAAAATTTAATTGATTCACAGGCTGTACAGGAAGCACAGCTGGGGAGGCCTCAGGAAACTTACAATCATGGCAGAAGGCAAAGGGAAAACTGGCACATTTTATATGGCTGGAGCAGGAGGAAGAGAGAAGTGCTACACACTTTTAAACAACCAGATTGCATGAGAACTCACTATCAAGAGAACAGCAAGGGGAAAATCCGCTCCCATGAGCCAGTCACCTCCCACCAGGTCCCTCCTCCAACCCTGGGGATTACAATTCAACATGAGATTTGGGTGGGGACACAGAGCCAAACCAGGCAATATACAGCTTTTGACGATTAAGAATTAATTACTTTTCTAAAGAATCATTTCCTGAAACCTTTATTGCAGATATATATGTAAATATAATCACCTTAATGTGCATAAAATATATTTCTTTTTTGTTGCCCAGGCTGGAGTGCAGTGGCACGATCTCGGCTGACTGCAACCTCCTTCTCCTGGGTTCAAGCAATTCTCTTACCTTAACCTCTCAAGTAGCTAGGATTACAGTCATGTGCCACCACGCCCAGCTAATTTTGTACTTTTAGTAGAGATGGGGTTTTACTGTGTTAGCCAGGCTGGTCTCAAACTCCTGACTTCACATGATCCGCCCACCTCAGCCTCCCAAAATGCTGGGACTACAGGCATGAGCCACCGTGCCCAGTATAAAATATATTTCTTAGTATGTGTTTGATATGGTTTGGGTGTCCCCCACCCTAAATCTCATGTTGAAATGTAATCCCCAATGCTAGAGGTGGGGCCTGGAGGGAGGTGATTGGATCATTAGTTCTAATGGTTTAGCACCATCTCCCTAGTGCTGTTCTCATGATAGGGTTCTCCCAAGATCTGGTTGTTTAAAAGTGTATAGCATCAGGCCAGGCATGGTGGCTTTATGATGTGATTCCTCAGGCCTATGGGGTTGCTTCAACATAAGATGCTGATGACAGTGAATGCCTGAAACCACTTGGTCCTTGGGAGCTTCACCTTCTATATTCTTAGACTTGCATACTTGCTGGAATATCCTGGTTTATCCAGAGAGGCCCACTGATCTTCAGGATCCAGGATATGGCTGGATCATCACTACTGGTGGGCTCCTGTAGTCCCAGCTACTCGGGAGGCTGAGGCAGAAGAATTGCTTGAACGCTGCAGGCAGTTTTCTGTTTCTGTTTTTGTGTTTTAATTATTCTAACAAATGTGTAGTGGTATTTTATTATGATTTTCATGTGCATTTTCCTAATAACTAATAGTGCTAATTATCTTTTTATGTTCTTATTTCCCATCTGTATATTTTCTTTGGTGAAATGTCCATATTTATGCCCATTTTTTATTAGGTTGTTTTTCTTCCCTAATTGTAAGAGGGTTTGTTGTTTTTTTTTTAAGTCTGAATAATAGACTTTTACCAGACAAGTCTTTTGCAATTTTTTTTCTTCCAATCTGTGACTTGTCTTTTCCTTTAGCAATGTCTTTAGAGGAGCAAAAGTTGTCATTTTGATGAGGTCAGATTTATCAATTGTTTTTTAGTTTCTGGATCATACTTACTGTGTCTCGCTTAAGAAATTTTGCCCAACCATTGATTACAAACTTTTCTCCTATATGTTCCTCTGGAAGAAATACCTAATAATTTCAAGTTTTACATTTTGCTGTATGATAAACCCTGCCTTTTTGAAGCTTAAAAGATAGTGATCTCTAACAAGACATTCCCCTGCAAACTGTGTGCTGTGTTTGAAAATCTTCAAAGACAAACTTCAGGAAAGGCTGATCAGTTTTTCTTTGACGGATAAAAATCAATTACAGGCCGGGCACCGTGGCTCACGTCTGTAATCGCAGCACTTTGGGAGGCCGAGGCAGGCGGATCACCTGAGGTCAGGAGTTCGAGATCAGCCTGACCAACATGGTGAAATCCCGTCTCTACTAAAAATATAAAAAAATTAGCCAGGCGTGGTGGCGGGTGCCTGTAATCCCAGCTACTCGGGAGGCTGAGGCAGAGAATTGCTTGAACCCGGGAGGCAGAGGTTGCAGTGAGCCAAGATTGCGCCACTGCACTCCAGCCTGAGTGACAGAGCAAGAACTCCGTCAAAAAAAAACAAAAAAATCAATTACAAAAGAAGTTGAATTAAATTTACTTCATGAGAAGACCAAATTTTTAAATATTAAAAAGGTCTTTTTCTCAAAAACACATTTGATTGGATATGCATGAACCACATGCCAATTACAGATTGGGAACCAGCTGGGGTACTGACAAATGCTGTCCTTGACCAGACTTCAGTCAGACTTCTCTGAGCCCTCTTCTCGACTAGGCCTAGACCTTGGCCTCAGTCCCATCCTCAGCTTGCAGATAGTCCAGTTTTTTTAAGTATCCTTCTAACTCAATGTATCAGAAATCCCTCTGACCCTTGATATCTGATCACCCTTGTCCACCCTCAGCAAGAATCCTGTTAATTCAGCAAGAATCCTGATAATACCGAGAATCCCCTTACCCCTGATGTCTCCTGTTACTAATTTTCCATCCACTGACCCCACCCCACCCCAATTCTGCTCCTTTGCTGTAAATTCCCAGCTGTCTCTACCACATTTGGAGTTAAGCCCAATCTGTCTCTTCTCTTGCAATAATCTTTTCTTTAAGAATACCTCCTGGGAGTAGGAGAGAGAAATATATAAAAATAAATAACAAACCAAGTGTGGTGGCTTATGGCTTTAATCCCAGTACTCTGAGAAGCTGAGGCAGGAGGATTGCCTGAGCCCAGAAGTTGAGACCACGGTGGGCAACATAACAAGACCCTGTCTGTCTAAAAATTTTTAAAAATTAGCCGGGCATTGGCCGGGCATGGTGGCTCACACTTGTAATCCCAGCACTTTGGGAGGCCGAGGTGGGTAGATCACGAGGTCAGGAGTTCGAGACCAGCCTGACCAGCATGGTGAAACCCAGTCTCTACTAAAAATACAAAAAATTAGCCGGGCGTAGTGGCACGTGCCTGTAATCCCAGCTACTGGGGAGGCTGAGGCAAGAAAATCGCTTGAACTCAGGAGGCGGAGGTTGCAGTGAGCCGAAATCTTGCCATTGCACTCCAGTCTGTGCCACAAAGCAAGAGTCGGTCTCCAGAAAAAAAAAAAAAAAAAAGCCGGGTGTGGAGAATGTGCCCCTATAGTCCCAGCTGCTTGGGAGGCTAAGGCAGGAGGATGGCTTGAGCCCAGGAGTTGGAGGCTGCAGTGGGCTGTGATTGCATCACTGTACTCCAGCCTGGGTGACAGAGCAAGACCCTGTCTCTAAAATAATATAAATAATAAGTAGCAAGATGCCCTGACCTCCTTCACCTTCACACCACAAAACTGAATGGGCCTGGAAGGGTTGACCAGTGCCACTGAGGCTGCAGCTGAAGTCAAGAAAGCATTGCAGAAAAAAATTGTATCCAAACTGTCAAGAACAGGGAGTAGTTGGTTTTATTTTATTTTATTTTATTTTATTTTATTATACTTTATGTTCTAGGGTACATGTGCACAAAGTGCAGGTTTGTTACATATGTATACATGTGCCATGTTGGTGGGCTGCACCCATTAACTCATCATTTAACATTAGGTATATCTCCTAATGCTATCCCTCCCCCTTCCCCCCACCCCAAAACAGGCCCTGGTGTGTGATGTTCCCCTTCCTGTGTCCAAGTGTTCTCATTGTTCAATTCCCACCTATAAGTGAGAACATGCAGTGTTTGGTTTTTTGTCCTTGCAATAGTTTGCTGAGAATGATGGTTTCCAGCTTCATCCGTGTCTCTACAAAGGACATGAACTCATCGTTTTTTATGGCTGCATAGTATTCCATGGTGTATATATGCCACATTTTCTTAATCCAGTCTATCATTGATGGACATTTGGATTGGTTCCAAGTCTTTGCTATTGTGAATAGTGCCACAATAAACATACATGTGCATGTGTCTTTATAGCAACATGATTTATAGTCCTTTGGGTATATACCCAGGAATGGGATGGCTGGGTCAAATGGTATTTCCAGTTCTAGATCCTTGAGGAGTCGCCACACTGTCTTCCACAATGGTTGAACTAGTTTACAGTCCCACCAACAGTGTAAAAGTGTTCCTATTTCTCCACATCCTCTCCAGCACCTGTTGTTTCCTGACTTTTTAATGATCACCATTCTAACTGGTGTGAGATGGTATCTCATTGTAGTTTTGATTTGCGTTTCTCTGATGGCCAGTGATGA
The DNA here is from genome assembly GCF_000001405.40 of Homo sapiens. Lineage (NCBI taxonomy): Eukaryota > Metazoa > Chordata > Mammalia > Primates > Hominidae > Homo > Homo sapiens. The sequence continues at coordinate 59,544,291 of NC_000011.10, forward strand.
TGAGCACTTTTTCATGTGTCTGTTGGCTGCATAAATGTCTTATTTTGAGAAGTGTCCGTTTATATCCTTTGCCCACTTTTTGATGGGGTTGTTTGATTTTTTCTTATACATTTGTTTAAGTTCTTTATAGATTCTGGATATTAGCCCTTTGTCAGATGGGTAAATTGTACAAATTTTCTCCCATTCTTTAGGTTGCCTGTACACTTGATGGTAGTTTATTTTGCTGTGCAGAAGCTCTTTAGCTTAATGAGATCCCATTTGTCTATTTTGGCTTTTGTTGCCATTCCTTTTGGGGTTTTAGTCATGAAGTCCTTGCCCATGCCTATGTCCTGAATGGTATTGCCTAGGTTTTCTTCTAGGGTTTTTATGGCTTTAGGTCTAACATTTAAGTCTTTAATCCATCTTGAATTAATTTTTGTATAAGATGTAAGGAAGGGATCCAGTTTCAGCTTTCTACATATGGCTAGCCAGTTTTCCCAGCACCATTTATTAAAGAGGGAATCCTTTCCCCACTTCTTGTTTTTGTCAGGTTTGTCAAAGATCAGATGGTTGTAGATGTGTGGTATTATTTCTGAGGGCTCTGTTCTGCTTCATGGGTCTATATCTGTTTTGGTACCAGTACCATGCTGTTTTGGTTACTGTAGCCAAGTTCGTTTTAAAGATAATAATGAGGGTAGGGGAGAAGATACCAGAAAGACGACAAGGGCTGGGGCACCAGGGAAGGGAGGAAATGAAGCAAAAGATAGGCTGGAGAGGGAGATGAAATCTCAGAGGGCTCTTGTGGGTGAGGAGATGGAACGTGACATTTACACTTTAGAGAAGTCACTCTGTTTGCTGTGTGAAGCATTGATTGGAGTGTGCAAAACTGGAGACAGGGACACACTTGGTATTCCAGGACAGAGACGACAGAAACCTGAACTAAGTAGCAAAATGGAGGAGAAGTCGTTGTGAAACCGCCCAATGGGCTCACCTTACCCACTGCCTAAACAGAGCCGATTCCTCAAGACAGGGGAATCGCAATAAAGAAATAGCCATTCACGCAAAGCCGGCTGAGCGGGAGACCGGAGTTTTATTTTTACTCAAATCAGTCTCCCCGAACATTTGGGGATCAAAGTTTTTAAAGAGAATGTGGTGGGAGTGCAGGAGCAGTGAGTTGGAGAGTGCTGATTGGTTGGGTCGGAGGTGAAATTACGGCGCGTCCCTGTCTTCCTGCGCTGAGTCAGTTCCTGGGTGTGAGTCACAAGATCAGATGGGCCGGTTTCTCGATATGGGTGGTGCCAGTTGATCCATCAAGAGTAGAGTCTGCAAAACATCTCAGGCACTGATCTTGGGAGCAGTTTAGGGAAGGTCAGAATCTTGTGGCCTCCAACTACTTGACTCCTAAACCGTAATTTCTAATACTGTGGCTAACTTTAGTAGTCTAGTCTCCAGGCAAGAAGGGAGTTTGTTCTGGGAAAGGGCTGTTATTGTCATTTTTTAAAACTATAAACTAAGTTCCTCCCAAAGTTTTTTCAGCCTGCGCCCAGAAATGAACAAGGACAGCTTGGAGGTTAGAGGCAAGATGGAGTCGTTTAAGTTGGACCTCTTTCACTGTCTCAGTCATAATTTTGCAAAGGCGGTTTCAGTTGCAGACAAAAGGATCCGCAGGCTCCAGTGACTGTCTGCATGGCGGGAGAAAACACAAGGTAATCGCTCAGTGTCTGGCTGGAGTCCTGGGTAGATGGTGATATCATTCACCAAGAAGGGAAATAACAGAAGGAGCCCATGTTTGGGGGGAAAATTATATGTTCTGTTTTAACAACTTAGGCTATGGGTTGAATTCTGTCCCCTTGAAATTCATATGTTTAAGTCCCAACCCCCAGTACCTTAGAACATAACTTTATTTGGAGACAGGATCTTTACAGAGGTAAAGTTAAAGTAAAGTTAAGATAAAGGTAACGTTAAAATGTGGTTATTAGGGTAGGCCCTGATACTATATAATTGGTGTCCCTTACAAAAAGGGGAAATTTGGAGACCAAGATGCCCATAAAGGGAAGACGGTGTGAAGCGATAGAGACAGAGGACAATGATTTACAAGCCAAGGAGCAAACAGATTTGATATGCTTAGCAATTAGCATTTTCTAGAAATGTCCCCAAGGAAAAGCCTTATTGTTCTACGCAAATTGAACCAGACTTACCTGGCAATACAATAACAGTAGATGACATTTACTCTGTGCTTACTATACACAGATCATTTAATCCTAGCACTTTGGAAGGCTAAGGTAGGCGGATTACCTGAGGCTGGGAGTTCAAGACCAGCCTGGCCAACATGGTGAAACCCGGTCTCTACTAAAAATACAAAAATTAGCTGGGCGTGGTGGCAGGTGCCTGTAATCCCAGCTACTCGGGAGGCTGAGGCAGGGTAATAGCTTGAGCCCAGGAGGTGGAGGTTGCAGTGAGCTGAGATTGTGCCAATGCACTTCAGCCTGGCCTGGCCAACAGAGCGAGACTGTCTCAAAAAATAATAATAATAATAAATTAATTAATAATAAATAAATCTTCTCCAGAATCATGTGAGCTATTGTCCCCATTTTAGAGGAGGAAGCTAGCCCATAGCAGTTAAGCAACTAGCCCAAGGTCACATAGACTGGTATATACTGTGGTAAGTTCACACAACCAAGAGGAGATAACACTGAACCTCGATTTGGCTCTGGGGTTGCCTGTGTTGAATCTCTGGAGTCTACACCACACTGCCCAAAACTATGCTGTTTATGAGAAGGGAACTAACCCAACCTAAGGAACGCAGGAAAGCAGAAGGGAGTTTGATGAACTCAAGGAGGATGTGCAGGAAAGTCTAGGTCAGCAGAACTTCTGGAAAGTTCTAAGGAAAGGACATTAAGCAACATGTTACAGGCAGGACCAGCTTCATTTCTGGAATTGTTGGGATTTTACCAGGGTGACCGATTTATGCATACACACCTAGATTATCCAGAGTGCTATATAAAATCCCTTTAAAGAAGTCCATCTTTCCTATCTCATGCCAGTTATAGAAATTTCATATGGATCAAAGTGGTACCGGAAAGGGGTCCCAATCCAGACCCCAAGAGAGGGTTCATGGATCTTGCACAAGAAAGAATTCAGGGCAAGTCCATAAAGTAAAGTGAAAGCAAGTGTATTAAGAAAGTAAAGGAATAGGACAGGCGCGGTAGCTCATGCCTGTAATCCCAGCACTTTGGGAGGCCAAGGAGAGTAAATCACCTGAGGTCAAGGAGTTCAAGACCAGCCTGGCCAACATGGTGAAACCCCATCTCTACTAAAAATACAAAAATTAGCCCGGCGTGGTGGCTCGTGCCTGTAGTCTCAGCTACTGAGGAGGCTGAGGCAGGAGAATCACTTGAACTCAGGAGGTGGAGGTTACAGTGAGTCGAGATTGCACCACTGCACTCCAGCCTGGGCGACAAAGCAAGACTCCATCACCAAAAAAAAGAAAAAGAAAAAGAAAAAGAAAAAAAAGCAAAGGAATAAAGAATCACTACTCCTTAGGCAGAGCAGCCCACTAGGGCTGCTGGCTGTCCACCTTTATGGTCATTTCCTGATTATATGCTAAACAAGGGGTGGATTATTCATGAGTTTTCTGGGAAAGTGGGGGACAATTCCCAGAACTGAGAGTTCCTCATCTTTTTAGACCATATAGGGTAACTTCCTGACATTGTCATGGCATCTGTAAACTGTCATGGTGCTGGTGGGAGTGTCTTTTAACATGTTAATGCAGTATAATTAGCATATAATGAGCAGTGAGGGCACCAGAGGTCACTCTCTTTGCCATCCTGGTTTTGTGGGTTTTGGCCAGCTTCTTTACCACAGCCTGTTTTATCAGAAAGGTCTTTATGACCTGTATCTTGTGCCGACCTCCTATCTCATCCTGTGACTTAGAATGCCTTAATCTCCTGGGAATGCAGCCCAGTAGGTCTCAGCCCTATTTTACCCAGCCCCTATTCAAGATGCAGTTGCTCTGGTTCCAAGGCCTCTGACAGAAGGTTGAAACATTAGAAAATGTTTAACTATACAACAATCAGGAGAAAATATAGAATAATTTTTGAAATATAATCTCAAAGTGAGTAAGTATTTTCTAGGCAGGAAATGTTAAAAGCCCCTCTCCTGCACCCCCCCCAAAAAGATGATGAAATTGACTTCAAAAAAATGTTTAATTTCTACATCGCACGGAATATCAAAAATATAATCAAAAGACAAATGGCAACTCTGGATACATTTGCAAAATATATCCTAAATCTGAATTTACAAAGAGCACCTAAAAACCTATTTATTTATTTATTTATTTAGAGACGGAGTCTCGCTCTGTCACCAGGCTAGAGTACAGTGGCACGATCTCGGCTCACCGCAACCTCCGCCTCCCAGGTTCAAGCGATTCTCCTGCCTCAGCCTCCTGAGTAGCTGGGATTACAGGTGCATGCCACCACACCCAGCTAATTTTTGTATTTTTAGTAAAGACAGGGTTTCACCATGTTGGCCAGGATGGTCTCGATCTCTTGACCTCATGATCCGCCCTCCTCGGCCTCCCAAAGTGCTCAGATTACAGGCGTGAGCCACTGCGCCCGGCCTAAAAACCAATTTAAACATAAATTAACAGAATATATACATAAGAAAATTGAACAAAAGAGGTGAACAGATAGTAGGAAGAAAGGAAGCTTTTAAGTACATGAAAAACGTTCAACCTAACTCACAATAAAAAAACACAAAATAAACCATTTCCAGCTGACTCAAAATTCAGTTATTTTCATTTGAGAGAGACAGGAAGAACAAGGGCTTTCATATTGGTGTGAGTGTAATTTGATACAAGCTGTTTTGAAAGGAGCTGTGGCAGGGTTGGTGGGGACGAGCAGGGAGGTTGGTGGGACGGGTTTGCAGAGGGCGTCTCACTTTTTTGCCCAAGCTGGTTTCAAACTCCTGGGTTCAAGCCATGCTTCCACCTCGGCCTCCCAAAGTGCTGGGATTACAGGTGTGAGCCAGTGCGCCCAGCCATCAATTAAATTTCTTCTGAGACATAAAGGCAACACTCTTCTTGCTTGGGTTGGTACTGTGTTCTGTCCCTGACCAGGGGTGTAACCCTGGGCCATTTCTTAATCTCATTATGCTTCCTCTCCCTCGTCTGTAAAACGGGATAAATAATAATAGAGACATTGTGAACATTAAGTTAGCTACCCATGTAAGTGCCTGTTCAAGGTTTTGCTAGGATTATTTTACATATTGCCCTGCCTGAAACCAAGGAACAAGGAAATCTGCTCAGCATTGTTCCTAAGACTAGATACAATTTAAGTGTTCATCAAAAGGCATAAAGAATTGTGATATATCCAAACACAGGAAGTAAAAGGATAAGCGAAGATGTATGAACGAAATAGGAAGATTTTCAGAATATTGTTGAGGAAATGGGAGCGGTACCTATGTGTGCTACCTTCGTACAAAAAGCGTGAAGTGGGTTTTAAAGTAAATGTACGTGTATACTGGTGAATGCATAGACAATTTCTGAAGGGTCACAAAAGAAACAGCTAACCATTGAAAGATGGGATGGAAACATCAGTTGTGAAATACGTGGAGGGATTCTGAATTCTGTGCATGAAATTAATTTTTCAAAAAGCTTTTTTTTTTTTTTTTTTTTTTTGAGACGGCTCTCTCCCAGGCTGGAGTGCAGTGGCGCGATCTCGGCTCACTGCAAGCTCCGCCTGCCGGGTTCACGCCATTCTCCTGCCTCAACCTCCCGAGTAGAGTAGCTGGGACTACAGGCACCCGCCACCACGCCTGGCTAATTTTTTTGGTATTTTTAGTAGAAACGGGGTTTCACCGTGTTAGCCAGGATGGACACGATCTCCTGACCTCGTGATCCGCCCGCCTCAGCCTCCCAAAGTGCTGGGATTACAGGCATGATCCACCGCGCCTGGCCTCAAAAAGCATTTTTAATTTAAATAAATAAAGTATGAGGGCGGCCTTCGTGATGTCCTTCGACTTAGTGGTGGCAATTTTTAGAGATGGCCCAAGCAAGGCTTAGGAGAAGGTAGGTGAGCCAAGGGGCAACACCCAGGAACCCAGAAGCCGGCTGGCCAGGTAGTGGAAAGGCGCAGGCGCAGGGGCGAGCGAAGCCTCGGTGGAGCGGAGCCGCCTGCACCTCCAGAGAGGCGCCATACGGGGGCCGCCGCGGAGGCCGACTCAGCGCCGAGCGCTAAGAGAAACCGGGCTGATGCAGCAGGCGGGAAACAAGCCGTAGAAATTCTTGAGACACGGGTTCGTCGCCAGCTTCCTGGTGCAAAACCCAACACCTGGCTCACAAAACGCTAGGTAACATCTCATGGTTCCACTGGGGCTCGAACCCAGGACCTTCTGCGTGTAAAGCAGACGTGATAACCACTACACTATGGAACCCCACACGACTAAAACGTTCCTCCAGGATTTGATAATTGTTCAAAAAGACATTTTGGCACTGGGAAATGGTCATGTAGACTTGACATCCGGCGATTGTGCACAGAGAAAAACTTTCAAAAGGATTCCTCATTTTCCAGTATTCAGAGGAGCACGACCGCACAGAAACATTGTCAAAATGTCTGCGTCTCCAGCTTCCTGAACCAAAACCCACGATTGGGCTCGCAAAATGTTAATACTAAACATTATAAAGAAAGGAAAGAAAAGAAAAAGGTATGAATCACGCCGTGGTTCCACTGGGGCTCGAACCCAGGACCTTCTGCGTGTAAAGCAGACGTGATAACCGCTACACTATGGAACCGCGTGCGGAATGGCTGTCTCTGGATTTAGCAATTCTGCATAAAGACATGTTAACAACGTGGACTGAAAGGGATTTACTGCTCAGCGATCACGAAAAGAGAAACTTTCACCAGGATTACAGACTTTCCAGTGTAATTCCTACCCACGCTCTCTTTAGAGACAAAGGTTCCACACTTACTTGTGGAAAGAAAGTGCCTCCCCTGATGTGTTCATCGCGGAGAGGTCGCACGTGTCTGGCTCTGTGGCGCAATGGATAGCGCATTGGACTTCTAGATAGTTAGAGAAATTCAAAGGTTGTGGGTTCGAGTCCCACCAGAGTCGCTTTTTGTTTGAAGAAGAGCAAACGGAAAGTTAGGCGGAGGGAATGGATATAAAATAGATGAAACGAGAACTGTCTACCATTTAAAATTTCCGGAATGATGTGAATTGCAGCTAATTGCAGTTCCTGGTTATGTCCCTTCACTTGAAGGCGTAAAGAATCCCGTTCCTCTATCGAGCCTTTTCTCCTTCACTTTTACCTGGCCCCAGTTTCTAGTGGCGAGATAAAGAAATTAGGGAAATATAATCAAAGTTACCAAGTTTTTTCCCCATATTATTCTTTTATATCAGGAAAAAAAGTAATTTTAAATTGTTCCGAAACTTTAGTCGCCTAGTGTTACCCGAGTTGCTTTAAAATAAAACATTGTTTTATCAGTTACCAGAATGGCCGAGTGGTTAAGGCGTTGGACTTAAGATCCAATGGATTCATATCCGCGTGGGTTCGAACCCCACTTCTGGTAAAGAGGAGTTGTTTTTCCTGGCAAAAACCTTTTTTCCTAATCCTTGACAATCCATTTTGCAATCTTAAGCGTCCAGATAACAATAACTATAGTTAATATCATTTTGCCAGATACCTTACATATAGCGACAGCTTCACAGTTTATGGTTTGAAAAGTAGAAAGAAAACGTCTGAAAAAAAGAAAGAAAACGTCTGGGTCCAGCTATATGGGAGTGAGGGAGCACAGAGCGAGAGGCACATTGTGCTGCAAAAACGTTCACTCCGAGTCGACAGTTATTTCTTGAGATCCTATTACGTGCCAAGTACTGTTCTAAACACTGGGGTTGTGGTGATGTAGGTTTGGTTTTTTTTCTTTTAAAGCAAAACAACAAAAAATACAAGAGCCTTACCATCAAGACCACTGCCCAATGTCACTTACATGACAAAGTGACAGAAGAAAAATATGGTTTAAAAACAAGCAGACAGCCGGGCACGGTGGCTGACGCCTGTAATCCCAGCACTTCGGGAGGACGAGGCGGGTGGATCACCTGAGGTCAGGAGTTTGAGACAAGCCTGGCCAACATGGCGAAACTCTCCGTCTCTACTAAAAATACAAAAATTAGCCGGGCATGGTGGCGCGTGTCTGTAATCCCAGCTACTAGGAGGGCTGAGGCAGGAGGATCGCTTGAACCTGGGAGGCGGAGGTTGCAGTGAGCCGAGGTGGTGCCACTGCACTCCAGCCTGGGCAACAGAGAGAGACTTCGTCTCAAAAAAAAAAAAAAAAAAAAAAAAAAGCAGACAGGTTTGGTGCGGTGGGGCTCACGCCTGCAATCCCAGCGCTTTGGGAGGCCAAGGCAGGAGGATTGCTTGAGGCTAGGGGTTTGCGACCAGCTTGGGCAAGAACGTGAGACACTGTCTATTTTTAAAAAAAATTTTTTTAATTAAAAATAAATAAAAACAACTGGACAAATTGGAGAATTTGAGAGATAGCGATAGGTACTATACAGAAAATAAAACAAGGCAGCCCAACAGAATGGCTTTTCTCAGGACAAACTTATTCCATTTGATTATGAAAATCATCGTCCTTGACAGAAATGTTCTTCCCCTCTCTCTACCAAACAAAAACTTCCAAGGACTAATTCTGACCCTCCTCCTCCACTAAAAGCCTTTCCTGACCAATCACCCTCATTCAACTCTCCATTCTTTCATTCAAGGACAGTTTTTGAGAGCTTTCAGTGAGGCACTGACTCAGGGATTGCAGATATACAGAGAGTTCCTGTCCTCACAGCAGAAACATTCTAGGAGGAAAACAGATTCGTTAAACAGGTGTTTAAGGTAGGTTGCAGTGGGCACAGCAACAGAGACAGGCTCAGAGCCCAGTTCCTAACCCTGTCTGGAAAGGATCAAGCAGGGATCTCTGGGGCAACTCCTGAACCCTGTCTGTAAAGATCAGCCAGAACCTTCCACAAAAAAACAAAAAACAAAAAAACAAAAACAAAACCACTGTGGAATGCTAATTGAAATACTAACAGTTCCCTATGTTGTTGTTTGTTTGTTTGTTTTGACACAGAGTCTTGCTCTGCCGCTCAGGCTGAAGTGCAGTGGCGCCATCTCTACTCATTGCACCCTTCAGCTCACCGCAACCTCCGCCTCCCGGATTCAAGCGATTCTCTTGTCCCAGCCTCCCGAGTTGCTAGGATTACCGGCGCGTGCCACCACGCTCGGCTAATTTTTGTATTTTTTTGTAGAGGTGGGATTTCGCCATGTTGGTTAGCCTTCTCTCGAACTCGTGGCCTCAAGCGATTCGCCCGCCTCAGCGTCTCAAAATGTTGGGATTACAGGTGTGAGCCACCGCATCCGGCCTACTTCCCAGTGTTAAGCAGTCCACTACCACACAGTTAACACTTGATACAGTTAAGAGTTTGAGACTTTTGGTCTGTGTTTGGTGCCTATCAAGCTGGTCAGTCCCAGAACAGGAAACGCATCTTCATGCTCTTATTCATTCAAAGCTGTACTCAGTGACCAGTGTTACTCAGTTACTGTACTCAGTAACTCAGTGTACCTGGCACTTTTGTAAGAAGTGGAGGTTCACCGGGCGTGGTGGCTCACGCCTATAATCCCAGCACTTTGGGACACCGAGGCGGGTGGATCGCGAGGTCAGGAGTTCGCGACCAGCCTGGCCAGCATGGTGAAACCCCGTCTCTACTAAAAATACAAAAATTAGCCGGGCATGGTGGCGTGCGCCTTTAATCCTGGCTACTAAGGAGGCCGAGGAAGGAGAATAGCTTGACCTCAGGAGGCGGAGGTTGCAGTGAGCTGAGATTGCGCCACTGCACTCCAGCCTGGGCGACAGAGCGAGACTCCGTCTCAAAAAAAAAAAAAAGAAGAAGAAAAAAAAGAAGTGGAGGTTCAGAGGTTTGGAAAGAAACAGACCAAAGGCTCATAACCCCGTGGGACTGACCTCACGAGACACAGGCACCTCCTTTCCAAGGGGTCTGGTTTTAGTTTTCTTCCTTGAGCCGAGGCTTGCCATCTGATGCCTAGGGATCCACATCTTCATTTGTGAAAACTGCACCTGTCAAATTTGTGATTTTTCAATACCAACAACTCCCATCCAAAACAATGAGGCAAGGAGGGAGTCCCGCAGAGGAGGAAGTGTGTGATTTAACCCTTTTCTTCTGGCTCTTTATAGAAAAACTTCAAAGGAAGCTTTGATCTAAGGTGCCACTTCTGCCATCCCAGAAGCATGGAATATTTTGTTAATAACAAATCATATTTTTCCCAGCACTTTGGGAGGCTGAGGCAGGCGGATCACGTGAAGTCAAGAGTTCCAGACCAGCCTGACCAACATGGTGAAACCCCGTGTCTACTAAAAATACAAAAATTAGCCGGGCATGGTGGCGGGCGCCTGTAGTCCCAGCTACTCAGGAGGCTGAGGCAGGAGAATCGCTTGAACCCGAGAGGAGGAGGTTGCAGTGAGCCGAGGTCGCGCCATTGCACTCCAGCCTGGGCGACAAAAAAAGAAAAAAAAGAAAAAAGAAAGAAAGAAAGAAAGGAAGGAAGGAGAAAGAAAAAGAAAGAAAGAAAGAAAGAAAGAAAGAAAGAAAGAAAGAAAGAAAGAAAGAAAAAAAGAAAGAAAAGAAAGAAAGAAGAAAGAAAAGAAAAGAAAAAGAAAATAGTGAAAACGTCCTCTCACAGGCTTCATTGCCATTCCTCAAAATGTAGCCTTTTTATCAGGTTATTTTCTATCTTTATAGACCTTCCATGTATACGCAAACAAGATTTATATATAATTATATGTATTATTAAAGGATATATGTTTATATATGCTCATATACAGAAATGCTTTAATTTCTTTCTTTTTTTTTTTTTTTTTTTTTTTTTTTTTTGAGACGGAGTCTCTCTCTGTCGCCCAGGCTGGAGTGCAGTGGCTCGATCTCTGCTCACTGCAAGCTCCGCCTCCTGGGTTCACACCATTCTCCTGCCTCAGCCTCCCGAGTAGGTGGGACTACAGGCACCCGCCACCACGCCTGGCTAATTTTTTTTTTTTTTTTTTTTTTGTATTTTTTAGTAGAGACGGGGTTTCACTGTGTTAGCCAAGACAGTCTTGATCTCCTGACCTAATGATCCTCCCGCCTCGGCCTCCCAAAGTGCTGGGATTACAGGCGTGAGCCACAATGCCCAGCTTAATTCTCTTTCAAGGGATCCAATGCTTTAAGAAATGAGATGGCAAAGAAGTTATGAAGAAACAGGTCGAATTATAGAATTGACTAATTAGGTACGTCTGGGACACAGCTACCAAGGTAACAGACTCCCTAAAAAGATAAAATCCAGCCTGTAGCTTGCCTGATCAAAATCTTTCAATGGATGCTTTAGCTAAATGGTCAGATGCCCAAGGTTAGTAAATATCATCATTTTCCATTTGCTCTTCCCTCGGCTAGAAACCTCTTTCCAAGTCTTCAGGTGCCCAGTCGCTATCCACAGCTCGGTTCAGGCATCATCACTCCCTGGAAAACTTGGCTCTTAATTCGGGTGCCGACCAAGTCCTCCGGGGTCCGCAAAGGCTGGCATCCCACCACCAACGCGCGTGACTAGGGTCTTCTGTTTTGCGCGTCTTCCAGTTCCACTGAGGGCCGAGACTTTGTCTTTGCGGCCCCAGTACTTGCTTAGTTCCGAGAGTGCGGTTTGCACTCAGTAAGTAGCCACTTACTGAGTCCAATCGATTATTGGAAACCTAATTTTTCATCACTGCTTCTCCCACAAGAAGCTCTAGGACTGACTCCTCAAAGACCAAAACTGGAATTAGCAATCCCGCTGTTTACCCGGAGGCCCGGTCAAATGTCTTAAATCTGGGAGGATTCCTCCTGGGAAATTCCAGTAAGGGCGCGGAGCAGGTCAGGAAGGAGGTTACTTTTTGGGTCTTTATCGTCTATGATGGGAGAAAAGGAGAAATGAAGACTCGATTTTGCTGAACGCCTGCTCATTGTCAATTTTGCCGGTTCATCTCTCAAGAAATCAGCAAAAAGACTCAGAATTGTAATCGCGAAGGGAAAGAATGCGGCCACGTGGCCTATTTTCCTGTGGATAGACTAAGCAAACGCTTTTCTTCAGGGGCCCGGATAGCTCAGTCGGTAGAGCATCAGACTTTTAATCTGAGGGTCCGGGGTTCAAGTCCCTGTTCGGGCGGATGCTGTTTTAGTTTCCAATAAAATGGATTTGGGCGAGGCTGAGAGAAAGGAACGTTATGTGAAACCCGCTTGGGGTGCCTCCTCCTTGAGGGAAACCAGAACTTGCTAGTGGGTTCTTACCGGAAGAAGTGAAACGTGTGGAAAATGCCAAGAAACTTTATCTTCCAATAGCAGGCTTTTCTTTTCCAACCTTTATACGTTGCTTTGTCTTAGGATATTTTTTCTTTTAAATTGTATTTTATATTCAAAACAGATCAATAAACACATCGTCAGAGTCACAATTAGTAATATTCTTGGCAAGAATTGTGCAGCTTTTGGCACCGAGGAATGTTTTCAGGCACTTTTTATTAAAAGTGCGATGAGGAAACTGAGACTCAAGAAATATTTCAGATGAAGACACGTAAAGACGCAAGATTCCTACATCTCCAACTGGACGCAGTCCTTCACCAGATTCTTAATGCTCTGGTGGGCCCCTGACTTGTGTCTCTTGCGGTAAAGACTAATGCTTTTGAACACTGTCCTCATGTCTGTCGTCGATGAAAAAACGTGCAGCCCCAGAGAGCTGACTATACTGGTGATCAAACCCAAGACCTTCCGCCTGTGGAACAGGCGTGTTGGCCACCTCAATAACAAATCTTGTGCCACGTATTGCCATTTAACATCCAGTAGTATAAATAGGGTGATTACGGAACTGGGAAGAAATCATTCTACGACTTCTGATTCCTTTGAGAGGCTTAAGTTCATCATGCATCCTCATAATGACTTTGACTTCTGATTTCTCGAGCTTATTCTTTGCATCCTTATAATACCTTACTAAATACTTCGTCTCATTAGTTTCTGCCCGCCTAAGAGACAAGGAGAACAGCCGTCTCTGGGTGTGTATGGCGTAGGTGCAAACGTGCAAGGGTACTGGGGAGAGAGGCGAGCCTCCAGAGAGGCTAAGAAGTGGACCGTAGCCCTGTCTGTTCAAAGGGGTTGAGCCAACAAAAGGTCTGCCGAAACCCGGGATCGAACCAGGGACCTTTAGATCTTCAGTCTAACGCTCTCCCAACTGAGCTATTTCGGCGAAGACATGAGACAGTCCCGCCCTGTCAAGGAAATTTAAAAGAAAAAAAAAAACCGGGCGTGGTGGCTCATGTCTGTAATGCCAGCGCTTTGGGAGCCCGAGGCGGGTGGATTACCTGAACTCGGGAGTTCGAGACCAGCCTGGCCAATATGGTGAAACCCCGTCTCTACTAAAAATACAAAAAAAATTAGCCGGGCGTGGTAGCGAGCCCCTGTAATCCCAGCTACTTAGGAGGCTGAGGCGGGAGCATCGCTTGAACCTGGGAGGCGGAGGTTGCAGTGAGCCGAGATGGCGCCATTGCACTCCAGCCTGGGCGACAAGAGCGAAACTCCGTCTCAAATAATAATAATAACAATAATAATAATCCTGTTTCCTCCCACTTCCAGGCTTTTAGTTCTTCATTTCACCTTCCAAACTGTATTATTTTTAGCCCTGAGGTTTTAAGAGCAATCAGTAAGAAAATTAATTCCTTTCATGTGAGGAAACTTTCCCGTTCTGCCTTTTCCCAGGCCACATTGTGTTGTCTTCCTCATGCTTTCTCTCTTCCCAGGGCCCTAATAAGAGTAAGAACCGCCGCTTTCTAAGAACCTACTGTGTGTCCAGCAGGGATCTACAGCATTGCATTCAATTCCGTCCTCCCCCACGCCTGCCTTTAATTGATATGATAATATACAAATTTTTTAATGAATAACAAATGTGCCACCAATCACCTAGAACTATTAGGGAGGCTCCAAAGCATCAAAGGCTAAACTAAACACCATGGCTGGAGAGGGAATGAACTGGAGGAGGGAAAGGAGGAAAGACTGGGGGGACCCAGAGCTCTCCACCCTTGTCCTCTCGCTCCAGCCTGGTCTGTTCTTGCTCATTCAGAAACTGGTTGGAGTAAAAAGATTCCCCTTTTCAAGATCGCCAAAAGTGGAACTGATCGCTTTCGAAGGGACTCCTTCAGGAAGAAGGAGAAAAATTCGAGAAACTTACCTGTTTCTCTCCCTGGAATGCCTTCTGAACCCTGAGATTTACTTTCCTCAATAAAGAAGCTCGCCTCGCCCACCCAGCCCACTCTTCCTAGGAGCAGCGAGGATCGCTGTCCCTCCAGCACATACTAGTCAACTCGAGTCATCTGAATATGGGCATATTGGGCACATATTTCTTTGTAATGGTTCCTCTCCTATTACAATATGTATCTGTTGTTTCATCGTTAGATTGAAAGCTCTTTAAGAATTATGGTAACAGTGTTACAGCTCTTTCAGAATTTGTTTAGCAGGTTTTCTGGTTTTCACAGGAAAATAAAATAAAAACAATAATTATAATAATGGCTACCGTGTTTTGAATGCTTGCTTTTAGGCTATTAAGCACAGTACATGCATTGGTATCCCATTTAATTATCACAAGCTTATGAGATGGAAGCTATTATTATTCCCTTTCTCCTGGGGAAACTGAGCTTTAGAGAGCGGGAGGTAATGCTGGGATCTGTGTGGACCACGGTAGAGCATTCCTGTGGGCAGGGTGAAGGCCCTGCCTCACGATTGGGTGCTGTCGCCATCCTGGCCTTTCCCCACTAATCAGGACTCACTGGGCACCACAGTCCACCAGCTAAGAGGGCAGCCTCTTACACGTTCAGCCCACATCCCCATCCTGTCAATGAGGAGATCAAGACCGACTTTCTTCTGTTGCCTGGCTGAAGCCAGGAAGGCTCCATCATTAGCCAAGCAAGGGATGCAACCGGTCCCTTCACTTCACAGGGAAATTAGCTCACCTTGATGACCTTACATTCTAAAAACCGCTGCAGAAGCCGATGTTTCCCCACACCCCGCCTTTTTTTTTCTTTGAGACAGAGTCTCGCACTGTCGCCCGCGCTGGAGTGCAGTGGCGCGATCTCGGCTCACTGCAACCTCCGCCTTCCGGGTTCAAGCTATTCTCCTTCCTCAGCCTCCCGAGTAGCTGGGATTACAGGCGCCGGCCACCACGCCCAGCTAATTGTTTTTGTATTTTTACTACAGATGGCGCTTCACCATGTTGGCCAGGCTGGTCTCGAACTTCTGACCTTGTGATTCGCCCGCCTCGGTCTCCCAAAGCGCTAAGATCGCCTGTTTACCTTTTTAATTTGTAGTAGGGGAGCACTAACATTTCATTTTTCCCATTTCAGTCCCTTGAATACGCTCTCTCTTAATACACACCCTCTTCCTCCCACCAACAGAAGCTGCTGTCTCCACCTCAACTTCTTCCTTTGTTCAGATCACACTTTTGAGAGGGGAGTCAGGGGTGGATTTGACCTGGTTTAATGAGGGGAACGGCTCAGTTTGGGGCTTCAGTTTCTAGATGATCATCACTTCCTTTTTATAGTGCAGAAAACTCTTTCCTAAGGTAGTAAGGAGGGCTGGGAAGGTACAGGATCCCAGCCATATTCCTCAGGCACCCAATCGGAGAGAACCCAAGAGGGAGGGTCAGCAGGAGCCATCACAGGGGAGCGAAGAGAGGCTGTCACTGTGGCGGCCTGGTCCTTTGATATATCCGCTGTTGGGATACAGCAGCCCGGCTGGTGGCTACAGAATAATCTGCCTATTACAGCCCCCAAAGTGATGGATTAGAAGTTTCCCGTATACCTCTGCACAAAGGCCTATCCCCATAGAGGGCTTACCCTCCGAGAAGTGTTTGGGGTCGCAGTTTACACAATCCAGGACTTTATTCCCTTCTTTTGCAGTGTGTTAACAAACAAAAGATCCTAAAATTGGTTCTTACTCTTTTAATGAGGAAAAAAAAGATACCGCCCGAACAGGGACTTGAACCCTGGACCCTCAGATTAAAAGTCTGATGCTCTACCGACTGAGCTATCCGGGCTCACGGTAGTAACGTTGCTTCCATTAATGAAGACTCTGTTACCATTATGCCGTGAACTAACAGGCAAGGTGCAAGGTGGTGAACGAGTTCCTGGGCTCTTCTTTTGTGTGTG
Organism: Homo sapiens; assembly: GCF_000001405.40. Classification (NCBI taxonomy): domain Eukaryota; kingdom Metazoa; phylum Chordata; class Mammalia; order Primates; family Hominidae; genus Homo; species Homo sapiens. Next base: position 59,560,520 of record NC_000011.10, read on the forward strand.
ATCCAATCCAATTCCGATGCAGAAATCCGGCGAGGGCTGGGAGGAGGCTAAGTCGGGCGTGGGGAGGAAGGGTGATTAGCTTGTTCTTTGGCAGCTGAATACACATTCGTTAAATAAAGCAAGTTCTCCTTACATTTAGAGACTGCGTGGCAAACGTGAATCCTCAGTTCTGCAAAACCGCGCAGGGGAGAGAAAAAGCCGCCCACGAATTGAACTGTCTGCACCGCCTACGCGTGTCTTAGCCCTGAACCCAAAGCGCATCCAGTTGGAAACCACAGTTCAGTGGTTAAAGACATCAGGCTGCCCCTTCCGAGGAGACGCCACTTCGTGATTCCTTGCCTCCATCCCAGGTGCCCACCTCAAAAAAGTAGCGCGAAGCAGATTAGCTGAAAAGAGATGACGGGTGGTAGCCGTAGCTCGCCGGCGATCCGGTGAGCGCGCCCCGGACCCACCCCGCCCCCACAGCCCCGACTTCGACGCACGCGCAGCTCCGTCTCAGCTCGCTAGCCGACCCGCCCCTCCCACTTCTCCCCTGTACACGCAGCTGTTTTCTTCTGACAGATCCCATCAAGAACTTTCAGTCCTCTAGGCCTCGCACGTGCTGTCCCATCAATACCTGAAATGTCACCTTCCTTTCAACTCCTTTCCCCTCGTTACCTCCAAGCACCTATAGAGAAGGAAAAATAATCTTCCTTCTACCAGTTTGAGTTCTCAGCTGGGACTCCTGTAACAACAGACAGAATGAAGAGAAAAACAAGTGTATTAACATGTGCATTTCATATATACATGGGACATACCCAGGGAATGAGTAATTCTAAAGGTGTGGCTGAGAACTCCATTTTATACAGCATCGTCAACAAAGAACAATACGTTTTTGGAGAAGTGACAACACAAAGGAAAAGGACCTTAAAGGCTGGGCGCGGTGGCTCACGCCTGTAATCCCAGTACTTTGCGAGGCCGAGGTGGGCGGATCACCTGAGGTCAGGAGTTCGAGACCAGCCTGACCAACATGTGGTGAAACCTCGTCTCTACTAAAAATACAAAAATTAGCCGGGCGTGGTGGCGCGCGCCTGTAATCCCAGCTACTCAGGAGGCTGAGGCAGGAGAATCGCTTGAACTCGGAGGCAGAGGTTGCAGTGAGCCGAGATCGCGCCACTGCACTCCAGCCTGCGCGACAGAGCGAGACTCTGTCCCAAAAAAAACAAAAAAAAAGAAAGCAAAAAGAAAGGACCTCGGGTCTCCAGGGACAGCAAATTGTGGGAAAGCAAATATATGGGAAATTAATGTTAGATAAAGGCAGGTTCCTAAAGCTTGTTAAATGTACTTCTGTGGTCCCCTCTGTTCACGTCTCCAAGCTGTTAAGGACCTAAAGTTGTCTTAGGTTATCAACCTTTGTCCTTCCTGGTAGAGAAAGGAGGAGGAACGACTTTGTAAATGTATATCCTGCTTTTAGGCAGATAGGGGGAGGCTATGGAGCTTTATTTTAATCAGCTTCTTCCCAATTGCCTTTAGCGCAAAATAATCCTTAGGCCGGAGTGGCATATTTTCGGGTGGTATATACTTCTACCCTTTACACCTTTGAGAATGCAGCTTGGCCAAAGCAGTAGTTCACGCCTGTAATTCCAGCGCTTTGGAGGCCGAGGCGGGCCAATCACTTGAGGTCAGGAGTTTGAGACTAGCCTGGCCAACATGGTGAAACCTGGTCTCTACCAAAAAATACAAAAATAGCCAAGTGCGGTGGCGCACACCCGTAGTCCCAGCTACTCGGGAGGCTGAGGCAGGAGAATCGCTGGAACCCAGGAAACAGAGGTTGCAGTGAGCCGAGATGGCTTTTAATCAATGCTTTAATAGAGAAATATGCAAGACCTTTGGTAACCCAGAGAAATCACTAGAAGGAAGGCAGAGTAGCACCTGGCAGGGGGTAAGGCATTAGAACTGTGCCTTGAAAGGTGAGTAGGAGTGTGCAGGCATGCAGGAAATGTGATTCAGCCAGAAATACCGTGTCTTCTTCTCTGAGCTTGAATTCCAAATGCTTCTCACCAGGATTCCCCCTCTCCTCTTCAGGCTGAAAACAGACAGGGCTTGCCTTTTTAGGGCAAAGGCTAGGCCCAACATTTCCTAGGAATATGCCTCCCACTTTTGGTCCCAAGGTGGTTGGCTTTTGCTCAGAACAATAGTAACAATCTCATTCTTCACTCTTACCTGTGTGTATAAGTAACACTTTAAAGCATGCTGTCAGGTTCTCCAAAGAAACAGAACCAGTAGGACAGAGACAGATAGAAACAGAGGTAGAGAAAGATTATTTTAAGAGCTCGGTTCACACATTGTGGGGGTCAGCAAACCCAAAACCTGTAGGGCAGACTAACGGTTTGAAAATTCAGATAAGAGTTAAGGTTGCCATCTTGAGTTTAAATTCAGCAGGGCAGGCCAGGTGCTGTGGTTCATGCCTGTAATCCCAACACTTTGGGAGACTGAGGCGGGTGGATGACCTGAGGTCAGGAGTTCCAGACCAGCCTGGCCAACACGGTAAAACCCCGTCTCTACTAAAAATACAAAAATTAGCCAGGCGTGGTGGTGCACACCTGTAGTCAAGCTACTTGGGAGGCTGAGGCAGGAGAATCTCTGGAACCCAGGAGGCAGAGGTTGCAGTGAGCCCAGATGGCGCCACTGCACTCCAGTCTGGGTGACAGACCAGGACTCCCTCTCAAAAAATTAAATAAATAAATAAATAAATAAATAAATAAATAAATAAATTCAGCAGGGCAGTAAGCTGGAGACTCAGGAAGGCAGGTTTTCTATACCAAAGTTTTTTTTGTTTGTTTGTTTTTGTTTGAGATGGAGTCTTGCTCTGTTGTCCAGGCTGGAGTGGAGTGGCTCAATCTTGGCTCACTGCAACCTCCGCCTCCCAGGTTCAAGCAATTCTCCTGTCTCAGCCTCCCAAGTAGCTAGGATTACAGGCATGCGCCACCATGCCTGGCTAATTTTTGTATTTTTAACAGAGATGGGGTTTCACCATGTTGGCCAGGCTGGTCTGCAACTCCTGACCTCAGGTGATCTGCCCGTCTCGGCCTCCCAAAATGCTGGGATTACAGGCGTAAGCCACCGCGCCTGGCCTATAGCAAAGTTTTTAGGAGAATTCCTTCTTCTTCAGAAACTCCAGTCTTTGCTCTTAAAGGCTTCAGCTGATTTAATGAGGCACATTATAAAGGGTGATCTTCTTTACCTGGAGTCTACTGATTTAAACGTTAATCACATGTAAAAAATACCTTCATTGCCAGGGGCTGTGACTCATACCTGTAGTCTCAGCACTTTGAAAGGCCGAGGCAGGCAGATCGCTTGAGCTCCAGAGTTCGAGACCAGCCTGGGCAACATGGCGACACCCCGTCTCTATAAATACAAAAAATTAACCGGACGTGATGCTGCGTACCTGTGGTCCCAGCTACTAGGGAGGCTGAGGCCAAAGAATGACTTGAGGCCCAGGAGGTTGAGGCTGCAGTGAACTGTGATGGTGCCACTGCACCCCACCCCTGGGCAACAGAACAAGACCCTGTCTCAAAAGAAACAAACCAAAAACACCTTCCTAGTAACATCTAGAATGGCGTTCGACCAAACCTCATGAAAAGTTTAATTCTCTAGTCTATTAGATGATCAGTTGGGGTTTCTTCTTATTGATCACCATTGGACTTTCAAGAGCCCCTCATCAAAATACATCTTTCCACCCAAGAACTCAACGATTTTGGGGCTGAAGCCCCATATCAGCTAGCATATTGGCAAACATTAACAGAAAGAGGAGAGGGGTATAAATAGGCCTAAAAACCATATGGCTGGCTTCATTTTGCCTTTTACCACACTGCGAGTTCTTAGAATGTGACACATGGATCTCCTTCCTCTCCCTCCATGGTCCAGCCTGACTAAAAAGAAGGCACTCCCTAAGTGTGTTTTTCCATTGCCTTGCCTTGAGTGGAGTGGCTCATCTTTTTTTTTTTTTTTTTTTTTTTTTTTTTTTGAGACGGAATTTCGCTCTTGTTGTCCTGGCTGCAGTGCAATGGTGTAATCTCCGCTCACGGCAACCTCTGCCTCCTGGGTTCAAGCGATTCTCCTGCCTCAGCCTCCCGAGTAGCTGGGATGACAGGCGTGCGCCACCACGCACGGTTAATTTTGTATTTTTAGTAGAGACGGGATTTCTCCATTTTGGTCAGGCTGGTCTTGAACTCCCAACCTCAGGTGATCCGCCCGCCTCAGCCTCCCAAAGTGCTGGGATTACAGGCGTGAGCCACTATGCCCGGCTGTGGTTCATCATCTTAATGAGGCTTTCTACTGAAATTCAATCCATATCCTCCGAGTTCCACTGACCTCCGCCCCCATGCCAGACAAGCATGGACAACTCTGGAAGCCTAGAAACTGGTGGATGGCCGATTCCCGGGGTGTTTCCTAGTGATCTCTGCCAGGAGCTTCTCTGTTGGTGCTGATAACAAATTAGCCAATGGATACAAACCTGTTTTGTAAACTGCCAGGTGTTGAAGATCAAACGGTGTCCTCTGAAATTCAGTTCTTCCTGCATACAGCGTCTGGATATCTTTGCTGGGGTGGGGAAGGTGGTGCATAGGGTTCAGAGGGGTGCAAGGATATGATGTACAAGTGACTTGCAATTTGGAAAATAAAAATACAGGGTGTCCAGTTAAATCCAATTTCACAGAAACAACAAATATGTACTTTGTATATTCCATGCAATATTTGGGACATGTTTATACTAAAAAGTATTTGTTGTTTCTCTGAAATTCAAATTTTGGCCGGGTTCAGTGGCTCGTGCCTGTAATCCCAACACTTTGGGAGGCTGAGGCAGGAGGATGACCTGAGGTCAGGAGTTCGGGACCAGCCTGGCCAACATGGTGAAACCCTGTCTCTACTAAAAATACAAAAATTAGCCGGGCACCTGTAATCCCAGCTACTCCGGAGGCTGAGGCAGGAGAATCACTTGAACCCGGGAGGCGGAGGTTACAGTCAGCCGAGATCACGCCACTGCACTCCAGCATGGGAGCAAGACTCCATCTTAAAAAAAGAAAAAAGAAAAGAAAAGGAAAAAGAAAAAAAAGGAAATTAATTGGACGTCCTGTATTTGGTCTTCTAACCCTAGTGTAGATTTAAACTAGAAAGGGCTTCCGATCTCTGTCTCCCGCCCCACCTAAGAGCTGTTCTAGGGTCCTTGTTATTGTTTTTGTTTTCTTTTTTAAAGACAGAGTTTCACCGTGTTGGCCAGGCTGGTCTCGAACTCATGACCTCAAGTAATCCGTCCGCCTCGACTTCCCAAAATGCTGGGATTACAGGCGTGAGCCACCGCGCCCGGCCCCGGTCCTTGTTACGGTTTAAAAAGCTGGACAAAGCCCGTGCGCCGAACGCTTTCGAGGACTTCTTTGGCCAAGAGGGGGCCCGGGCTGTCACCATTCCCGGCAAGCCCGCGACCAAGCAGGCAGCGGAGGCGGCGCAGGCCGAGAGCTCCCGCCCCTCTGACAGTGAGAGAAGGGTCGCAGCGCCCACGGCTGCCTAGAACCCGAAAGAAGAGGAGCGGGGTGCGGGGACACAGGGTTGCTCAAGAAAGTGAGCTATGCGCAGTGCTCCGGAAGAGCTTGTCTCAAACCAGGTCCCAAGTGAGGGCAGAGGCGTAACTTCGTACTGGGCAGTTTAAAAGGTAAGACATATGTCCCCAGTATCCTCCCTCCCAGGGGAAAATGACGATAAGGTTTCCCTTAACTGCCCCAGCCCGCGTGAGAACCCACAGGGTGTTGACCCTGTTAACTGCAGAAAGACCCTGTTAACTGCAGAAATCACATGTAGTGATGACTAACGCCTAAAACGGAAGCGCTGCCGAAACCCGGGATTGAACCAGGGACCTTTAGATCTTCAGTCTAACGCTCTCCCAACTGAGCTATTTCGGCTGCCGTGGAAGACGTTTTTCTTTTTTTCTACATAATTATAATAAAATAGTATTTGTTCCGTGGTAACAAAGATCATATGGATTCAGCTAGAGGTAGGCATTTTACAAATGTTACAAAGGTGATAAGGCAAGGCCCTTGTTTACAAACTGAAGTGATAAATCACTTTTCTCAGGGTTTTTTGTTGTTGTTGTTGTTTTAAGTTCCCTGCAATTTGCTTTTTTCATTTAAAAACATATTATGGACTTTTTTCATGGCAGTTATGTAGACCTATCATACTTTTTAATCCACGTTCGCCAGTATTGGATTGTATGGTTATAACATAATCTATGTAATCAAACTGACAACTATCAGCTTTTTTACCTTTTTCTATATCTCATTATTAAAAACAATACTGCCATAAATTTTTAAAATATACTTGTTTTTCTTGTGCAAAGGCAGATTTTGCAAGGTAGATATATATAAACATTGTGATTTTTACAGATATCTTCAGATTGAAATCCAGGATATATAGAAGAGGTAAGGAAGGCCATTTGTAAAGGCTTCAAATGTAGACTTTCAATGCTACCTCCACATGAGGTAAACATAGAGTCACTGTACAGTATTTGTTAAAAGCATTGATTTGCTAAACCTAGCATTAAAAATATACCTCAATTTTTGGAATACCATCTTGGCATTTTTCATTTTTAAATATATATAGTCAAAAAAAAGAATTAAGTCAGGCTTCCCTCAAACTCTAAGAAGCAAGTTGTGGTTTAATAATATCTCTAATATGCTGATTTTATTCCTCCTCCACCTCCCATTTCATAATTTTCATCTCTTGCATTTATTCACTGAAAAATGTTTTAGCCAGATGCGGTGTCTCTGGGAGGCCAAGGCAGGCGGATCACCTGAGGTCGGGAGTTCAAGACCAGCCTGACCAACATGGAGAAACCCCGTCTCTACTAAAAATACAAAATTAGCCGGGCGTGGTGGTGCACGCCTGTAATTCCAGCTGCTCGGGAGGCTGAAGCAGGAGACTCCCTTGAACCAGGGAGGTGGAGGTTGCAGTGGGCCGAGATTGCGCCATTGCACTCCAGCCTGAGCAACAACAGCAAAACTCCGTCTCAAAAAAAAAAAAGTTTTATATAAACTCCATAAGGCTGTTAGAATAATTCAATGCTTTGTATTCACTTGCTTCATAAATAAGGAGCCAGCATGGACTCATTACAATTTGAAATAAAAGCGCCATGACCTTAGTTTAGAATTTATAAACAATAGGCTTAAAATGGAGGATGAGTATAGACTGTCATTCTCAAGAAAGATTAAGAGTACATCTGAAATGAGATGTTTGTGGCTGTCACGCCTAAACTAGGTGACTTTACAGTTTTTTCAGACTCAAGAGCCTATCATTTGTTTAGCTTAAATTTCACCCTTTTGGTTTCCCTTGGTAGTTGAAGTACGAAAAATTCTAAAATGACCCACAAAACACCCTCCCAGCCCCACAAAACCCTGCATAATCCCTGGGACTATGAAATTCATCATATTAATTTATAACCTGTTATTAGGTGATATTATATAGTACAGGTTACTCTAAAATATGTGATTATCTGGGTGAGCCTGACCAATCACTTGAGCCCTTTAAAAGCAGAGGGTTTTTTCTAGCTGGTTGCAGAAAGGAGTCAGAGACTCAAAACACAAGACTTGAAGATGGAGGGGACCATGTGGCAAAAATATACGGGCAGTCTCTAGAAGTTGAGGGTGGTTCTCAGCTGACAGCCAGCAAGGAAATTGGTCTTCAGTTCTGCAACTGCAGGAAACCTAAGTTGGCCAAGAACAAGAATGAGTTTGGAAGCAGCTTTCCCCTCAGTGCCTCCAGATGAGAACTCAAGCTGGTCAACTCCTTGATTTCAGTCTTGTGACACCCTGAGTAGAGAACCCAGTCACATCATGTGGGACTTCTCATCTACAGATGAACGGATAAACCGTGAATGGATAGAACAGGTGTTGTTTTAAGCTACTGTTTATAGTAATTAGTTATGCAGCTATGGAAAATTAATACCGTAGTATAGACTTACCATAGGCTAGGTATATTAATGACAAAGAGTGGATTTAAGTCCTTTTCCGGTCACTTACTTGCCTATGTTCTTGAGTCATTTACTTGTCTATGCTTAAGTCGGTTTCTTTTCTTTTTTCTTTTTTCTTTTTTCTTTTTGAGACAGAGTCTTGCTTTGCTGCCCAGGCTGGAGTGCAGTGGCACGATCTCGGCTCACTGCAACCTCTGCCTCCCGGATTCAAGCGATTCTCCTGCCTCAGACTCCCGAGTAGCTGGGACTACAGGCGCCCACCACCACGCCCGGCTTGCTTATTCATTTATTTATTTATTTATTTATTTATTTATTTATTTATTTATTTATTTATTGAGACGGAGTCTCGCTCTGCCACCCAGGCTGGAGTGAAGTGGCAGGATCTCAGCTCACTGCAACCTCTGCCTCCTGGGTTCAAGCGATTCTTCTGTCTCAGCCTCCCGAGCAGCTGGGACTATAGGTGTGTGCTACCACGCCCAGCTAATTTTTGTATTTTTAGTAGAGACGGGATTTCACCATATTGGCCAGGCTGGTTTCGAACTCCTGACCTCGTGATCCACCCGCCTCGGCCTCCCAATGTGCTAGGATTACAGGCATGAGCCACCGCCCCTGGCCCTGGCTAATTTTTGTATTTTGAGTAGAGATGGGGTTTTGCCACACTGGCCAGGCTGGTCTCAAACTCCTGACCTCAGGTGATCCACCCTCCTTGGCCTCCCAAAGTGCTGGGATTACAGGCATGAGCCCCTGCACCTGGTTCCAGTGTGATACACACATGCACACATACATACATATATATAATTTATATATACATATGTGTATATGTATAAAAAAATATACACACACACACACATACGTACACACATATATATGTAAAATACCTGGACCCCATCTGCAGAGATTCTGATTCAATTAGGGCTAAGGCAATTATGTGTGTGTGTGTGTGTGTGTGTGTGTGTGTGTGTGTGTGTGTGTGTGTCTAAAATTGCCCTAGCCCCTAATTGAATAGAATCTCTGCAGATGGGGTCAAGGTATTATATGTGTTTTAAGTTGGCCAGCTGATTTTATGTGCAGGCTCTCTCAGTCTCTCATTCCTCGGTTCTCACAAAAATGCCACTATGATATGTTAAGACCCATTTTCTAAAATTGCTTACTCGACTTCTGAACAGGCACATCTTACAAAGCATGTCTAAAAATGAACCTGTTGGGTGCAGTGGCTCACACCTGTAATCCCAGCACTTTGGAAGGCCGAGGTGGGAGAATTGCATGAGGCCAGGAGCTTGAGACCGTCCTGGGCAACATGGTGAGACCCCGTTTCTACAAAAAATAAAAAAATAAGCTGGGCGTAGTGGCGCACACCTGTAGTTCCAGCTACTAGAGAGGCTGAGGCAGGAGGACTGCTTAAGCCCAGGAGTTGGAGGCTGCAGTGAGCTATGATCATGCCACTACACTTCAACCTAGGCAACCCAGTGAGACCCTATCTCTAAAAAAATTAAAAATGAACCTAACTTTCCTTCTAAACTTGCTTATCTTACTACCATCTTCCATCTAGGTTTCCTAAGTCAGAAAAATAAGAATTCCTTCTTCCCTCTGCCCTCCATTTTATGGGAAAGCCATGAAATGCTTTCATTCTACTTCATCCTTTCTGGAAGCCCTCCATTTCTCATCTTCGTATCCTCTCCAACCTCCTTTTTTTTTTTTTTTTCTTTTTTTTCTTTTTTTTGAGAGGGAGCTCTGTAGCCCAGGCTGGAGTGCAGTGGCACGATCTCGGCTCACTGCAACATCTGCCTCCCGGGTTCAGGCAATTCTCTTGCCCCAGCCTCCCGAGTATCTGGGAATACAGGCACCCGCCACCATGCCTGGCTAATTTTTTTGTATTTTTAGTAGAGATGGGGTTTTGCCACGTTGGCCAGGCTGGTCTGGAACTCCTGACTTCAGGTGATCTGCCCGCCTTGGCCTTCCAAAGTGCTGGGATTACAGGCGTGAGCCACCGCACCCGGCCCCTCTCCAATCATTTTCCACCCTGCTTAAGAATGTTTCACTAGCTCTCTAGTTAAAAACAAAAATCCAGGCTCTTGGGCCGAATGGGGTGGCTCAGGCCTATATTCCCAGCACTTCAGGAGGCTGAGGCAGGCAGATCACCTGAGGTCAGGAGTTCGAGACCAGCCTGGCTAACATGGTGAAACCCTGTTTTTACTAAAAATACAAAAAATTAGCCAGGCATGGTGGCACGTGCCTGTAATCCCAGCTACTTGGGAGACTGAGGCAGGAGAATTGCTTGAACCTGGAAGGGGCAGGTTGCAGCAAGCCTAGATCACGCCACTGCACTCCAGCCTGGAAGCCTGGGTGACAGAGCCAGACTCCATCTCAAAAAAAAAAAAAAAAAAGCAAAGAAAAAAAACCCAGGCTTTTCTTCCCCTTTAAATATAAACAGAGACCAGGGTCTCACTATGTTACCCAGGCTGATCTCAAACTCCTGGGCTCAAGGGATCCTCCTGCCTTGGCCTCTCAAAATGTTAGAATTGCAGGCAGGAGCTACATGGCTTCTCCATAGGGTATGTAAAAAGCCTTCCATAACTTGGGGCTAAACTTTCTCCAGCAGCATATCTCAGGGCTCTCTCTTTGACACTAAACACAAGCTATTCATGCAGTCATCTGAACTCAGAATGCTTTGGCCCTGCATTTCATCTTCCTCCATGCAGCATTTTTGACATTGCCCTTCTCCTAACCCCTATGTAACCTGCAACTCTCAGCTCACATGCATTCTCCTAGAAGTCTTCTCAGACATGTCTCTATCCCCTCCCTCCTAATTCACTACAGAATAGTTGTCCCTGCTGTGCTTTTACACCACTTATAAAACTGGATTGCAATTGCCTGTTTACGCTCTTTCTTGCTATTTGCATCCCCAATGTATGTCACGTAACAGGCTAGAGTAAATGTGGAATTAATAATTAATTTAAAAATATCTAGCCGTATCTCAGGACCAACTCTTTCTTTAGCAACCTCTAATGTCACCTGGTCAAACTTAGAAGATGTGACCTCTGCAATACTCTTTGTAGAAGATCCGAGACCTTCAGCTTTTTGCCTTTAAAGAAGCCTCATCTGTCTACCCTGTCTCCTTCCCCTGAGGGATCAATGTGAGCAGGAGAGTTTAGCCAAAAATTATGAGGAGAGTTTAACCACAAATTATGAGCTTTGGAAGGGAGCGCCATGAAAGGCTTGGGATGCTTCCCACTGGGTACTGTAGAGTACTTGGCAAAAGTTTTTTTTTTTTTCACTCTGTTGCCCAGGCTGGAGTGCAATGGCGCAATCTCGGCTCACTGCAACCTCCACCTCACAGGTTCAAGTGATTCTCCCACCTCAGCCTCCCAAGTAGCTGGGATTACAGGCACCTGCCACCATGCCCAGCTAATTTTTGTATTTTTAGTAGAGATGGGGTTTCACCATGTTGTCCAGGCTGGTCTGGAATTCCTGATCTCAAGTGATCCTCCCACCTCGACCTCCCAAAATGCTGGGATTATGAGCCACCCTGCCTGGCCATAAGTTTTATAAACTTTTAGAAGCAAGTTATAAATTTTGGTAACAATCTTAGAGTTGCACAAAATATACAACTATAGTGAATGAATTGCAAAGATTTTCCATACCTCCTTTTAGGACAATACTGTAGGGTGGTTCTCAATTATCTTGCTGAAAGTACAGCAGACCCTTAAATGTATAGGTTTAACATTTTTGTGCAAATTCAGAGGTCCCCGACAAATTTAATAATTTATCATTTTGCTGAGTCATAATTTTGAATCATGACTGAGCATGGTAGACCCCTCAAGATCCACATCCTAGCCCATCATGTCACATTAAAGGACGCAATGAGGGGTCGGACACAGAGGCTCACACCTGTAACCCCAGCACTTCAAGAGGCCGAGGTGGGAGGATCGCTTGAGCCCAGGAGTTCAAGAACAGCCTGGGCAATATAGTGAGACCTCCATCTTAAAAAATAAAAATAAAAATAATAAAGGATTCAATGAGGGATCGTTAAATGTTTCAGCTACACTTGATTGTCCCTAATGCAGGACATTGTGTGCCATGGTAGTATTCAAGATTGCAGGATACAGCTCTCACAAATGTCAGGGGTCTACTGCAGTGGTTCCTTAGCTTGCCGGAAAAAAACCTTTGCTGAAACTTAATATCAAATCCAGCCAATGGGAGTCAGGCAAATGACTTGAACACTTAGGTGGCCTTCCTAAGAACCAGGCTAGAAAATCATCCCTGACATCAGAGCCAACTTTGTAGACATGAGGGCCTTGATCAATCAAGGAACCTGTAGGCTGAATTTCAGGGGATGCTCCTTTCTCACGTACAGCCTTAAAAGAAATGGTGCTGCCAGGTGCAGTGGCTCACGCCTGCAATCCCAGCACTTTGGGAGGCTGAAGTGGGTGAATCACAAGGTCAGGAGTTCGAGACCAGCCTGGCCAACAGGTGAAACGCCATCTCTACTAAAAATACAAAAAATTAGCTGGGCGTGGTGGCACGTGCCTGTAATCCCAGCTACTTGGGAGGCTGAGGCAGGAGAACTGCTTGAACCCGGGAGGCGGAGGTTGCAGTGAGCTGAGATCGCGACACTGCACTCCAGCCTGGGTGACAGAGAGAGACTCCATCTCAAAAAAAAAAAAAGAAAAAAAAGAAATGGTGCTATCGATATTAGCTTCCGGAAATGAAAATGTGCATTTATGCATGATGTGATATAATCTAGGAGGAAAGTACTTAATTATCAGCTGCCTTCCAACCCAGAGTTTCTTCCAGAGCACAGGACTGTAGAGGTCACAAACTCAACCCAGCTTTGAATTCCAACACTGTGACTAACTGACCAGCTACATGACCATGAGTGAATTTATTTAAATTAGGTTTCCTTCATCTTCAAAATGATTGCAACATTTTCTTCTTAAAATCGTTTATGTGCAAGCCAGAGAATGGTCAGAGTTCCTATTTCAGCATGGAGGCAGATCCTATTCCATGGAGGCAGATGCTCAGCAAATGTGAGGTCCCTCCCACGGGCAGGAATTGTGCTTGCTCTGATCTGAGCCCCCGCCAGGACCATAGGTTACTTTGCCTATCCCCTCCCTGAACCTGAACTTTCCAGTGAAAACTTGTACAAACATGTTCACTGTCATTAGTTTTCTCAAAGGTCTTCAAATCAAAACTCAATTGCTTGTTTCAAAAACAGAACTTGAGGCCAAGTGCAGTGGCTCACACCTGTCTGTAATCCCAGCACTTTGGGGGGCAGAGGCTGGTGGATTGCTTGAACCCAGGAATTCAAGACCAGCCTGGGCAACATGGCAAAACCCTGTCTCTACTAAAAATTCAAAAATTAGCTGGTTCTGGTGGCATGCACCTGTGGTCCCAGCTACTTGGGGAGCTGAGGTGGCAAGAATCGCTTGAGCCTAGGAGGTGGATGTTACGGTGAGCTGTCATGCCACTGCCCTCCAGCCTGGGTGACAGAGTGAGACCCTGTCTCAAACAAAAAACAGAATTTGAATTCCTACATAAACAGCCAACAATCTGAGAATCTAAATGGACAAGATAAATTAAATTTACAGGGAAAATTTTTGAAGTGAAGCAGGCCCAGTACCAAAAACACTAAAAACGATTCCCCTGTACTAAGGTGGGATGTTGATGACTGTTAATTTAAGCAGCAGGGGCTGTTAAAACTACTCCTCTGCTCATGGCCCTCCGGAGTGGTGGTGAACAGCTTTACTTTCCATTTCTCATGAAGACCAGGGCTTCTGGGCGCTCAGATTCTTGAGCAGAACAAATTACCATTGGACCAGTTCTCCTTCACCTCCCCAACACCACTTACTGCCTAGCAGCAGAAGTGAATCAGACAAACAATATGACTTTTAAAAAATTATTTAATTTAGTAGTTTTTTTTTTTTGGAAAAAAATCAATAAGGCAAAAAAACTGAAAATATATATAGTTGTGTTTTGTTTTCATGTGACTTTATTCCACCTGAAAGATTCTAAACTTCTTCCATTAGCGGGAATCTGATTGGGATCAGCCAGAAATGTAGTGCAGATGGTGAAGGAAGAGAAGGGGATAAAGCAGAGAAGTCCAATTTAGTTGGGGAATTCTCACTCTATCCAAAGCCCCGGATGAGGTCACTGCTTTTATGAGCCTCCTTGAAAGAAGCCTTGACATAATCCCTGGCTTATTTTGGGAATAAGGTTCTTAGGAGGAAATTCCCCAGCAGTCAAAGTCACTCCTCTCCCATGTTTATCACAACTAGGAAGGAAGGGATAGGGGAAGAAATAAAAGTATTAATTTACCCAGTAAAACCAATTTCCCCATAGGGATGGCTTCCTTTGGAATGGTATTTCCCCCAGGACCCACGCTGGCTGAGGCTCAGCAGTTAAGGAACAAAAACAAAAAATACTAACAAAAAGCATACAAGGAAGGCACCTCAATTTGTGATCCTCAACCAAGGGTGGGTTGCACAGGGGATATTTCTCAACAAGACAACAAAAACAAATACTGCACAAACAGAGAAGGAAGCCAGGGCCCCACAGGAGCAATTATCTGATCCACCCCACATGACGGTGCTTTAAGCCCCACATCCTAGGAAGAAAGTTCTTTTGGAATTCAGCCTATGCGCCGGACAGAGCAGAATTAAATTGGAAGTTGCCCTCCGGACTTTCTACCCACACTCTTCCTGAAAAGAGAAAGAAAAGAGGCAGGAAAGAGGTTAGGATTTCATTTTCAAGAGTCAGCTAATTAGGAGAGCAGAGTTTAGACAGCAGTAGGCACCCCATGATACAAACCATGGACAAAGTCCCTGTTTAGTAACTGCCAGACATGATCCTGCTCAGGTTTTGAAATCTCTCTGCCCATAAAAGATGGAGAGCAGGAGTGCCATCCACATCAACACGTGTCCAAGAAAGAGTCTCAGGGAGACAAGGGTATCAAAAAACAAGATTCTTAATGGGAAGGAAATCAAACCAAAAAATTAGATTTTTCTCTACATATATATAATATACAGATATTTAACACATTATTCCAGAGGTGGCTCCAGTCCTTGGGGCTTGAGAGATGGTGAAAACTTTTGTTCCACATTAACTTCTGCTCTCAAATTCTGAAGTATATCAGAATGGGACAGGCAATGTTTTGCTCCACACTGGGGCACAGACCCAAAATGGTACTGTGCCAGAAGAAGAGAAGCCAGAAAGACAATGAAGGATGGCATTAAGGGGGGTTGGGAAAGCAAAAGTGGCTAGTAGTCTTTTTCCATCCTGCCTGTGTTCTCAGAAGCTCTCCGCCTGAGGAAGTCCATAAAACCCCTTTGTGAGGAGAATGCACCCCCTTACCAATGACCAAAGTGGTCTCCAGTTGCTATTAAAGATGATGGAGAACAACAGAGGGGTGTTTGATGCAAGTAAAAACAGAAACTTCCAAGAATGTAACTCTGAATATTCCAGCCCTATAGAACAATCTCTCTCACAGGTGTTCCAATATCGCAGTTATCTCCGCGTGGACACTCCATTAAACCGACCCCGCGTGTGAACACACTTGATGATGTTATACCTAAGCTCCACTGCAACCATTCACAATGCCTCCATTGGTAAGTCTTATGTGTTTCTTTTTAAGGGAACTTCTAAATTCGGCTCTTGCTTTTAACAGCACCAAAATGCCCCTGAATCATAATCTTAGGCAGATCTTGGCTGAGCAGGATACTACAAGGGGAGGGTGAGTGACATTGTCTTAAATGGGGGCAGAGGGAGAAAGAAGAGCCAAGAATACTTGACTTCGTGGATGTGGAATAACACTAACCTTCGGCCACTAAACCTCTCCCTTACAGACATAGTATCTCCTATGTCGATTTCAGTTTCAATCAGCTAAGGCAACCAGCCAATCACCACCACTGGTGTCTCCTTCTGGTGATTGATTTGGAAAAAATGATTGGTCAAGAGAGACAAACTTGAGGAAAGCACTTGGTAAGAGAGTCACAACTTCCAGCTTTCCCACACATCCTCTGTCCTCTTCTCCATTATATGCTCCTCTTTTTTGTTACTGCCGTTTCAGAAAATGTCCGGGCATGAGCTCCAGTCCTGTTTTTCTTTACACTCCCAGTATTCTCCCCTATAAATATGGGTTAACTCCTTGGTAACAGGGTCCTTCTTCCGCTCAAACCACAGTGCCTTATAGGGATCATATGGTGTGCCTAAAAGGAAAAGAGAGGAAAGAAAAAAATTAGTGCTGGCATTCTCCATGCATCAAGAAAGAAGAGTAGAAGGGAAGTTCATTACCATCCTCTGTGGCTTTCATAGCTTCCGCTTCTCTCTTCTTTCTGGAAAGTCTTTGTTTTTCCTCCAGGCGCTGCTTCTCCGCATTTGCTTCATCCCAGCGTCCATTTTCCATCAGTCTCTGGTCAGGTCGTAACCGGCTGTCTGTGGGGGCAGTGCCACTTTCCCAAGCATTGAGAGTCAGAGCAAGCTCTGAGAAGTAGTACATGTTTTCTGCATTCTTCCTAAAAGTAGAAGACAAGAAAAAGAAATGGTAATCCCAGAGCCCAGACCCTATTTAAAGAGCAACAACTAAGTACACTGCCAAGGCCACATCACCAAGGCTGTTCTACAAAAACAGGATCTGTGAAAAGGATCTAGGACCATGTCACATTGCCCTAACTAAAGGAGACAAATTGGATCCCTCCCCATCCGCTCCCTGGCATCACTCAGTTCCATAGTCTTCTGGTGTTGTGTGGTGCCCAGCTGAAATTATCTACGTTCATTAGAAAGAAGGAAACATTCTACTGAATGAAAATTCCTCACTCCTGTTTCCTTAGTTTTCTTTTTAACTCTCTCTGGGATAATCTTGGCTATCACTACAAACTGACTGTATTAGATGACGACAGGAAATAAGTGACCTCCATCTTGTTTCCAAAGTCCTGTACATTGTCTCAGGGATCTTTCTTTTCTGCTGGGCTTTTTTTTCTTTTTCTTATTTATTTATTTATTTAGACAGTCTCACTCTGTCGCCTAGGCTGGAGTGCAGTGGCATGACCTCAGCTCACTGCAACCTCAAACTTCTGGGCTCAAGTCATCCTCATGCCTCAGCCTCCCAAGTAGCTGGGATTATGGGTGCACACCACCATATGTGGCTAATTTTTGTATTTTTAGTAGAGACGGTTTCGCCATGTTGGCCAGGCTGGTCTTGAACTCCTAATCACAAGTGATCCACCTGCCCTGGCCTCCCAAAGTGCTGGGATTGCAGGCGTGAGCCACCGCACCTGGCTGCTGATGGGCCTTTAGGCTAAATTGTTAACAGGTGGTAGGCACCTTCCTCCTCTAGCCACTTTTGAACAGTTTTGCTCTAAATAGTAGAAAAATACCCTTCTGAATCACAATCCAAAGGACCTTTAGAAAGCACAAAGTATTTTTTGTCAGATGTAGTTTGGTTTGAACTTCCTTGAAATAAGCATGCTACAAGTCAAATCATACAATGACAACCTTCTGTTAATCTCTCCAAAAGTCTCAATTTCCCTTGCTCAATTCCCCACATAATTAAGTGAGAGGGCAGGCAGAAATGCCTTCAATATTGCTCCACAGTCAAGGTCAAAGTGGTATCTGGGCAGCATGCATGCTGATACTCACGGTAAAGGATTCCTTTTCCACAGCATGACCCTGCTTTCCTCTGCTTCATGGCCTCTCTGTCGAGCATCACCCCCATTTTCCCCAATGACTGGCTGTACTTTGAAACATTCCATTTTCTCATCCCACGTCCCCAGAAGAGCAAAGTGGACTTTTCCTGATGGATCTGTCACTTCCCCCGTCACCTGCAAGGGTGGAGAACAGGGCTTGGCTATATAGAATTCACTGTGAATTAGCTTACCTGACTATACTGGAAGTCCTAGGATAAATAATGGTTAGGTCCTGTTATAACAAACACCAGAGAGTCATCCAAATTATTATTAGAGATGGGATCTTGCTCTGTTGCCCAGGCTGGAGTACACTGATGCAATCGTAGCTCACTGTGGCCTCCAACTCTAGGGCTCAAGTGATGTCTCACCTCAGCTACTTGAGTAGCTAGAACTACAGGCATGTGCCACCATATCTGGCTAAGTCTTTAATTTTTTTTGTAGAGAAGGGGTCTTGCTATGTTGCCCAGGCAGGTCTTGAACTCCTTGGCTCAAGCAATCCTCTTATCTCCACCTCCCAAAGTGTTAGGATTATAGGCATGAGCCACCATGCCTGGCCTCAAATTATTTTGTTGTATTTTTTTCTGCTACTTGAAATAACTGAGCCATGACTTGGGGATTTCATTATCATTTTTTGTTATATGGGGATTTTTGGTAAACTTTATTTTTAGTTTTTATTTTTGTGAGTTCATAGTAGGTGTATATAATTTGCATTTATCCTTTGTGTTGCAAACAATTCAATTATACTCTTTTAGTTATTTTAAAATGTACAATTAAATTATTTTTGACTGTAGTCACCCTGTTGTGCCAGCAAATACTAGACTTTATTCTTTATCCCCACTTCTTGCTCTCTGTCCCCTCCCCTCACTACCCTTCCCAGGGATTTTTGTATCAAAGATACACGTAGCAAAAGCATCTGACTGGTACTCAGAATTATATTTTCTTCTCTCAAGAAATTCACAGGGACCTATAAACAGATTTAAATCCCCAGCTATTCTTCAGTCTCCCACAGAAACTCATGACACAAATCATTATGGTGGTATCACACAACTCCCCCTCAAACTTCTCAGTGATCAAACCCCTTTTTCCTGAAATCTTTTATTAGTCCTTCCTCTGTGTTTTCCCATTTACTTTCTTTCTTTCTTTTTTTTTTTTTTTGAGACGGCGTTTCTCTCTTGCTGCCCAGGCTGGAGTGCAATGGCGTGATCTCGGCTCACTGCAAACTCTGCCTCCCTGGTTCAAGCAATTCTCCTGCCTCAGCCTCCCGAGTAGCTGGGATTTCAGGCATATGCCACCATGCCCGGCTAATTTTGTATTTTTCGTGGAGACAGGGTTTCTCCATGTTGGTCAGGCTGGTCTCGAACTCCCGACCTCAGGTGATCCGCCCGCCTCCACCGTGTTTCCCATTGTCAATCTCTCATTGCTCTCGACACTTTCACTTCCTCACTTATTGTCATTCCCAGAAAAGAGAAGGAATTGGCTTAGTAGTAATACAATATAGTCTTTCTTGATGACTTTCTCCTTCACCTCTACTTTTTTTTTTTTGAGACGGAGTCTCGCTCTGTTGCCCAGGCTGGGGTGCAATGGTGCGAGACTCACTGCAGCCTCTGCCTCCCAGGTTCAAGCGATTCTCCTGCCTCACCCGAGTAGCTGGGATTACAGGCACGCGCCACCACACCCAGCTAATTTTTGCATTTTTAGTAGAGACAGGGTTTCATCATGTTGGCCAGGCTGGGCTCGAACTCCTGACCTCAGGCGATCCATCTGCCTCAGCCTCCCAAAGTGCTGGGATTACAGCTGTGAGCCACCGCGCCCAGCCTTTCACCTCTACTTTTTTTGAATCACTATATGTACACATACACTATATAAAATGTACACACCCCCATACCACCCCACATGTATATACATTCCAGTCCTAAAGGAGTATGCTTTCTAAGAGATACATGCTACGTGAAACAATTTAAATTTCAACTTCCCTTACCTTTCTTGCTACATCCCGAGAGAAGTAGCTATAAGGAACAAATTTAAGATTACACTTGTCTCCTGTCTTGTGATTCACAATATCAATTTCGCCAGACTGTAAAATGAAAAAATTCAGTTTTATTAAGACTGGATAAATTCAATGTCTGCCAAACCCATGGTTCATAATTCTTTACTTTTCAATCTTACATTCTAGTAATCCCTTGTTTAAGATTCAGATCTTAGCTAGCCTTGGGAATGCTATAGAATCCCTATGTAACCTTGGTTTTCCAGGTTGAGATCAAGACCAAGTGTCCACTTGTTTTGAATTGTATCTCACATGTTAGATGGCATGATTTGACCTTCAGCACATATACTGAAGTACACATGATAATTTACCTTTCCAAACCAATCCCTCACTAGTACCCTTCATGAACTCTTCTGCTTAAATCAAAATACTCTACTCACAATTGCAAATTACATATGGTCGGCCTTTCTATACTTGATTCATTTCATTTTCCCTCCTTTCTTTTTTTTTTAAATTTTTTGTAGAGACAAGGTCTCACTATATTGCCCAGGCTAGTCTCAAACTCCTGTGCTCAAGTGATCCTCCCGCCTTGGCCTCCCAAGGTGTTGGGATTATAGGCATGAGCCAACATGCCCAGCCCATTTTCCCTTCCTTTCTATCTTCTAAATCCCAAACCACACTTTAAGATTCAGCTTAACTCCCACATCTACTGTGAGGCCTTTCCTGACTGCTCAGAAGACAGTATACCCTCTTTTCTAAATTTGCTGCAACCATTGTCTTAAGAGAAAACTGACAATTAATTAGATACTATCATAGGGCATCTTTTATATTAGTGTATGTTGCTGCACATTTTCCAACCTACACATTGGTCATGTATCTCCAATGATATAATAAATTATTGAGGGACATCTCATCAGACTTTGTATCCCCAGGACCTAGCATACTGCCTGGCAATAAATATTTGATGAATAATGAAAGGATTAAGAGTTGGGGCCACGTTTGTTTTTTCTACCTGTCGTAGCACCCAACACAGTCCTAGCAGAATAGTCATTGATGAATGTTATAATTTGGTCATTTATAAACAATAATTTGTGGTACAGAAAACTTAGAGAGTTAGAGGTAGGGCTACTGCCTGAGAGAAATTCCTTAGGAGAAACTGATGAATCAGTAGCAACATTCTGAGACCAGTTCACATGTCCTAAATACTGCAGAAATATACCTAAAGAAGTATTCTTTTAAACTTCACACACACTTTGGGTACCTTTCCTCACCTGATCTATCCACAACTTGCCCACAATAATGTTGTGTACAGTTGTGGTAACTTTCTTCCAAGTGTAGTGGTGCCCAGTTGCATGGAAAATACAATGAATGGTACCTGGAAGCAGAAAGAGGTATCCAAATTAAGCCAAATGTCAGAAAAATAGCACCATGCAGCCTCAAAACAGTAATGGATTAATTTCCTTCTATTGATATTTATTACTTTTAGAAATAAAACAATAAATCAAAAAGGACTTACACTTTCTTAAATGTTGGAAGTATTGACTGAATTTTTCTCACTTGACTTTCAAAAATCTATGAATAAAACATAACTAAATGATGACAAACCCTGGCAACTGATATACCTTAGCTAGGACGCTGTGTTCTATAATACAATTGCAAAATTTACAGAAACAAGTCAAATGCACCCCAACATGCATCATGGAAGTAACTGCATTATGGAAGGAGCACACATTGGTAGTCTGTACCGGGACCAGGCTCTATTGTTAAGTTACTAGCTGTGTGACCTTAAACAAACCACTTATCTAAGGCCCTTAATTGTAAAAATGGAATAGTGGATAGAGCTGGGGCTTTGAATTCAGACAGAACTGGATTAAATCCTGACTCTAGTCCTCATTAGATGTATGACCCTCTGTTGTATAATGAAGAATAAAACCCTTGTAATTTCCCAAGTGACAGGAATATCTCTGTTATTTACGGTGGACCTTGACAATTTATACTAATGAGGTGACTCATGGTGGGCCTCAGATAGCTAATGCTAATAACTTAGGATGCCAGGCTCCACCATGTGATTAGAGACAGGGTTTTGAGTCACCTGATATTGGGTCAACTTCCTGACCTCTGGGGATGAAAGAGGATCTGGATATTGAATTCAATCCTGCAATCAAACCTAAATAATGAAGCCCTGCTAAAATCTCTGGATACCAAAGCTCAGTGGAGTTTCCTGGTTGGTGAATAGATCAGTGTGCCAGGAGGGTGATGTGCCCTGATCCCATGGAGACAGGGCACAATGCTCTGTGTTCAGGACCCTCCCAGACCTCACCCTACGGGTCCCTTCATTTGGCTGGCCCTGATTTGTACCCTGAATAATAAAACGGTAATGATAAGTAGAGCACTTTCCTGAGTTGAGTCATTTTAATGAATTATCAAACCTGAGGTAGTTGTGGGGACTCCTGAACTTATAGCCAGTTATCAGAAGTGCAGGTGGCCTAGGGCCTCCAACTTGTTGCTGGCATCTGAAGCAAGGGCAATTTTGTTGGGTACTATGCCCTTAACTTAGGGAGTCTGCGGGAACTCTGGGTGGGTAGTGTCAGAATTGCATTACAGTATTGCACTATGAATGTTTCAAAGGCCTTGATTTTATCATCTATAAACTTGGGATAACACGTCCTGTTGTGCAGTAAATGTCTGTTTATTTGCCTAATAAAATGCTTGAAACATATAGCTGACTCCTGTTCTTATAAGTCAATCTCCAATGAATACCAAAATCAGTGGTTTCACAGCAGAGATAATTGAGGATTCAAAATAATCAAACATTTTAAAAGATATATAGTTAATAATACTCAATTCCAGGCCAGGTGGGGTGGCTCACCCCTATAATCCCAGCTCTTTGGAAGGCCAAAGCAGGCAGATCACTTGAGGTCAGGTGTTCAAGACCAGCCTGGCCAACATGATGAAACCCCATCTCTACTAAAAATACAAAAAATTAGCTGGGTGTGGTGGTGTGCGCCTGTAATCCCAGCTACTCGGGAGGCTGAGGTAGGAAAATCACTTGAACCCAGGAGGCGGAGGTTGCAGTGAGCCAAGATCACATCACTGCACTCCAGCCTGGACGACAGAGCAAGTCGCTGTCTCAAAAATAAAAAATAAAAATAAAAATAAAGTCGATTTCAGTAAAAGTATAACCCTAAGTTCTCTCTGTAACCACTAATAAAAAATAACTCACCAATTGTGGTTTAGACATGTTTCTTATACAAAAAATTAAAGTAGCCCTAATAATTGGCAGATAAGGATCACAACAATGAAGGCTATGACATCAATGATAATAACAGCCACTCTGCTGAGAACACTTGCTGTGTACCAGGTGCCGTGCTATGGTCTCCTCATGCATTATTTCATTTAATATTCACAAACACCTTCGAAATATTTGCTCCACCTAAACATATTCTAAATCTCTGTTTTTTTTTTTTTTTTTTTTTTTTTTCGAGATGGAGTCTTGCTCTGTCACCCAGGCTGGAGTGCAGTGGCACGGTCTCGGCTCACTGCAGCCTCTGCCTCCCGGGTTCAAACAATCCTGCCTCAGCCTCCCGAGTAGCTGGGGTTAAGGTGCCCACCACCACACCTGGCTAATTTTTGTATTTTTAGTAGAGACAGGGTTTCGCCATGTTGGCCAGGCTGGTCTCAAACTACTGACCTCGTGATCTGCCCACCTCCGTCTCCCAAAGAGCTGGGATTACAGGCATGAGCCACCACACCTGATGGTGTTTTTTTTTTTTTTTTTTTTTTTGAGACAGGATCTCACTTTGTCGCCCAGACTGGAATGCAATGGTGCAATCGTAGTTCACTGCAAACTTGACCTCCTGGGCTCAAGTGATCCTCCCTCCTCAGCCTCCCAAGTAGCTGGGACTATAGGCATATGCCAAAATGCCCAGCTAAATTTTTTTATTTTTTGTAGACACAGGGTTCCACTATGTTGCCTAAACTGGTCTTGAACTCCTGGGCTCAGGCGATCCTCCCACCTCAGCCTCCCAAAGTACTAGGATTACAGGCACAAGCCACTGCACCCAGCCTAAATCTCTTAACCAATACCTCCTCCACTACCATCTCATTCTATGAGGCCAGCACTCCCTGACACTAAAGCCAAAGACACTATAAAAACCCAAAGCTACAGACCAATATCATATCCCTTATGAACAGTGATGTAACAATCCTCAATAAAAAACTAGGAAATTGAATTCAGCAGCATATTAAAAGGATTATACACCATGACCAGGTGGGATTTATTCCTGGAATGCAAGGATGGTTGAACACATAAAAACTGGTAAATGCAATACACCACATGAACAGAATGAAGGGCGAAAAAACACATGATCATCTCAATTGATGCAGAAAAAGCATCTGACAGAATTCAACATCCTTTCAGAATGAAAACACTCAACGAGCTAGAAATACAAGGAAAATACCTCACCATAATAAAAGCCACATATGAAAACCCCACAGCAAATATCATACTCAATGGTGAAACACTTAAAGACTTTCTTCTAAGATCAAGAACATGGCAAGGATGCCCACTTTCACTGCTTCTATTCAACATAGTACTGGAAGTTTTAGCCAGGGCAATCAGGCAAGAAAAAGAAATAAAAGGCATCCAAGATGGAAAGAAAGAGATAAAATTATCTGTGTTTGCAGATATGATCTCATATGTGAACATGCTAAGAATTCCACCAAAAAAAGAAATCCTGATAGAATTCATAAATGAGGCTCAATGGTGCCCAGGCTGGAGTGCAGTGGCGTGATCTCGGCTCGCTACAACCTCCACCTCCCAGCCGCCTGCCTTGGCCTCCCAAAATGCCGAGATTACAGCCTCTGCCCGGCCGCCACCCCGTCTGGGAAGTGAGGAGCGTCTCTGCCTGGCTGCCCATCGTCTGGGATGTGAGGAGCCCCTCTGCCTGGCTGCCCAGTCTGGAAAGTGAGGAGCGTCTCTGCCCGGCCGCCATCCCATCTAGGAAGTGAGGAGCGCCTCTTCCCGGCCGCCATCACATCTAGGAAGTGAGGAGCGTCTCTGCCCAGCCGCCCATCGTCTGAGATGTGGGGACCGCCTCTGCCCTGCCGCCCCGGCTGGGATGAGAGGAGCGCCTCTGCCCGGCCGCGACCCCGTCTGGGAGGTGAGGAGCGTCTCTGCCCGGCCGCCCCGTCTGAGAAGTGAGGAGACCTCGCCCGGCAACCACCCCGTCTGAGAAGTGAGGAGCCCCTCCGCCCGGCAGCCGCCCCGTCTGAGAAGTGAGGAGCCCCTCCGCCCGGCAGCCACCCCGTCTGGGAAGTGAGGAGCCTCTCCGCCCAGCAGCCACCCCGTCCGGGAGGGAGGTTGGGGGGGTCAGCCCCCCGCCCGGCCAGCCGCCCCGTCCGGGAGGTGAGGGGCGCCTCTGCCCAGCCGCCCCTACTGGGAAGTGAGGAGCCCCTCTGCCAGGCCACCACCCCGTCTGGGAGGTGTACCCAACAGCTCATTGAGAACTGGCCATGATGACAATGGCGGTTTTGTGGAATGGAAAGCGGGGAAAGGTGGGGAAAAGACTGAGAAATCAGATGGTTGCCGTGTCTGTGTAGAAAGAAGTATACATGGGAGACTTTTCATTTTGTTCTGTTCTAAGAAAAATTCTTCTGCCTTGGGATCCTGTTGATCTGTGACCTTACCCCCAACCCTGTGCTCTCTGAACATGTGCTGTGTCCACTCAGGGTTAAATGGATTAAGGGCGGTGCAAGATGTGCTTTGTTAAACAGATGCTTGAAGGCAGCATGCTGGTTAAGAGTCGTCACCACTCCCTAATCTCAAGTACCCAGGGACACAAACACTGTGGAAGGCCGCGGGGTCCTCTGCCTAGGAAAACCAGAGACCTTTGTTCACTTGTTTATCTGCTGACCTTCCCTCCACTATTGTCCTATGACCCTGCCAAATCCCCCTCTGCGAGAAACACCCAAGAATGATCAATAAAAAATAAATAAAGAAAAAAAAAAAAAGAAAAAAAAAAGAATTCATAAATGAATTCAACAAAGTAACAGGGTATAAAGTCAACACACAAAAATTAGGTGCATTTCTATTATACATTAACAATGAATAATCTGGAAAGGATATTAAGAACAATTCCACTTATAATAGTATCAAAAAGAACACTTAGGAATGAACTTAATCAAGGAGGTGAAAACTGTAAAACATTGCTGAAAGAAATTAAAGTTAAGATAAATAAATGGAAACACATCCTATGTTCATAGATTGGAAGACTCAACATTGTTAAGGTTGTCAATGCCACCCAAAGCAATCTACAGATTCAATGAAATCTCTATCCAAATCCCAAGATGTTTTCTGCAGAAATAGAAAAACCTATCCTAAAATTCATATGGAATCTCAAGGGACCACAAAATAGCCAAAGAACAAAGCTAGAGGACTCAAACTTCCTGATTTTGATACTTAATACAAAGTTACAGTAATCTAAAATGTGTGGTACTAGAATAAAGACAGACATATAGGCCAGTGGAATAGAACAAAGAGCCCAGAAATAAACCCTTCATATATGGTCAAATGATTTTTGGCAAGGGTGCCAAGACCACTCAATGGGGACAGGACAGTCTTTTGAACAAATGGACCCACATGCAAAAGAATGAAGTTAGACCTTTATCTAGTACCATGTACAAAAATTAACTCAAAATAGATGAAAGACCTAAATGTAAGACCTAAAACTATAAAACTCTTAGAAGAAAACATAGGGCAAAAGCTTCACAACATTGGGTTTGGCAATAATTTCTTGGCTATGACACCAAAAGCAGATGCAAAAACAACAAAAATACAAAGCAAACCTCCTGAACATTAAAAAAAATTTGTGCAATAAATGACAATAGCAACAGAGTAAAAATGTAGCCTCTAGAAATTGGAGAAAATATTTGCAAATCATATATCTGATAAGGGATTAATATCTAGAATATACGGAGAACTCCTAAAATTCAACAACAAAAAAAAGCTAAAGAACTCAAGTCAAAAGTGGGGAAAGGAGGCTGGGTACGGCAGCTCACGCCTGTAATCCCAGCACTTTGGGAAGCCGAGGCAGGCAGATCACTTGAGGTCAGGAGTTCAAGACCAGCCTGACCAACATGGTGAAACTAAGTCTCTACTAAAAATACAAAAAATTAGCCGGGTGTGTTGCAGGGGGCCTGTAATCCCAGCTATTCTGGAGGCTTAGGCAGGAGAATCACCTGAACCCAAGAGGTGGAGGTTGCAGTGAGCCAAGACTGCGCCACTGCACTCCAGACTGGATGACAGTGCGAGACTCCATGTCAAAAAAAAAAAAAGAAAAAGGGCAAAGGACTTGAATAGGTATTCCTCCAAAGATATACAAATGATAAGTAAGTACATAAAAAAGTGCTCAACAACACTAATTATTAGATAAATGCATGTCAAACCACAATGAGATACTACCTCACATCCATTAGGATAGCTATGATACATTTTTAAAAAGTGTTGGCAAGGATATGGAGTAACCGGAACCTTTGTGCACTGTTGGTGGGAATGTATAACCATTGTCGAAGACAGTATGGTAGTTTGCTCAAAAAACTAAGAATATAATTGCCATGTGATCCAGCAATTCCATTTCTGGTATATACTGCAAAGAACTGAAAGCAGGGTCTTAAAGAGATATTTGTTGTTTTTTAAACATTTTTTTTTCTTAAGACTTTAGGCAAAGAGATGAAAGGGTATTTGTACATCCATGTTCACAGCAGTGTTACTCACAATAGCTAAAACATGGAAGCAATCCAAGAGTCCATCAACAGATGAATGGATAAGCAAAATGTGTACATACACACAATAGGATAAATATTATTCAGCCTTAAAATGAAAGGAAATTCTGACATTTGCTACAACACGGATGAACCTTGATGACATTACGTTAGGTGAAACAAGCCAGTCACAAACAGACAAAAACTATATGATTCCACTTATAGGAGATAATTAAAGTAGTTAAAATAGAGACAGAAAGTAGAATAGTGGGTTCCAGGGTTTGGGGAGGGAGAATAGAAAATTATTTTTTGGCTGGGTGTGGTGGCTCATGCCTGTAATCCCAGCACTTTGGGAGGCCAAGGCAGATGGATCACTTGAGGTCAGGAGTTCAAGAACAGCCAGGCCAACATGGTGAAACCCCATCTCTACTAAAACAACACAAAAATTAGCCGGGTGTGGAGGCGGGTACCTGTGATCCCAGCTACTCGGGAGGCTGAGTCACAAGAATCGCTTGAACCTGGGAGGTGGAGGTTGCAGTGAGCTGAGATCATGCCACTGCACTCCAGCCTAGGTGAGAGAGTGAGACTCGGTCTCAAAAAAAAAAAAAAAAAATTATTTTTTAATGTATATAGAGTTCCCGTTTTACAAGATCAAGAGTTTTGGAGATGGAGGGTGGTGATGGTTGCACAACATTATGTATTTAATACCACTGACCAGTACACTTAAGAATGGGTAAGGTGCTAAATTTTATGTTATGTGTATTTTACAATTAAAAAATTGGAGGCTGGGCGCAGTGGCTCATGCCTGTAATTCCAGCACTCTGGGAGGCCGAAGCAGGTGGATCACTTGAAGTGAGTAGTTCAAGACCAGCCTGGCCAACATGGAGAAACCCCGTGTCTACTAAAATACAAAAGTTAGCCAGGTGTGGTGGTGCACGCCTGTAGTCCCAGCTACTCAGGAAGCTGAGGCAGGAGAATCAGTTGAACCCAGGAGCGGGAGGTTGCAGTGAACCAAGATCACACCACTGCACTCCAGCCTGGGTGACAGAGCGAGACTCCGTCTGAAAAAAATAAAATAAGTAATAAAAATAAAAAAATAAGAAACAAAAATTGGAAAAAGGACAAAAAGAAAAATAAGTCATAGAGGCCAGAAGGCAGTGGGATAATATATGCAAAATGCTGAAAGCAAAAGACTGCCAAAGCAATCATTCTTTTTTTTTTTTTTTTGTAGAGATGGGGGTCTCCCTATGTTGCCTAGGCTGGTATCAGACTCTTGGGCCCAAGTGATCCTCCTGCCTTGGCCTCCCAAAGTGTTGGGATTACAGGCATGAGCCACTGCATCTGTGCCAATAGTCTTAATTAAATGTATCTTTTTGGCCAGGCGTGGTGGTGCCTCACGCCAGTAATCCCAGCACTTTGGGAGGCCAAGGCAGGTGGATCACTTGAGATCAGAAGTTCGAGACCAGCCTGGCCAACATGGTGGAACCCAGTCTCTACTAAAAATATAAAAATTAGCTGGGTGTGGTGGCGGGCACCTGTAATCCCACCTACTTGGAAGGCTGAGGCAGGAGAATTGCATGAGCCTGGGAGGCGGAGGTTGCAATAAGCAGAGATTGCACCACTGCCCTCCAGCCTGGGCAACACAGCAAGACTTTGTCTCAAAAAAAATAAATAAATAAATAAAAATAAATGCACCTTTTTAAACTTCAAGCATATCAGCTAGTTTCTATATCCTAGAACTCGATGAAGAAATTCTTATTTGCACTGGGCATGGTGGCTCACGCCTGTAATCCCAGCACTTTGGGAGGCCAAGGTGGGCGGATCATGAGGTCAGGAGTTTGAGACCAGCCTGGTCGACATGGTGAAACCCTGTCTCTACCAAAAATACAAAAATTAGCTGGGTGCGGTGGCGGGCACCTGTAATCCCAGCTACTCCGGAAGCTGAAGCAGGAGAATCGCTTGAACCCAGGAGGAGGAGGTTGCAGTGAGCCGAGATTGCGCCACTGCACTCTAGCCTGGGTGACAGAGCAAGACTCAGTCTCAAAAAAAAAAAAGAAATTCATATTTGCTCCTTAAAATAGCCTTCATTATTTGGAAACTTCAGTTATATTTTCTAGAAGCATTCTTCTTTCCAAATGTCAAGGGTTCTAATCTTTTTAGCCTATTTTATAGGGAGACTCACTCATTGTCACTGCCTCCAAATATCTTTAGGCACTTTCATTGGTATTAGATTTTCTTCAGTCATGGCTATGACTTTTTCAAAGTGGAGTTAACAGAACCACAATTTTGTACAAAGTTGTCCTGCTACCAAATAACCTTAAAACTGCCTTATCTTGTCAGACCTCAGTGAGACTATTAGGCTGATGTCTTCAGTGTCCTTTTTGCACTGTAATTGTAACTGATGGCTTGTAGTCTCTCCTTTTCAGTACAGCCTAGCGATAATGACAGGGGTCCCTGAAGCCAGATTGCCTCAACTCAGATCACATACTAGCTGGTTAAGTTGACCCTGACAACCCAACCTATCTATGCTTAGTTTTCTTTGTTTAAAAAATGGCAATAAAGGTGTCTATCTCATAGAATTATTGTTGGGCCTGAATGAGTTAATACATGAAAAGCACTTATATCAATGGCTGACCCATAATGAGCACTCAACAAATGCTACTTCAATTATCAACATAAAAGTTTGAACGACTTTTCCCTAGATGCCTTACTTTATGCTGAATACACTGGAGCAGTGTATTAAACTGCCAGTCATCTATCTGCTCACTTACTCACAACCCTGTCCATATATTTTTCTTCAGCTATATCTACTGGCTTAACAATAATTTTCTCTCTGAGAATTGAGTGCCATGGCAAATGTAAAAATTTCACTACATGATTCGCCTTCCAAGCCACTGAGCCAAAAAGTGTTAAATACAGCCATCTCCAGGGCAAATACCTAGAAATTCCATTCTTTAGATTTCTATATTCAGCTTCCTATCACAAAGTCAATTCTTTCTTCAATCTCCCCATGAAGATGGGGATTTTTGTTTTGTTCACTTACATTTCCCAAACACTGAGAACGATGCCCGCCATGTGGCAGATACTCAGTTAAGCAGGTGATATGTGGAGGAACTTAACAGGATCCCGGTGATCCAAATTCTTAAATAAGCATAGGAATGCAAATACTATCAAATTGTTTTCTTTTTAATTAATTTTGTTTTCCTGTTATTTAATTTATTTTTAAAATGAAGTCTCCCTAGGATAAATGTTTTAACTTTAAAAAATTAGATCTTTAACAAATTACTAAAAATTAGAAAAAAAATTAGATCCACCATCTATACCATGTTCATATATTCATTCCTCAAAGAAACCTAGATTAGTCAAATTATAGAGAAAATGTACAATATTTTATTAGTTAAGTTTATTGTTATCTTTTAGATGAATACTCTTCCTTTGGTATTTGTGAGAGATTGGTTCCAGAACACCCTGCAGATACCACAATTTGGTCAAGTCACTGATATAAAATGGTGCAAAGTATCTGCATCTAACCTACACATTCCTCTCCCTTGTATACTTTAAATCATCTCTAGATTACTTATAATACATAATACAATATAAATGCTATATAAATAGGTATTATATATTTTTTGGTCTTTTTTTGTATCATTATTTTTTATTATTTTCCCCCTCAGTATTTTCTTTTCCTTTTTTTTTTTTTGAGGAGTTCTGCTCTTGTCGCCCAGGCTGGAGTGAAATGGCGTGATCTCAGCTTACTGCAACCTCCGCCTCCTGGGTTCAAGCAATTCTCCTGCCTCAGCCTCCTGAGTAGCTGGGATTACAGGCACCCACCACCACGCCTGGCTAATTTTTGTATTTTTAGTAGAGACGGGGTTTCACCATGTTGGCCAGGCTGGTCTCAAACTCCTGACCTCAGGTGATCCGCCTGCCTCGGCCTCCCAAAGTGCTGGGATTACAGGCATGAGCCACCACACCTGGCCCCCAGTACTCTCAGTCCAAGGTTGGTTGAATCCATGAATGCAGAATACCCAGGTATGGATGGCTGACTGTACCTAACCACCCATGGAATGAAATATAATTCTTCCCTTTAGAGATCCTCAAGGGGCCTCTGAAACTCTTCTCTATGGTGAAACATCACATTGCAATACGGCCACTGACACCCAAATTCTGCAAATAAGATGTTAACATCTCAGGCATTTACTACTCTTAAGCTAATACTTCTGAAATTGTTAGCTGCAAAGACAATTAAGCATGTAGAAGCTTTTTAAAGGTCCTTGGTAAAGATCAAGACTGATGTATCACTTAGTCTCCTTTTCGTTTAGGGACCTTCTGCATATTAACCATGAAATTAGAGGTAACACTGCAATTTCTTTTCTCCCTTTACATATGTTAGAAAACATTTATGAACTTTTTTTCTGGCTAATTTCTAGTTTGCACTATGTTTGCTGCATTTGTGTTTCTGAGCAAAGGTGAATTCATTAAAGAAGCAGTCTATATTGCAATATTTAAGAACTGTAGCTATACCTCGTGAAAGACTAGAACCTGGAAATGGAAAGCCACCAGGAGCTCAGGGAGTTATGGTAAGCTCTGTCTCTTGGGAGCTACTTGTTTTCTCTAACTGCTTTGTGCTTTGATCTCTTTTTGTAGAGCAGCTTTTACTCTTCAGCACACACTTGGCCAAACATGGTTGCTCTAGTTCAAGAAAGCATTGAGAAGCTCTACCATACTTTTTGAATAACTGGATTTCTTCTAAGGTATAGGATCTCTAACATTGTATACTAGGATTCCATTCCCAGGACTGATCCTGACACAAAATTAACTTGTAATCCAATAAGAGTTTTTGTTTTTTGGGTTTTTCCTTTTTTTTTTTTTTGAGATAGAGTTTCACTCTACAGTCCAGGCTGGAGTGCAATAGTGCAATCTCAGCTCACTGAAACCTCCGCCTCCCGGGTTCAAGCAATTCTTGTGCCTCAGCCTCCCGAGTAGCTGAGACTACAGGTGTGCACCACCACACCCAGCTAATTTTTTTGTATTCTTAGTAAAGACAGGGTTTCACCATGTTGCCCAGGCTGGTCTTGAACTCCAGAGCTCAGACAATCTGCCTGCCCTGGCCTCCCAAAGTGCTAGGATTACAGGGGTGAGGCACTGTGCCCAGCCCCAAGTAAGATCTTTTTAAAATAAAGTTTCAGTGACCTAGAATTCAGCCATTACATAAATGATACCTAACCCATCAGGTGGAGGAAAAGGGAGGAAGGAGAGGAGAAAGCGGAAGGATTAGCTAAGAAACCTAACCTTGCAATCATGAGTTCTGATTTACAGAGAGAACCTGACTGCCAAAGTAAGGAAGAAAACACCACCAGTTAAGAGACAGAATTTTTTTTTTTAATGCATGCTAGAACTTGTGTTCTAAATAGTGCTTAGAGATGCGTTAAATATAGCTAAGAGGATAAAGAATTTAGGACTAGATGGGTCCTTAAAGAGTTTCTAGCCTCCACACTCATTTGATAGCTGAAAAGTTAAATACCTGCCCAAAGCCAGTTAGTGAGGGTCAGTGCTCGAATCAGACCTCCTGTCTCCTGACTCTTTAGCCAGTGACCTCCTCCATCGTGCCAGAAAACCTTTCATTCCAGGAGCATTAATTCTGACAAAGATGGTAACCTTACCGAGGGGCATAATGGAGAGGTATTTGCCTCGAAACTTGCTGGTGATTTTGATTTCCTGACGCAATGTCCAGCCATTTTTGGACTCAGCATGGTGCGCAGCAGCAGGGGGATGATGACTCACCTTGAAGAAATCAGGTTCAAATTAAGACGGCAGAAAGGAGAAGAAAAAGATACTGCCTATAAATTGGTGAGAAACACCAAAATTCACACTTGACGTTTTTACACCCACAACAGTAGGTGAATCCCAGAACCTCCAGGGTCTCCAACGCTGACGTTCTGAAGAAAAAGAATAAAAGCTGGGATGACAGGGACTAGAATTTCTGCAAACATAAGACCCAGGGGATTAACCAAAAAATCATCTCTTTCTTCAGAAAGGAAATGCGTTATGGTTCTGAGGTTCCTTTACCTGTTCACAGAGGGATCGGTACCCATTCTCCTCTAATCGGTCCAGCTCAAAGGTCTCCCCAAGCAGTGGGTTGAATGGCTTACTGGTGCGGAAGACAGTAGTGGAGTAGGAGGACACGGTGAAAGCTGCAACATAACAGAGCTGTTCTAGAGAATTCTCACATTTTGCAGCTCGGTCTAACAGCTCATGGTATTCCAGATCTTCAGTAAGGCGCTGAAGCATGGACAAGGGCTCATTAAAGTTTACCTGTAAGGAGAAGAACAGATATAAAAACTATGCTCACTCATCTATAAGAGACAGTTTAATTTTTTTTGCAGTTTAGGAAATAAATCACTGGGAAAAGAGGGCTTTGCTCAGTAGAGCGGCTCTAATATTTAACCCGCAAACAACCCATTCTCCTTGTCAACTGTTCATGTCTGTGAGTGGCAGAAATCACTGTTTTCATTTCACTAACTGTAAGCTCTTTGAGATGGGAACCATGCCTCTTCTGTTGAGTGCTACATACCCAAGATCCATCAGTGACTGGCCCACAGAAGACTATCATCAAATAGGTGTTGGATGAATAAGTTTTTTAAAAAAGAAATGCAATGTATTTTAGCACAAGTATACCCAGAGAGGAAATCAGGTATTTAAAATTCTTGGAGAATGAAAGAAACAGTAGTAAATTATAAGTACAGCTATATCCTGACTAGTTATAAAAGTTAGTTTCCACCCTGGACAAAACAATTGCTAAATCTCAGTTCAGTTCTGCATCAGGCCAGGATTCTGATTTCTCCTCTGAGGCTGGATAATTGTGTTTCTGGGAGTGAAGTGCTCATGATGGGGGTTGAGAGGGGGCTGTGCATGCTCTTACCTTTCTAATTCTGAAGCCAGCTTAAGGCGACCAAGTACTGGATAAAGCAAGCATGTGTGTGTTTATGTGTGTGTGCCAGGAATTGGGGGCTTCTGTTGGGGGAGATGTTCATTCATTCATTTATTCACTTACTCATTCCACAAATATTTATTGAGTACCCATGTGTGCCAGACCCTATGCTACCCACTGGATAGAGAGAAGTTAACAAGAGAAGCTGACTTTTTTGGGGAGTGGAGGGGTAGGGAGTGAGAAACATTGTTCATGCTCCCCACCCTTCTACTCCCTAAAAAAGTCAGCTTCAAAATTAACTTTGAAATTTTAAATGATTTTACTATGTAAAAATTCACTATAAAACAAGTCAGGTTCCCAAGTTAGTCCATAAAGCTTATTTAATTAACAATATAGATGAACAAGTCTAAATATTATTAGCCTGAGTTCTAAGTCCAGAGAACAAAAGAAGAAAGAAAAAATTCCCTTTTAGTGAATGGTTCTGGCCTTAAGCAACGCTTTACTTAAACAAACAAAAAAAACACAACACTTTTCTTTCTGATGTTCCATCTCTTTTGGCATTTTTGTTCACCCTTCTACCCACCAATCTCTGAGCTACATATTACCCTAATATTTGCTATCCCCCCACCGCCCGCTCAATCATGAAATTAATATCGTATAATTTTTAACTGTAAAAAACTTTGAAAACAAAGTATCAAGGAAAAAATTTTCTTGAAATGAGATCACCACTATTAACATTTTCAGTTTGTTTCTATACATTCATACATTTTTAAAAGTAATAAACTTGGCCACGTGTGGTGGCTCATGCTTACAATCCTAGCACTTTGAGAGGCTGAGGCAAGCGGATTGCTTGTGCTCAGCAGTTTGAGACCAGCCTGGGAAACATGGCAAAACACCATCTCTATAAAAAAAAAACACAAAAATTAGCACGGTGTGGTGGCGTGCACCTGTAGTCTCAGTTACTTGGGAGGCTGAGGTGGGATGATGGCTTGAGCCCAGGAAGCAGAAGTTGCAGTGAGCCAAGATCATGCCACTGCACTCCAGCCTGGGCAACAGAGCGAGACTCTGTCTAAAAATAAATAAATAAATAAATAAATAAATAAATAAATAAATAAATAAATAAATAAAATTCATAAACTAGAGCCTGCTTTTTCTCTGAGAAATATCCCAAATGTTTCTCTGTGAACATTTTCCAGTGAACACAGAGCCACAGAGCCAACAACACTCATCCTTTGAGAAATAGGACCCACCAAAACAGTGTGCCATACCCCAGAGCCCTCTTCCCTACACTGAAAGACAAGCAGTATGATGACACAAATGCACACTGAGGGGTGGCGCGCTGCAAAAGCCATAATCCTCGATTCTTTTTAAAGAGGGCACTTATTAACTACACCCAATAAAATCTGTCCGTGGCAGAATTTAGACAATACGAAGTAACATTTCCATACATTTTGAGGAAAACTGGGGACAGGCAGTGTACTCCACTGGTGGTACTAGACATACCAGCAGTGCATGGGACTAGAATCAGCACATTGCTATCACTGCTTTTCACACACACACAGCCTTGCCCATCAACAACCAGTTTCTCCAAAAGTGCCAAGCTTCTTATAATGGTCATTTTATTACTCAAAAGCCAAACAGGGAAAGAAATGAGTCTGAGTATTTAAAGTAGAAGGAAGCAGGGAGCTATACAGCTGATGAAAAATTAGGCACCCAAAAAAAAAAAAGACAACCCAGAGATTAGCAGCAACAGGAAGCCATAACCATTGGTAGGGTGGAGAGATGGGGAGAAGCAGCAGTATTACTACAGCCTAGAGGTGGGGGTCCAAGAGAGGAGGATCAGGAGAATGTAAAACATCAAGGCAGGGGAGGCCTCTCCAGTGAAAACTAGAGCCACGTAGGTGCGCCAGAGCACCACTCAAGAGGGCATAGAGGGAGAGACTTCCCACGGCTATAACCTCCTACTGGTATCTTGCATTAGTGAAGCCCAGCCAGACTCCAGTAGCCACGGAAGCCTGAAAAAACACTTCCTAGAGGGATTAGTTTTCCTGTGTTACAGCCTAGAGTAGGGGAAGGGTGAGGACTTGATCTGCGGGCAAACAGGTACAGGACTGTACATTCTTAAAGGCAAGATCAATAAGGAACTAATGGTAAAGGAGGACAGAGAAGTCACCTAGACCCAGAAGCTATTTCTTTCTTTTTTTTGAGATGGAGTCTCACTCTGTTGCCCAGGCTGGAGTGCAGTGGCACAATCTTGGCTCACTGCAATCTCCGCCTCCCAGATTCAAGCAATTCTCCTGCCTCAGCCTCCCAAGCAGCTAGGATTACAGACGCGCGCCAACATGCCCGGCTAATTTTTATATTTTTAGAGAGATGTTGGCCAGGCTGGTCTCGAACTCCTGACCTCAAGTGATCCGCCTGCCTCAGCCTCCCAAAGTGCTGGGATTTTTTTACAGGTGTGGGCCACCGCGCATGGCACCAGAAGCTGTTTCTAAGCAGGAACTACATTCCTGAGACTGCAATGACATGCCTTTCCAGTCCACTTTCCCACTACTCCCTTCAAGGCACCTAATACTCCAGACAAGTGGGGTTTCTTTTCAAGCCCCCAATAAACTAATTATTATTTTAGGTTTATCCTAAGGCTACTCATGGCCTTTTCTTATCTGAAGGTCAACCTTTTTTTCTTTTGAGACAGGGTCTTGCTCTCACCCAGGCTGGAGTGCAGTGGTGAGATCATGGCTCACTGCAGCCTCAACCTCCCGGTCTCAAGTGATCCTCCCACCTTAGCCTCCCAAGTAGTTGGGACTACAGGCACACATAACCATGCTGGCTAACTTATTACTATTTTGTTTTGAGAGACAGTCTCGCTTGTTGTCAAGGCTGGAATGTAGTGGCACCATCTCGACTCACTACAACCTCTGCCTCCAGGGTTCAAGCCATTCTCATGCCTCAGCATCCTGAGTAGCTGGGGCTACAGGCTCGTGCCACCATGCCCCACTAATTTTTTCTATTTTAGTAGAGACAGGGTTTCACCATGTTGCCTAGGCTGGTCTCGAACTCCTGAGCTCAGACAATCCACCCATCTTGGTCTCCCAAAGCGCTAGGATTACAGGCATGAGCCACTGTGCCCAGCCGAATTTTTTATTATTTTAGAGACAGGGTCTCCCCACGTTGCCCAGACTGGTCTTGAAGTCTTGGACTCAAGCAGTCCTCCTGCCTCAGTCTCCCAAGTGTTGCGTTGCACCCAGCCCAACACTTCTCTAACAAAAATTCTACATATTTGTACATAAACCTATTTGTTTTCCAAGACCCAGTTAATTACTTCGACATTTGCTAAATGATTTATACATGCCAGGCACAGGGCTAAGCATCAAGGTTATAAACACCATCAAGACGTAGCCCCTGATCACAAGGAACGCAGTCTATGAAGAGGCAGAAACCACACATTGGTCCATAGCTTCAAGAGGGTAGGGAGAATGCCTTCTGTATTTTTGTAGGCTTAGTAGCTGGCTGTGGACAAAACCTGTAGCCACTCGCCCATCCCCACCATCCATTCTTCCATTCTTCTACAACTGGTAGAACCCTTAATTTTTCACAAGGCCATGCCATCCAGAACAGAAGTCTTCATTTCTAGCCTTCTCTCCAGCTAACTGTGGCCATATAGCTAAGTTTTAGCCACACAGATTTAAGTGATAGTGATTTATGCAACTTCCAGGAAGTATCTTCTTGGTTTTTTGAGACAGAGTCTAGCTCTGTCACCCAGGCTGGAGTATAGTGGTGCGATCTCAGCTCACTGCAACCTCTGCCTCCTGGGTTCAAGCAATTCTCCTGCATCACCCTCCCGAGTATCTGGGACTAGAGGTGTGCACCACCACACCCGTTTAACTTTTGTATTTTTAGTAGAGACAGGGTTTCACCATTTTGCCCAGGCTGGTCTTGAACTCCTGACCTCAAGTGATGCACGTGCCTTGGCCTCCCAAAGTGCTGGGATTACACGCATGAGCCACCGCACCCAGCCAGGATGCACCCTTAAATGGTACAGCCTTTCCTCTTTTTCCATTTTCCGGCTAGCTGGAATAAGGCTCTGATGACTCAAGCTGGAGCAGCCACTTTGGGCCTGAGGACTGAGGCCAAAGGCAGCAGAGCCCCAGGACAGAAAGAAGCCTGGCTCTGACACCATAGAGTATGGCACTAGCCCTGGACCACCTACTTCTGGGCTTGAACATAATGAGTTAAGCCAACATTTGTTTAAGGCAGAGGTTGACAACTTTTTCTGCAAAGGGCTGGATAGCAAATATTTAGGCTTTGAGGGCCATATGGTCTTTGTCACAACCACTTAACACTGCTGTTATAGGATGAAAGCAGCTGCAGATGATACGTAAATGAAAGAGTATCATTGTGCTCCTATAAAATGTCATGGATGTTAACAACTGAATTCATCTAATTTTCACATCACAAACTATTATGCTTCTTAGATGGTAGCCAGAGTTGGCCTGAGGGCCTTAGTGTGATGACCCCTGGCTTAAACTGATATATTTTGAATTTTTTTTTTTGTCTCCCCAACCCCACAGTTGGCCCCATGAATTTGTTTCTTTAATAAATTGAACCTATATCTTCTATACCTAACTGAAAACTAGCGCAACATCAGGCAAATAGTAGGCACCCAGAAAATGCTTGTGAAATGAACAAGCAGTGATACACACTGTTTACACCATCAACAGTGGAACTTGTTGGAACACAAAGGAGAGACATTTCATCCTGACAGGATGCACTGGAGGTTTGCTGAAAAAGACACACTATAGCTGCATCCTCAAGAAATGGGTATTAGCCACAGCAGAAAAAAAGTGGCAAGTGTTAATAGGGAACTGACAAAAGTCTAGGCAGAAAGAGCAGTGTGTACAAATGCCCTGAGGGAAAGGACAGGATGCCTGAAGGAAATCCTAATGACTAGAACTTGGGATGCGTGGGGTAGAGCCTCGCCCATGGGGAGGAGTTACCAAGCCCCCTAAGGTATCTGGACTATGATGAAAGCAATGAAGATCCAGTAAAGGATTTTCAGCTGAGGACTGACATGACTACATTTGACATTTTTCAAAAATCACTCTGACAACAGTGTAGACAGACTGGAGGAAGACATGACGGGGCAGAGAGGTCAGCCCAAACACCATCTTTGCCATGGGGATGGTCATCTGTCTGGTTTGAATGAGCGATTTTTGCTTCTGTGTTCCCTAAGCCTTTGTCTGTGTCGTACTTTCCATAATACTATCACAGAAAATAATGTTTTCTACCTGTTTTCATGTCTGTCTCTTTTAAACTACACACTTCTTGAAAACAGAAACTATGATGTATTTATCTTTGCATGTCCCCAGTGCATCTAGCATAGGAATTTGCTCAAAAATAACTGCTACTGAGCATATACATCTGATTCTAGGTGATCTGGGAACATATCAGATCCAGAGCCAAAATTAAAGCAGCTAAATTTATGGAACAGTTTATGATTATAAAGGTAAAAAAGACCATGCCACAAACTGCCGCACAAGTGGGTGGGGCTGTCATATCAGCACTCTTCCCACTGAGGCTTGAGAGGAACTCCTGGCAGCAGCTCCAGTGTGCAAGAACCTTACCGGCATGGGGATCTTAGAGAGTTCTTTTCCAATGCAGTTCTTCATGATGCTCCATAAATTGAGGCTATAGTTTGGCTTGTATGGTATTCTGGTTCTCTTTTCCTTTTTGGTCTCCTCCAGCTGATGCTTGTACTGAGAGCAAAACAAAGCCATTCAACCACCCACAAAGAACAGAAAACCTGGTATTTATAACCTTCCCTTCCCCCGTGCTAAAAAAAGAAAAAAAAATCAGTTTCTCTTAGCACTTCACAAAAAAAAAAAAAAAATCCTTGGGAATCACAACCCACGTCCCTCACCTCTGAGATCTCCCATATAAGAATTACCTGTTCATCAAGGCTGATGTCACTGCTGGCTCCACTGATATTGCTGCCAGTACGTCTGTACAGATGGGAAACACAGGAGAATTAGAACAAAGACCAGAACTAGAGTGTGGTCCTGGACATTTCTTTACAAAGCAGAATGCCAAGTACACTGTATAAACTTATTGATGGGTGATCAAATGACGACATTTAGAGTAGGAATGAATTTAAGTATCTCTGGAGAATTTGTTTACGTAAAAAAGCTGACATTTTTTCACTTACTTAAGAAAAAGGGCCCATTCTACAAAGAGATCTTGAGACAAAAAAAAAAAAAAAAAAAGGGAAAAGGGCCCAGATTCAATATTGACAATTATAATACTCTCACTGAAATGTTTTTAACCTTTTGATGGTTAAAATATGATGCTAAAATACCACCATATTGATGGTGAAGATATGTTTATTTGCTTCAACAATCAAGGATAACTCACTTGTGGCCCAAATTTTCAGGCATGGTGATGATCTCAGGTGCATCAAAAAATTCATTCTCATCATCTTCATCGCTCATGTCCCCTTTGCCAGAGCAGCACTGATCTACAAGAAGAAAAGCCCCATTTGTTGACTTTGGTTATCTTTACCAAATGTCTGATATAGCAAGTTCTTTTAAATACTAACCACAAACACAGCAAAAAATGGTAGAAAGCAGTGGAAAATCCAGAATAAATCAATGGGTTCCAATTCCATTTCACATGACTCATTGACTGTGAAGAGTTTGGAGTTCTCCTATCAACTGCAGAAAACCATCTGGCTCACCTTAGACCAGGCTACCTGAGAGCTAAGTGTCTTACCTTTACCAGAACCCACATTGCCAGGAGTGTTTGCCGGCAGCACCGTGGCTCCTCGGAAGGCCCTCTCCAGGTGATTATGCTGCTTCGCCAGCTGCTCGAGGGTTTCTTCCAGTCGGATACGCTGGTCTCTTTCATACTGTAGTGACTTTTGCCATTTTTTACTATGGGTCTGGGCTAACATGAGGAAATCTCTGCAGGCCTGTATGGAGAAAGCGTTGACTGTGTCAGCTCAACTAGTCAGAGTTTCCCCTCAGGCTTCTGCAAGCCCATTGAGTAACCTTATTCTGGGAACTTTTAACTGGCAAATTACAATGAAAGACTTTCCCTTTTATGCCAAGGTATCAGGGACAGCTAGCTCCACGCTGAAATCAAGGTCAAACCCAGAAAAAAAGTAAATATGGTTGTCATGGTTCTTTTACACTTTCCTGGTCACGAGAACCAAACAAATGCCAAGTGAGCAGTAAACCCAGACGAAGTATTTGTGACAACATCAAAAAGAGCAGGTATGTGAACTGCACCAAAAGTAGAGAACTGCTGACTGAAAGAAGGATGAGAGCACACACAGGATAACTGCTTTCAACAAATTCTTGACTAAACTCAAGTAACTGAAAGCTAAGGACTTCAGACACTGAGAACAGAGAATCCACACTGAGGTAGACCAAGTATGGGGAAACTCATTTGGTTTTTATTTTGGTCACTAAGAGAAACAACTGACCTTAAAAATTAGGAGCCTTCAGTGTGCAGGAAGAAGGTTTAAAAAGAAAAATATTAGAAGCCTACTTGAAAAATCAAAGAAGAGGTTTAGAGAAAAAACCCACAAATATGATTATATCAAGTCCCTCCACTGGCTCCCCACTAACATGAGGATCAAATACTAACTACTGGTTATGAACATAAAGAGACCTTCATAATACGGCCATCACCTGCCTTGTATTCTCCTCGCCAGGCATGTGTACTTAGCACTGCACCCTACAATGCAGCCACACTGAACTGCTCACCATTTCTTGCACACAGATTTCTGGCACAGTCTGGAGTAGAGTGCAGATCACAGCTCACTGCAGCCTCAACCTCGTCGGGCTCAGGTGATCCTCCTACCTTAGCCCCGCTGAGCAGTTGGGACTACAGTTATGTACCACCATGGCCGACTAATTTTTGTATTTTGTAGAGATGGAATTTTGCCTTGTTACCCAGACTAGTATCGAACTCACGGACTCAAGTGATCTACCCATCTCAGCCTCCCAAAGTGTTGGGATTACAGGCATGAGCCACTGTGCCCAGTCGTGGACACAGATTTCTTTCAGGCCTACATACCTCAGCATATGCTATTCACTCTACCTAGAATGTCCATCCCTATCCCCTGTTTCTAAGAAAGGGCAAATCTTTCTTTAAGATCTATGGCAAATGCTACTTTGTGACATCTCCCCACCAGTCTCATAAGCAGCCAGTCTCTTCTCTACATTTCCACTGCATTTTGCACAAACTTCTATTTTACACATGCACAGCAGTATCGTGACTGATTTTCTATCTCTCCAGATGGATCACATGCAATTTAAAAACACATTTTTGAGTTTATTCATATATAGATCTCCAGCTCCTAATTTAGTTGCTCTGTACATAATAGGGATCTGATAAAGTTTGCTTAATAAATAAATAAAGGAAGGAGGCAAGCAACGTAAGCTTAAAAATCTATTCCCTGTTACAGAGAAGCTAAAAGGTAAACAGGATATTTACTCCCATGGTTTCAACCACTGCCTATAGGCTAATGGCTACTAAATCACTAATTCTAGCCCAGCACTTACTGAGATTCAGAATAGAATATCCAACTCCCTATTCAACGGCTCAAAGTAACTTCAAAATTAATGCATCCCAAAGTGAACTCATCACCTTCAGTTTTTTTTTTTTTTTTTTTTTTTTTGAGACATGTTCTTGCTCTGTCACCCAGGTTGGAGTGCAGTGGCACAATCATGGCTCACTGCAGCCTCAACCTCACAAGTTCAAGTGATCCTCCTACCTGAGCCTCCCAAGTAGCTGGGACTACAGGCATGAGCCACAATGCCCAGCTAATTTTTGTAGTTAATATAGAGGTGGGATTCTGCCATGTTGCTCAGGCTAATCTTTCAACTCCCAGGCTCAAGTGATCCACACCTGGGACTACAGGTGTGAGGCACCACACCCAGCCTCATCAGTTTCCTATGTTGTCTCTGCTTTTCCCTTTGA
Source organism: Homo sapiens (assembly GCF_000001405.40). Taxonomy (NCBI): domain Eukaryota; kingdom Metazoa; phylum Chordata; class Mammalia; order Primates; family Hominidae; genus Homo; species Homo sapiens. The sequence continues at coordinate 59,603,857 of NC_000011.10, forward strand.
TGTTCCCCAATCCAACTTTCAGGGCCCTCCCAGTTGTCCAAGCCAGAAAATTAAGGGGCATCCTTCTCTTACTTTTGCTTCCTTCCTCACAGCCAGTTATCAAGTCCTATTGATTCTTCTTTAATATTTTAAAAATCTGTACATGTCTTTCCATCCTCCTTACTCAGAAACAGTACAGAGTGCATACTCTGGAGTTGGACCGGTAGGGCTCAAATCACAGATCCATCCCACTATCTAGCTGTACAAATAAGGGTAAGTTATTTAACCTCTCTGTGCCTCATCTTCCTTTTCCATAAACAAATAGTAACAATAGAGTAACTACCTCAAAGAGTCGTTGTTTTACATGTAAGCACTTAGAACCACATTAGGCTCACAATAAACATTCAATAAGGTGTTAGTTATTATAATTATAAGCTGGGCATGGTAGCTCACGTATGTAAAACACTTTGGAAGGCCAAGACAGAAGGAGTACCTGAGACCAGGAGTTTAAGATCAGCCTGGACAACATACAAGACCCCATCTCTATATAAAAATTAAAAAAAGATATAAAAATTTAAAAAAGAGGCTGGGTATAGTGGCTTACACCTTTAATCCCAGCACTTTGGGAGGCCGAGGCAGGCAAATCACCTGAGGTTAGGTGTCCGAGACCAGCCTGGCCAACATAGTGAAACCCCATCTCTACTAAAAATACAAAAATTAGCCAGGCATGGTGATGTGCGCCTGTAGTCCCAGCTACTTGGGAGGATGAGGTAGAAGAATTGCTTGAACCCAAGAGGCGGAGGTTACAGTGAACCAAGATTGTGCACTGCACTCCAGCCTGGGTGACAAAGCAAGACTCTGTCTCAAAAAAAAAGTTGAGTGTAGCAGCTCTGCCTGTAGTCCCAGCTACTCAGAAGGCTGAGGAGTGAGACTCACTTGAGCCTGGGTGCTCAAGGCTGCAGTGAGCTATGATGGTGCCACTGCACTCCAGCCTGGGTGAGAGAGCAATACTCTGTCTCTAAAAAAAAAAGAAAAAGGCCGAGCACAGTGGCTCATGTCTGTAATCCCAGCACTTTGGGAGGCCTAGGCAGGTGGATCACAAGGTCAGGAGTTCAAGACCAGCCTGGCCAAGATGGTGAAACCCCATCTCCACTAAAAACACAAAAAATTAGTCGGGTGTGGTAGTGTGCGCCTGTAGTCCCAGCTACTTGGGAGGCTGAGGCAGAAGAACTGCTTGAACCCGGGAGGCGGAGGTTACAGTGAGCTGAGATCACACTATTGCACTCCAGCCTGGGTGACAAAGCGAGACTCTGTCTCAAAAAAAAAGAAAAAAATTATGACTGCATCCAAATTGGTCTCATCTTCTAATCCACTACTACCAAGCTTAGTTGGTATGATCTGCAGCCCTTTCTCTCCCCCACAATTAACTCCTCCCAAGCCTCATGCTAGCTGCTTCCTTGCTCGACTAACAGTCAATTACCAGCAGTTCCCAGACTTTGGGGAAAGGGATAGATCTGAATATCCCATACCACTACCTGGATCAAAGCTTCTCCCTCATTCCCTTTTATTTCATTTATTTATTTATTTATTTTTGAGACAGAGTCTCGCTCTGTCACCCAGGCTACAGAGTGCAGTGCTACGATCTCAGCTCACTGCAACCTCCGCCTCCTGGGTTCAAGTGATTCTCATGCCTCAGTCACCATGTCTGGCTAATTTTTTTATTTCTTTTAGTAGAGATGGGGGTTTCACCATGTTGGCCAGGCTGGTCTCGAACTCCTGACCTCAGGTGATCCACTCGACTCGGCCTCACAAAGTGCTGGGATTACAGGTGTGAGGCACCATGCCTGGCCTCATTCCCTTTTAGTAATACTGACTGTAATTAAAATTTGCCAGAGACAATCATATGTCAGGCACTTTGCCGAGCACTTCACATCAATTATCTGACAAAAGCCTTTCAACAAGCCTTTGAAGTATCTGCTAGTATCATTACCATTTACAGATAAGGAATTGATGTCACAGAGGATGCAGGTTGCCCCAAGTTATACACATAGGTCATAGAGGCAGTTGGACGGGATGCAGGTTGCCTCAAGTTACAGAGATAGGTCATGAAGGCAGTTGGACTCCAGGCCCCAAGCTCTAGCTTGCCTTTCTTCATAGGAAGACTCTCACTGCTCCTTCAGAATTTAGTTGAGGAAATTAGAGAAATTTCCTAGTCTGAGCCAAATACTTCCAAAGTGCTATACCATAGCAGCCTGTGCTCATTTCTATCAAGTCACTCAACATAGTCCATAATGATCCCTTTAATTCTCCATCCCTCACTAAATAGTGATCTTCCTGAGGACACGGACCATATCTGCCCTCAGCAATATCCACTAGCACAGTTCGTGGAACACAGCTCATGCTCAATAGATGGCAGATGAATATACTAAAAGTGTCAAATTTAATTCTCTGATCAGATTCACTTTGACAGTTAGAAAAGCTCTATCCTAAGCAGTCAAGAAACTGAAACGGCCATAAAAAAAAAACAATATCATGTCCTTTGCAGCAACATGAATGCAACTGGAGGCCAATATCCTAACTGAATTAATGCAGACACAGAAAAAAAAAAAAAACACATCTTCTCACTTATAAGTGGGAGCTAAACATTGGGTACACACCAACACAAAGACAGAAACAATAAACACTAGGGATTCCAAAAGTGGGGAGGAAGAGAACCAAAGGTTGAAAAACTACCTGTTGCGTACTACGTTCACTACTTGGGCAATGGGATAATTAGAAGCCCAAACCTCAGCATCACGCAATATACCTATGTAACAAACCTGCACACGTGCCCCTTGAATCAAAAATTAAATTAATTTTTAAAGAAGTAATTGAGTGAAACATATTCTTCCTTTGATATAACTTTGCCCGTTTAGAGCTGTGATGCTCTAGCATGTTAATTTTTAACACGTGTATTATACTTAAGGCCTTGCTAGTATCATACTAAAAGGTACAAAGGAAACAACACAGGGATAAAAAATGTATTTTAAGCAATAACTGGCTAGGAAAAGGGCACAGGCAGTGCAGCAAGAGAGTAAAGAATGAAAACAGAACTCATCTCTGACTTCCAAGAGATCATTCCCTTTAACACAAACTCTGGACACTTAGAACTTAGGGAAGAATTTCCCCAAGGAACAAAGATGAGTACATTTTCAAGAGAAAAATTGAAACTAAAGGTTTAGGTTTATAAAGGGATGCTTTACTTAGCAAAATTTTTACATCAAGGTAAAAAAAAAATTATGGATTGGGGTGTTCCTCTGATTTGGATAAAAGGTGGCATTCACTCTCAGGAGACCATTGTGCCGAGTTGTTTTATTTAAAAAGTATACGTATTTACTATTTAATTGACTGTATGACTTAATGAGGTTTTCCTGATCACAAGGGGACTGGAAAACCAGGCACACAGTCTCCAGGAATACACGACCAGACATCAGAAACACAAGCACCCTGACTGGCTGACTGGTCAGTCCTAGGAGATAATCTTCCTGCAGTCCCTAAGTGGAGAATGTAATTTGTCTTTTTACTTTGTGTGAATCACAGCACTGAAGATAGTGTTAAACATATCAGAAAAATGATGTTAAAATAAAGGTTATCCAACTATCTATTAAGTAAGAAAGGGGTTAAATGAGAAAAACGATACTTTCCCATGGTCATGGGAAAGTCTGGCACTAGAGAGGTAATTTCATCCCATTTAATTAGGAAAAAAAAAATCTACCCTACATAATTTCTCACAGAGTACTCTTCTCACTTATGAAATGCCTTTGAATGTTTTTATGCAGAAGGTAACTAAAACAACCTGCCAGGCAAGAATCAGTAGAGGAAAAGCAGCACTGTTTAAACCATGTATTCACTTCATACGTATCAATACATCGGTAATGCCATGGGTGCTCTGTTTACTCAGAGTCTTGCACCCAAGCAGCTAAAATGTTCTGCAAACCAACAACAGCCACCCAAGTTAGGAGTCATAAGGAGGCTGAAGTTTTACCACTCTTTTTAAAGAAAAGTGCCCAAAGTTGAATATTTTGTCTTATCATCGAAATTATCCTCGAATTCAAGGACTAAAGATGGGAATAACTAGTACTATAAGGTTCTCACTAGTACCTGATCTAGCCTCCACTTACCACCCTTTATGCCTGAATGCGTTAGTAAAGTAAGGAGATGACTCCAACTCAAAGCTCAAAGAACATGACAATGGAAGGGACTCAGGGAGATCTTTTAGTTCCAACAGATGAAATGAGACAAAAATAAATAAATACATACATACATACATACATACATACATAAAATCACGACCTAGAGAAATTAAGGGACTCAGCTAATACTGATCAGATGTCCTAGTGGTTGCAGAGCAGTCAGTGAAGGAACCCTGGACTCCTGATTCCCAGCTGCAGCAAAGACCTCCTGATCACTTAAGCAGAGCATGAAAGTCATTCAATCTGTACAGCCTGTTCTATTTCATGCAGTAAACAATGTAACTTAAAGCCCTTGACCAGTGAAGCAGGCCCTAATGTTCTGTGCTTTATCAATTACAATTTTTAGGCATTTGGGGAGAATTATGTTTCAAAGAGGGAATGAATCAAAAAGCAACACAGACACCATCTGCACTCACGTTGATCATGGCATTGGATGTTATCCTAAAGAGTGTGGCTCGTTCGTTGACCTGTTTGATCTTTTCATTGCTCTCAGCAGGCAACTTCAGGGACTCCAGCTCACTGAGAGAACGCTGCAGAGCTGTGCCATGCTTAGCTATCAAGTCATTGCACGTGCTCAAGTCCTCTACTTTGCTAGAGAGGGTCCGAAGGGTATTCTGCAGCTCAGTCTTGTCAGTTTGTGAGACAGACTCTTCATCTCCTGATTCATCTGTAGGAATGAAAAGAAAGGTTATATGATTCCAGAACCAGGAGTGACAGTTGGAACCCTACCTACTCTGTCCAGAAACAAACCAACATTCCTCATGCTGTGTGCATTCTGACTCACTGAAAACTTGCCATTACCAGATGGTTTCTCTATAGTGTGGTCCACAGATCACCTGCACCACAAACACCCCAGGTCCTTCTCAAAGGGGCAGAGTCTCTAGGCCCACCCCTAGAGACTTCAATTTAGCTGGTGTGAGGCAAAGCCCAGGAATCTGCCTTTCTAATAAGCTGCCCAGGTAACTGACACACACTGAAGTTTGAAAACCACTGACCTACAATACAGAATGGAAAAGCTGAAAGGCTCTTGGAATTGGGAATTAATTACTGAGCTCCTTAACTCTAGCTTGATGATTCCTATCTAGTCCAAGCTAACTATTTTTGCAACTCCACTATCATCTGATAGGTGACTGATGGGACCTGTATTAAATGAGTTGAGAATCACAGTCTAGCTCTTTGTAGACAAAGTCCACATTACAAAAAAGGCCATTAATTTGTCTTCTGAAAGAGAGCTCAGAAACTTTATGACTAAAGCCACCATGAAAAGAATGCAAAAACTCACTTTAAATAGCTCTCCAATAATAAGTCAAGTACAGAAGCTATGTTGTACCTCTCACACTCAACACTTTGTAACTGCAAAGTGCTTTTCTAGCAGTGTCACTTCCTTTGGAGGAGCTAACATCGGCACTAAAAGCAAGAAAAAAAAAAAAAAAGACAAAAGACCTGTCCTTTCTGCTAGACAGAGAGACGGGGCCAAAGTCAAAATATAACTTACTACCAAACAATTTACAAACCAGTGAATTCTCCTTTCACTGATGAATGAACATACAGTATGGGAAATGACAGGGGATAAGATAACAAAGTCAGCAGATGACCATCTTGGTCAGTTCTAGGTAAACAAGCTCAGTATGATTAAACTATCAATATATCAGGAGAAAATCGTACCATTTTCCTTGAAGAATAATCAAAACTTAACTTGATTGCTCCTTTTAGTTAACCAATGCAGCAAAATGAAGATTTTTCATAGAAAATATCACATATACAGTTTTTGGCAGTCTACTAAAATTGTTTCAACTTAACTAACAAAGAGTTAAGTAAGAAGGTATCAGGAGAAAAAGCACGAATAGATCCAAATTCTGAGGAATAATATTCCCAAGACTGGCCCACCAATAAAATAATTATTTCTCAAAATTTTAAGGTAGCCAATTAAAAGGCAAAAGAACAACTGTTACGCCTCTAGGACAGAATTTTTCAACCTTGGCCAGATAATTCTTTGTTTTGGCGGCTGTTTGGTATATTATAGGAGGTTCAGCAGCATCCCAGGCCTCTACTCTCTAGATGCCATAGCACCTCCCTCCCTTCAGCTGTGACAACCAAAAATGTCTCCAGACATTGCCAAATGTCCCCTGGGGAGGAGAATCAACCCTGGTTGAGAACCATCACTCCAGCAGAAATACTGCATGAAGACGAGAAGCTTGAGACCTCTAGGAAATAGGTGATAATCAAATGACACAGCATAATGATGACAAACAAAATCTGTGCATAAAAGGGGCAAAAAGAAAGTTCCCCAGGCAGGTGTTCTTTGTTCCTGACCTGACTCTGCCAGCATCTTCACAGCTTTGGCCTTGGCCAGTTCCAGGGCCGTCACCCAGCGCTGCCGCTCAACTTCTGAACTAGCTTTCAGATGGTAGGTCTGAGCACCCCCATTGGAAATGATGAAGTTGCAGGAGTCCTCCACGGTGATGTTGGCTGTGGCGAGGTTGATGGTACCACGGCAGGTATGTCTCATTTCTGCCTTTGATCTGTAATAACAAGACAAAGACAATTTAAACAGAAAGTTGACGGTTTATCCTTTATCACATTCCATTTCTTTTCATAACTCTGAGCTCCCTGAAAATATGACAGTCTTAGGAATCAGCAAGTTCTAGTCCCTCAAACGGGTCCCTAAAATTCACGAAACAATTAGTGGGGATTTCCCTTCAGAGCCTATAAGTGTTGTTTCTGAGTCAGATTTTTTTTTTTTTTTTTTGCTTTGCTGTCCCTCTTACCATTTTCCTTTTAGAAATAGGCTTTACAGGCCGGGCACCCGTAATCCCAGCACTTTGGGAGGCCAAGGTGGGCAGATCACCTGAGGTCAGGAGTTCCAGACCGGCCTGGCTAACATGGTGAAACCCTGTTTCTACTAAAAATCAAAAAAATTAGCCAGGCGTGCGGGTGTGTGCCTGTAATTCCAGCTACTCAGGAGGCTGAGGCAGGAGAATCGCTTGAACTTGAGAGGCGGAGTTTGCAGTGAGCTGAGATCCCACTATTGCACTCCAGCTTGGGCAACAAGAGCGAAACTCCGTCTCAAAAAAAAAAAAAAAAAAGAAAGAAAGAAAGAAAGAAAGAAATAGGCTATACTGAGGTATAACTACATGCAATGTTAATTTAGCAATTTTAAAGGTACAACTGAATGAGTTTTGACAAATGTACACAAGTGCATAACCACCACCACAATCAAGATGTAGAACATTTCTATCATCTCAGTAAGTTCCTTCATGCCCTTTTGCAGTCAGGAATTATCTTTTACTTAGCAAGTTGTAATTATAAATTGCCCTATAACCTCATGCAACAATCTCATTTCCTAAGAATAGCTCTATTTTATATATACCAAACCATCTCGCTCCCGACTGTAACTCAGCCCAAATGAGAACTCAGCCCAATGTTACATCATGCTTAGAGTTATATCGCAGAAGTGTAAAAAAAGCACCCTTAAATGTTTAGAGTATTAAATATTGGCTATGGTTCAAATGATATGAAATAAGAATAACTAGCTTTCTGGGGAAGTAAAAAGGAATCACCAAGTGTTTTAATCTTTCTGGAATATGTTCATTCCTAAGGTCCACCATACTCTACTGGTGGGAACTCCTAAGCCGTCTATTAATAGCTAGGAAAGATTCAGCAGATCTGCTCTCAGAGAACTGGGTGTAAAAATTTTCCCGATCTCTAGTGACTGACAGTTCTATTAATAGACTAACTTTTGAACTTTACAGCATTACTTGGTGACAACAAGCTATAAGACACTTCACATAGAATACCAAGCTTCACATAAAATATCAAGCTTCTAGCACAATCGAGTGTCTAACACAAACTGTGTCATTTCCCTACCACCCGCTGGTTATGCCCAGGAACCTGCATGTTGAGACTGCACTTTTCCCTGTCCAAATTGGAACACAGAGGTCAAAGTCCTTTGCCAACTGCCACAGTACAAAGCAGAGCCATTTCCCTTTCAGTGGAGTCAAGCAGCCAAACACACCTGGCATATCCAGAATTCCTGCATGCCAGAAATGGCACACACCCCATAAGATTTGGTATGTTTGAGAAAGTCTGGAAGACAGGTTTGTTGTTCAATTTTTCACATGAACTGCTCTTCCTTCCTCAAATAGTATGGGAAGGCCAGAAGGGTCTCAATGAACTGGGCCATTTTCCATCTCCTGCACCTGCCACACTGTAACATGAATCCGTTTTTTCTATTCTTACCTCCCCACCCCCAAGCTTCAGTTACATTATGAATAATGCAGGCTGAATTACAGATGCACAGCTGACAGGCCAGCTCGCTCATGTTTTCTACTCCAAGTATACTACTTGGACCTTCCTCCACATTCCTCCTTATTGGAGCTTTTTGGAAACCACTTCTTAGGAATCTCTTCTGCCTGGGTCATCATTGTAGGAATCTCTTCTGCCTGGGTCATCATTGTAAACTAAAGAAGTTTCTCAAATTACAAAAAGTCTGTAGCAGTTTAAAAAATACCAAGGAACTCTGGGAGTAAGGCAGACTTGATCTCGGAGCTCTTGAGTCTGGGCAGATACACTTATGATTATAAATGATTAGTGCAGAAGCTGGAAAGACATGAATCTCAGGGTACAAGATAGGTTCTTCAGGCACTACAATATTAGGTGGTATTTTCTGGCCAGAAAGTTCTTCCCTGAAAAGGCTAGCTGAAATAGTAATTCAATCTCTAGAAGCTAGCCAGGAGAACTAATACTATGGCCTGTCACAATGTTTCTGGGAGAGTTGGGATTCCATATAAGGTTTTAAGTAATGGGACATCTAAGTAACTGGGTACGTAAGGAAGCCCAGGATAGGTAAAGGAAGTGGTTTGCCAAGGCCTATTAGGACAGCTCATCCGAGGATGGGTCTAGGAAGTACACAATCCCACTTAAAAGGAAAACAGTATTTTGGAAACAGCATATATAAGAAACTGCAGGTTTTGGAGGTATGAAAAGCAGGAGGAATGACAACTTGTCTAAATAATTCTTGGAGGAAGATGAGGACCAGAAGAATCCTGCAGGAAAAAATAAACTGCCAGTATACTTGATAGGAGGTATTTCAGTGCAATTTTGAGGGTAGTGCACAGATTGATAACTCTGGATCCCGCTGGTTTGTTTATGGGTGGGACCACCTAAGTTGACTAGGGCAGGCCTATGGCATATTTCCCAATATGTGGTTTGGTATGTTTTGGAAGGAGTTTTATATGTAGTCAGACAGGTACCACTAGCTCTTGTAAGGGAGAAGTTAAAAGTGGTAACAAATACTTAAAGAGACAGCAACATGTAAGTTATTAGTGTCTAAGATCACTATTGATCAACACTAGTACTGATCAAAGAATCAACTGGCCTGGAAAGTGGATCCGGTAAGAACTTGGATGAGAAATGACCACATACGAAGGCCCTGAGGTGATATACAATTTTTGAAAATGCAAAAACAGTATTAATATTGACTTGCGACACAAGTCAGGATATAAATCAATTAAACATTAAAATGATGGTCAATAATAACAGGAAAACATGAACTTGAATGAGAGAAAAATCTGGGGAAATTAAAATTTTAGATTTGTAATCTAAGTTTAAATGGATGGTCCTGGATAAGTAGTTCGAAAGGGTCATAATTAAAATCAATTCTGAATACAGTAATGCAAATGAAATATACAATTATTCACAACTGTTGATTAAGCAGTGAGGATGAGCTATCTAAGGCATTTTGCCCTGTAAGAGGACAGGTAAAAATGTGTTCCTGCCAACAACCTCCAACTCCCACCTTCAATTTCTCCTCAAAATTCTCTAAGAGCCAATACAGTGGAGTTGATGGAAAAGAGACTTGTTCAGCCTAACTCTCTGGGTAGCAGAATGATTCCTGGTGAAGGAAAAGAAATATAGAGTGAGCTGCTCTTCAACATCAGTGTTTTGGGTCTCAAAGAGGATGGTCTCTGGAAAAAAATATTTCAATTGGAATGTCATTAAGCAAAATATCCCTTAAAGGAGACTTTTATACTTTTTGCATAAAATACACATAGTAAGCATGATCCATAAAATTACTTGCTATTGATAAGCAATTATCTCTGTAACTGACCGATTCATTTCACACTAACCTGAGTTTTAGGTTAGATTAGTGTGAACAGAAGTAGTTTCAAATCCCAGCTGCTCAAAAACCTTGGGAAAGTTGCCCATGCTAAGTCTGTTTTCCTCATCAGTAAGATGGGAATATTTCCCAACTCCTAGGGTTGTTGTTGGGAGTCAACAAAATACTATAATGAAATACTGTATATAAAACACCTAGACACATTGTCCAGCCCTCAGGAAATGTTTACGCCCTGTCCCCAAATCACCTATCTTAACTCCTCTATCCTTTTTAGCCCAAAAGCGTGCCATGTGATGGCCAGGTTATGAGTCACCATAAATATATATTAAACAGTCCAAAATAAACCTTGTTGAACAGAAGTAATCACACCAAAGACATGGATTCTTCTTTTAATAAAAGTTAATCCTAACTAACCAAAAAATCACAGAAATGCCAGATAAAACACTTAATCATTTCCACGGGAGGAGGTGGGGCAAGCAAAAATAAAAGCAGCACTGGGGTGCACATCTCCATTCTGGGCTGTCCAGAGGCCAAAGCACATGCAAAGTCTTGGAGAGATAAGGCAGAAAGGGGACGGAATACCGAAGCCACCCTGTGTGTGTGATGCCCTTATGTCTGAATGTGAAGGGAGCAAGGACGGGTACATCCAGAGCTACGAATAACCTTGAGTTTTGGAGACTGGGCACTGACAGCTACAACTTGGGACTTCCACTGTAAGTTCCTTGGGAGGAGTGCCTCGGGTTTGTTCTGCTGCATGTGTTCCCTTAGTACCTACACCAGTGCCTTGCTTGCAGAATTAATAATTGCACCCATGTGCTGGTGGAAATACAATGGAAGCACAGACGCTCTCCAAACGACTAATGACTGGAAAGGCCGGGAGCGAAGGGAAGATAAGGCACCAAGAGTGGGTAACCCGAGGGGAGGGGAGGTGTACGTCCAGGGGCTTTTCACTTTCGTGACAGTGGGCTCCGACCCCTGGGCTGTCAATCCGCACAGATGACGAAAAGGGGCCTGGGGCAACCCTGGCTGCGGTGCCGGCTGGCGGTAATGCCGGAGCTGGGACTGTTGGCAGATATGGGGGAGGCAAGGTGAGCGACAGCGCCCCGGAAGCAGTTACCTGTAGTAGCTCAGGAGCCCGTTGCTCAGCACGAACCATCGCCGCTGGTAGCCTTTGATATAATTGGTCCATTTGAAGAGCCAGCCCTCTCGAGCCGAGCCCGAACCCCCAGCGCCCGAGCCGCCCGAGCCCCCAGTCGGCGGCGCAGGGGCCGGGCCAGCCGCCGCCACTCCCCCGGCCCCCGGGCCCGGGCCTCCCGCCGCCGCCGCGACCACCGTCCCTGACGCGGCCCCGGAGCCTGGCCCCGCATCTCCGCGGCCGCCGCCTCCTCCCACCACTGGGGGACCGGCGCCGCCGCCGCCAAGTGCTGCAATGGCTGCCGGGCCTGGCCCCACCACTCCTCTCAGCTCCGTCGCCGCCATGAGCCGCCGCCGCCTGGAGATACAAGACCGGAACCGCCTACGAGAGCCGCCGTCGCCGCCCGGAGCGCCCCACACGGCTACCGCATCAGCCACCGCCGCGCAGCGTCCCCGCCCCGCCCGGCCAGCCGCGGGGAGGAGGGCTCGGCCGCCGGGAAGAAGGACGTCGATTGGTGCCGCTGAGTGTCACTTGAGGAAGACCCCGCGGATATTGGCATTTCTCTCGGGCCTGTCATTCTACAGCGCCCAGTGAGAGCCTGGGGTGGGACGCGTCCGCCAGACCCACCTTTGATTGGTTCAGATAAAGGCCAATCAGACTTTTGGGGAAGCTCATTGGTGCTTTCCTGAAGTTTCCAGCGCTCAGGGAGGACGGGAGAATGCGGAATGCCCGGCCAATCTGATCGCCGATTGGCTGCTGTTTCCGCCATTCATTTCAGTTTATGCGCCTGTCACTGCCACGTCACCCCCTCCCATCGCTCTTCTCATCATCCTTTTCCGCCCTCATGGATTGGTGGTTGGTATCAGCTGCTCCACCTTTTCTACCATTTACTGAACGAGTTGAGGAAAAAGGGAAGGAGTCTCGTCTTTACATCCTTATTTTCTTTTTTTATTGGTTGGCACCTATGCCACTCACGTGGTGGAGAGGCGGGGCAATAGTTGGAGATGATTGGTTCTGAGAATTGGCTGTGAAAGCGGCATTGCTGACCAGTGAGAGAGACCTAATGAGGAGCAGGCCGGGGCAACCAATGAAATCGGAGAAGAGCGCTTGGGGGCGTGTCCGCCTGCTTTCAGCCTTTGGCAAGTTGGTGGGAGGTGAAAGTGACTTGGCCTCTTAAAAGCGTTTTTTTCACGTGGGTGTGATGTCGTGTTCCGTTTTTCTGAATAAGAACTTCGTAGCTTCTTGTTAGGAAGAACCTGGAGGACAGAGTAACTCTCGGCAGTCAGCCCCCGCCTGAGGCTCTCTTGAAGGACCCCCTTCTAACTCGAAGCTGGATACCCAGATTCCAGGGGTGCCCAGAAGTAGCTTTTCCAGCCCCTTCCTGGATCCATGGTCCCCCTAGTTCCCTTCCCTGTTTGCTCTTTATCGCTCCACACCCCTTGTGTCTTGATTCTAGACTGTCATATGCCTATACCGATTCTGTCCCCTTCAGAAGTAGATTCGCGAGGACCTGACTTTATGTGTCTCTTCCAGACCTAAAGGCCCTTGGTTTTAGCATCATAGGTGCCATGTATATGCTTAACTTTGAACAGAAAATTATTATTTTTTGTATCTTTAAACTGATATATCGTAGTTGTACATATTTAACTTTGGACAGAAAATTTTTTTTATATCTTTAAACTGATATAGTTGTACATATTTTCAGGGATACATCTGATATTGTGATACATGTATTCAATGTATAATTATCAAATCAGTGTAATTGGGATATCCATCATCTCAAACATTATCTTTGTGTTGGGAACATTTTCTGCTATGCGTTCTCTTGTAGCAGGAAATCGTTATTTTTGATCAACTGACTATTCACACATTTGTGAAGATTACAAATTCAGTAACTAATGTAACATTTAGATGTAAGCTATTGTTGCAAATGTAACCTAAAGCGCCGTACTTTAGGGAATCTAGCATCTGTTACATTTTGCTAGTTTGAACAGGCAATAGAAATAGCTATTAGATACTGTAAAAGAAATTGACTTTCTTTGCCAATGTGCTTCCCAGTGTCAATAAATTAAAGTATCCTTTTTAAGAAAATCGTTTCAAAAGAAGCGAAGTATTTATTGAATTCTGGAGAGAGAATACTCTTTAAAAATCTGCAATTTTTACTATCAGGGATCATTTGTATAGCTCATTACTAGTGAATTTCTCTGAATGTGTAGAGCAAAATAAAATCTGCTATTAGATGTAGGCTATTTGGGATTAATTTTTTTTTTAACTGAGCTAGAGTTAATCCATTTAGGCTTGAGTCCTGCTTTTGCTACTTACTGGGTCTATTACTTTGAGAAAATTATTTAAGCACTCCAAGTCTCAGTTTTCACTTATGTTAAACAGGAATAAAACCTCACAGGGATGCTGTTGTGATTAAGTGCGTTTGAATGTGTTTGATAAACTGTAGATAGCTACAAACATGTGAGTTGTGTTGCCAAACACATCTCACAGGTTACTTGCCATCACAAAGGAGAAACATACTTTTACAATGGGGAGATCTGGCAGTCCCCACCTTAACCCAGTTATCCAATGTGTATCAGTAACCCTTGGACAACCAACATTTTTATGAAGTTCCCAGTGTGCTGCAGCATAAAGTATACAGCATCACTTAATGGTGTTTTCTTGCCAAAATACTGAAAGTTAATCTAATCAAGGCTTTGGATCTAAACTCCAGTTTACTGGGCTGGAGGAACCAGTTGAACCATAACCCCAAGGAGATAATCAGATAAATCAAGAACGTGAAGCATTCTATAAGACAACTATTTTATAGAAGATAAGACATAAAGATCAAGGAAAATCAATGTCATAAAAATGGTCAGGGGTGATTGTTCTAAATTTGAAAAAAAACTTAAAGAGATACAATCAAATGCTTAATTGGATTCTGGTTCTGAAAAAGCAGGCTTTTAGACATTTTTGAGACAATTGGGGAAATTTGAAAATGGACTGGTATCAGATGTTGTTAGTTATTACATTTGTTCATTGTAATAATGGTATGCTGGACATGGGGGAAAACATCTTTACAACTTGGAGAAACGTAGGAGTGAAGAGTTATGATATCCGTAACTCTCTTTGAAATGGTTCAGCAAAAAAGAAAGATAAGAGACCAGTCTGGGCAACATAAATAAACCTGTCTCTACTAAAAACAAAAGCAAAACAAAACAAAACAAAAAAATTAGCTGGGCATGGAGGCCTGTGCCTGTAGTTCCAGCTACTTGGGAGACTGAGGTGGGAGGACTGATTGAGCCCAGGAGGTCGAGGCTACAGTGAGCTGTGATTGTGCCACTGCACTCCAGCCTGACAGAGTGAGGCCCTATCTCTCTCTCACACACACACACACACACACACACACACACACACACACACAGAGCCAAGGAAAGATAAATACTTTGAAATGCATACATACACATCTGTCTGTCTGTCTACCTCCCTACCTACCTACCTATCAAGCAAATATGGCAAAATCTTAATTGTTAAATCTATGTGGTAAGTATATAGGTGTTTACTGTACTATTATTTCTACTTTTATTGTATATTTGGAATAATAATTTTAAAAAAGGTTTTGAGAGGCTAGTTTGACCTACTGTTGTTACCTAACACTGCCTCCGGAATACAGAACAGAATTCTTGGCCTGGCAAATGAGACCCATGACAATCTGATGTCACCTCTCCTTTCCAGTCCTTTTTTTTTTTTAAGACAGAATCTCACTCACCTAGGCTGGAGTACAGTGGCACAATCTCAAGTGATTGTCCTGTGTCAGCCTCTGGAGTAGCTGGGATTACAGGCATGCACCACCACACCCAGCTAATTTTTATATTTTTAGTAGAGACAGGGTTTCACCATGTTGGCCAGGCTGGTCTCAAACTCCTGACCTCAGGTGATCTGCCTGCCTTGGCCTCCCAAAGTGCTGGGATGACAGATGTGAGCCACCAAGTGGTGGCTTTGAAATGCATACACACACATCTATCTGTCTGTCTGTCTCCCTCCCTACCTACCTATCAAGCAAATATGGCAAAATGTTAATTGTTAAATCTATGTGGTAAGTATATAGGCTCACACCTGGCCTCTCTCTTTTGTATTGGTGTACTCTGTGTTCCAATTAAATTGATCCACACATTTTTTTCCACATTCACCCTACACTTTCTCAAACTGATGCCTTTGTGTATGCTTTCCCTCCATTAAATGCCCAGTGAACTCCCTCCACAGAATTTCCTCGAATTTTCCTGGCTAGACGTAATGCCCCTTCCTCAGGACTTGCAGAGTTTCCTGTGAGGTTAATTGTCTTGCCTTATAATTATCTATGTTTCAATCATATCTCCCCTACTAGAGGGTCAATTTCTCTAATGTATAACCTGTATCTATTTCATCTTTGTTTCCCCCATGACAGCACGCAACCTAGCATATTCATCTATTTAATAAATATTTATCAATTATCTATTATATATCTTCAGGCCTGAGCCAAGTCTTAGGGACAAAGTAGTGAATGTACAAATAGGCTCTGGCTCCTCATGAAATGTAAAGGATCTTAGGGATATACACAGTATTCGTAGTGAAAAAATATGTAGAGTAATTATACACATATGCACAGTAATATGGAGGACAACAGGTGTAACCTGTTTATTTTTTGTTTGTTTGTTTGTTTGTTTGTTTGAGACAGAGTCTTGTTCTGTTGCCCAGGCTGGAGTGCAGTGGCACGATCACGGCTCACTGCAAGCTCCACCTCCCGGGTTCACGCCATTCTCCTGCCTCAGCCTCCCGAGTAGCGGGGACTACAGGCGCCCGCCACCACGCCCGGCTAATTTTTTGTTTTTGTATTTTTAGTAGAGATGGGGTTTCACCGTGTTAGCCAGGATGGGCTCGATCTCCTGACCTCATGATCCACCCGCCTCGGCCTCCCAAAGTGCTGGGATTACAGGCTTGAGCCACTGTGCCCGGCCCTAACCTGTTTCAAAGAGGGATAAACTGTTTAAGTTGCCACCTGGGGACTGGGGAGGAGTAAGCAAAGGAAATAAATCAGTCATTCTTTTTCCTTTCTCTTTTTTTCCTCCATAGCTAAAATCAGTCATCTTCCTGCGAAGGCATGAGGAGGAAAAGAGAGGAAGTAACTGAGGTGGGTACATAAGGCATGGAGAGTGAAGACCCCAAAGGGCTGTAAGACCTCATAAGGAGTCCAAGTTTTATTCTCATTGCAACAGGAAGCAATCAAAGGGATTAGAGCAAGTGACCCCAGTTCATTCATTCTTTCTTTGTTTCTTTCTGTATCTCTCTTTCTTTTCTTTTCTTTCTATGTTTCTTTCTTTCTCTCTGTCTTTTTTCTTGACAGGGCCTTGCTCTGTCATCTAGGCTAGAGTACAATGATGTAATTAATTATGGTTCGCTGCAACCTTGAACTCCTGGGCTTAAGCAATCCTCCTGCCTCAGCCTCCCAAATAGCTAGGGCTACAGGCATGCACCACTATGCCTAGATACTTTTTATTTTTTGTAGAGACAGGGTCTTGCTGTGGTCTCAAACTCCTGGCCTCAAGTTATCCTCCCGCCTCAGCCTCGCAAAATGTTGGGAGTGGAGCCACCGTGCCTGGCCTCAATTCTTGTTTAAAATTATCACTGGCTGATGTGTGGAGTCACAAGAGTGGAGAGGGACAGCAATTAGGAAACTTCTACCATCATTTTTTTTTTTTTTTTTTTGAGATGGAGTCTCAAATTGTCACCTGGGCTGGAGTGCAGTGGTGCCATCTCGGCTCACTGCAACCAGGTTCAAGAGATTCTTCTGCCTGAGCCTCCAGAGTAGCTGGGATTACCGGCACCTGCCACCACGCCAGGCTAATTTTTTTGTATTTTTAGTAGAGATGGGGTTTCACTATGTTGGCCAGGCTGGTCTGGAACTCCTGACCTCATGTGATCCACCCGCCTCAGCCTCCCAAAGTGCTGAGATTACAGACGTGAGCCACCACACCCAGCCTTCTACCATCTTTTAGAAGAGAAATATTGATGACTTGGTTGAATGTGGTGGAAACAGGGATGGAGAGAAGTGGATACATTCCACATATATTTGGAGATATACCTGATAGGACCGGGCACATGATAATGATTCAGTTAATGTTTAATGTGTGAAATAATTACAACTTTAAAAAATTGGTGTTTTATTTTTCTCATGAAGTCATTGTCCTCATCCCAATATCCAGTCAGTAACAAAAAACTGATGATCTTTTATGCACCCCTTTCTTTACTGGCCTAGATTCTTGTGCTTTCTTCTCACTTTTAAACTCGTCTATTTGCCCCTAGTCTATCTTCCAGAATTCTCCTCACAACTGCCAAAGGGATCTTCTTTTTTTTTTTTTTTTTTTTTGAGACAGAGTCTCTCTCTGTCACCCAGGCTGAAGTGCAGTGGCACAATCTTGGCTCGCTGCAACCTCTGCCTCCTTGGTTCTAGTGATTCTCGTGCCTCAGCTTTCCAAGTAGCTGGGACCACAAGTGCATGCCACCATGCTCTGCTAATTTTTGTATTTTTTGTAGAGACAGGTTTTTGCCATGTTGCCCAGGCTGGTCTTGAATTCCTGAGCTCAAGAGATCTGCCTGCCTCAGCCTCCCAAAGTGCTGGCGTTACAGGCGTGAGCCACCATGCTCGGCCAGGATTTTCTTAAAATAGTCTGTTCCTTACCTGAGTTTCTTGCTCCGTAATCCTCAAATGACCCCCCTCTGGTCTACAGGATAAAGTCCTGATAGCTCACTTTGCCATCTAAGGCCCTACCCTACCAGGTCCTAATCTTGCTTTCCTGTCCCACTTTTTACAACTCTTTTCAGTCCATACTGGTTTACCTGCCAGACTCCAATATATTGGATATTTTTGCTTTCATGATTTTTTTTTACATAAACTATATTTTTTTAGAGCAGTTTTAGATTCACAGCAAAATTGAGCTGAAATTACAGAGAGTTCCATGCACAGCCTCTCCTACTATCAACATCCAGAGTGGTGTAACTGTTAAAATTGATGAATCTACACTGACACATCATTATCCACCCAAAACCCATAGTTTACATTAGTGTTTATTTGGCATTGTACATTCTATGGGTTTTAACAATGTATAATGACATTTATCCAGGATTAAATATCATACAGATTAGTTTTATTGTCCGAAAAAACCTCTCTGCTCCACCTATTCATTCCTCCTTTTTCCTTAACTCTTGGCAACCAGTGATCTTTCTACTGTCTTCACAGTTACGCCTTTTCCAGAATGTCTTATAGTTTGAATCACACACATACATTTGTCCTTCAGTATCCATGGGGAATTGGTTCCCAGATTCTCTGCAAATACCAAAATCCACAGATGGTCAAGTCTGTTATACAAAATGGTATAGTATTTGCATATAACCTATACACATCTTCTCTTATACTTTAAATTATCTCTAGATTATTTCTAATACCCAATACAATGTAAATGCTATGTAAATAGTTGTTATCCTATATTGTTTAGGGAATAATGACAGGAAAAAAGTCTGTACATATTCAGTACAGGCACAAGCATCTCTTTTTGGGAGAATATTTTTGATACTTGGTTGAAATCGTGGATGCAGAACCCACAGATATGGAGGGCTGACTGTAGTTTGAAAAGAAGCCTTTTAAAAACTGGCTTCTTTCCGGGCGTGGTGGCTCATGCCTGTAATCCCAGCACTTTGGGAGGCTGAAGCGGGTGGATCACAAGGTTAAGAGATTGAGACCATCCTGGCCAACGTGGTGAAACCCCGTCTCTACTGAAAATACAAAAATTAGCTGGGCGTGGCGGCACGTGCCTGTAGTCCCAGCTACTCAGAAGGCTGAGGCAGGAGAATCGCTTGAACCCAGGAAGGGGAGGTTGCAGTGAGCCAAGATCGTGCCACTGCACTCCAGCCTGGGCGACAGAGAGAGACTCCATTTAAAAAATAAAATAAAATAAAATAAAATTGGCTTCTTTCACTTAGTAGTATGCATTTAAGTTTCCTTTATGTATTGCCTTATACAGATGTACCACAGATCTTGACCACCTCGCTTCAAATCCTGTTTTGGCTAAGTGATGCAATCTTGTGCTGTTTACTTAACCTCTCACCAGTTTCCTTATGACCATACTAACAGCATCTTTTTCTCAAGGTTTTGGGGAAGGATTAAATAAAAATACATGAAATGTGTCTGGCATATGGTAAATCATAAATGCTGACTGTAATTACTAATTATGCAAGACTATCTTTGTAGCACAACATAACTAACCCTAAGAGGACCGACATGTCTTTCTTGAGGGCATTAGACGTACCGTAGAAAAACCTGGAAATACTGGGACTTTATATGAGGTAAAAATAATATAATGAATGGATGCCAGCTTTTATTGAGTGTTAAGCACTTTCACAAATATTGATTTTTTGTCATAATCCCACTTGTTCTACCACCCCTTTTACAGGTAGAGAAACTGAGATTCATGAATAAAGTAACTTGCAAAGGTGAAGCTAACACTCAAACACAGATATGAATAGGGCTATAGTCCGATATTACTTGTGCCTTGGAGCCATTTTTAAAACAACAACAAACAATTCGAGGTGCTGGGTGCAATGTCTCACGCCTGTAATCCCAGAATTTTGGGAGGCTGAGGTGGGCAGATCACTCAAGCTCAGCCTGGGCAACATGGTGAAACCCCATCTATACCAAAAATACAAATCATTAGCCGGGTGTGGTAGCTCACGCCTGTAGTCCCAGCTACTCAGGAGGCTGGGGGAGGCTCTCTTGAGCCTGGGAGCTGGAGGCAGCAGTGAGCCGAGCTCATGCCACTGCACTCCAGCCTGGGCAACAGAGTGAGACCTCGTCTCAAAACAAGCAAAACAATTCAAATAGTTAAGTTAGGAGTCGAGATGTATTATATTTTCTGTCATCAAAATTAAACCAAATGTCACACAAACCCTTCTGTTTCACAACTGATTATCATGCTTTGCACTTCACAGAGAAAATGCAGGCTCCCAAAGTGCTGGGACCACAGGCCTGAGCCACCATGCCTGGCCAGACACAGACTTCTTTCTCCTCCTTTGTATATTGTTTCTGTTATTACCTTTTGCCCTAAGGTGGCTGCTAGAGCTTCTAGAATTCCCTAGAATTTGTAATAACTTAAAATTCAAGGGTGGGCACAGTGTCTCATGTTTGTAATCCCAGCACTTTGGGAGACTGAGGTGGGTGGATCACTTGAGGTCGGGAGTTCGAGACCAGCCTGGCCAACATGGTGAAACCCTGTCTCTACTAAAAATACAAAACTTAGGCCAGGCGCGGTGGCTCAGGCCTGTAATCCCATCACTTTGGGAGATGGAGGAGGGCGGATCACCTGAGGTCAGGAGTTCAAGACCAGTCTGGCCAACAAGGTGAAACCCTGTCTCTACTAAAAATACAAAAATTAGCTGGGTGCAGTGGCGGGCACCTGTAATCCCAGCTTCTCAGGAGGCTGAGGCAGGAGAATTGCTTGAACCCGGGAGGCGGAGGTTGCAGTGAGCTGAGATCGCCCCATTGCACTCCAGCCTGGGCAACAGAGCGAGACTCCATCTCAAAAAAAAAAAAAAAAACAATTAGCCGGGCATGGTGGCATGTGCCTATCGTCTCAGCTACTTGGGAGGTTGAGGTGAGAGGATGGCTTGAACCCGGGAAGTGGAGGTTGCAATGAGCTGAGATCGCGCTACTGCACTCCAGCCTGGGCGACAGGGTGAGATCCTGTCTCAAAATAAAGTAAAATAAAATAAAATTAAATTAAATTTAAAAAAATTTGTCTAATTACACTTAATGAACTCTAATACAGGTTGAATAGCCCTTATCCGAAATGCTTGGGACCAGAAGAGTTTCAGATTTCTGATTTTTATTTTTTGGATTTTGGAATATTTCCATTATATATAGAGTGCTTACTGGTTCAGCATCCCTAATCTGAAAATTCTAAACCTGAAATGCTCCAATGAGCATTTCTTTTGAGCATCATGTCAGCACTCAAAAATTTTCAGATTTTGGAGTATTTTGGATTTCAGATTTTCAGATTAGAGATGCTCAACCTGTACCAAATGATTGAAAAAGTCCTTCATAATAATTGGGATTAGGTTTATTTGGAAGTAACAGAGGCCCAATTTACATTGGTTTAAACCCATAATAGTTTATTCTCACACAGGAAAGAAATCCCAGGATAGGAAGCTCAAGGTTGGAATGGTGGCTCAATGAAGTCTTCAGAGACATAGACTTTTTTTTTTTTTTTTTGAGCCAGGGTCTCACTCTGTTGCTCAGGCTGGAGTGCAGTGGTTCAATCTTGGCTCACTGCAGCCTCGACCTCCCAGTCTCAAGGGATCCTCCACCTCAGCCTCATGGCTATTCTTTTTTTTTTTTTTTGGTATTTTTAGTAGAGATGGGGTCTTGCTATGTTTCCCAGGCTTGTCCTGAACTCCTGGACTCCAGTGATCCACCTGCTTTGGCCTCCCAAAGTGCTGGGACTATCGGCCTGAGCCACCTTGCCCCGCCAGACACAGACTTCTTTCTCTCCATTGTATGTTGTTTCTGTTATTACCTTTTGCCCCAGGGTGGCTGCTAGAGCTTCAGTCATTACATCTGCATTTGAAGCAGCAAGAAGAGGGAAGTAAGGAGGACAAAAGTGTAGTGCCTTCCCCTTAGGGAGAATTTTTGGAAGTCACACACGACATGTCTACTTATTCTCTGTGGGATAGAGAAATGATGGAAAATGATTGTAATCAGGCTTTCTTTGTCTACCGCTCACTCACTGCAATCTTGGACACATGTACATGTTCTCTCTCTCTTATTTTCTTCCTTCCTTCAAACACAAACCTATTACATTTTAACTGAATTAACTCTTTAAAGAACCTATTTTCAAATAGAGTGACATTCTGAGGTACAGGGGTTAGGACTTCAGTATAAGAGTTTTGGGGGTGGACACAATTTAGCCCATAACATACAGAGGATACATATGATATGTGAAAGTTACAAAGCACAATAGTCAAACCAATACTGCTCAAGGCACCACTCAACATAAGAAATACAAAATGACCAGTTTTCTACATCCTATCCCAATACCATGCCCCTAAACACTTCCAAAAGTAACTCGTCTTAAATGTATTTTTTCCCAACTTTCATTTTGGATTCAGAGGGTACATGTGCAGGTTTGTTACAAGTGTATTGTGTGATGTTGAGGTCTGAGGTATAGATGATCCTGTCACCCAGGTAGTGAGCATAGTATCCAATGGTTTTTCAACCCATGTCCACCCCTCCCCCAACTTTTGGAAGTCCCCAGTGTCTATTGTTCCAATTTTATGCCCATGTGTACTCATTGTTTAGCTCCTACTTATAAGTGAGAACATGCAGTATTTGGTTTTCTGTTTCTGCATTAACTCACTTAGGACAATGGCCTCTAGATGCATCCATGTTCCTGCAAAGGATATCATATTGCTCTTTTTTATGGCTGTGTAGTATTCTATGATGTATATGTACCACATTTTATTTATCCAGTCTACCATTGTTGATGGGCACCTAGGTTGATTCTATGCCTTTGCTATTGTGAATAGTGCTGAGATGAACATATGTGTGCATGTATCATTTTGATGTCGATTCCGCATGCAGAGCAGTCGAGTTGCCCTACGTGTGCCACTCACGACAGAAGCCCTTTTTTGCATGTATCATTTTGGTAGAATGATTTATATTCCTTTGGGTATATACCCAGTAATGGAATTGCTGGGTCAGATGGTAGTTCTGTTTTAAGTTCTTTGAGAAATCTCCAAACTGCATTCCACAGTGGCTGAACTAATTTGCATTCCCACCAGCAGGGTACAAGCATTCCACAGCCTCGCCAGCATCTGATATTTTTTTTCACTTTTTAATAATAGTTATTGTGACTGGTGTGAGATGGTACCTCAT
Organism: Homo sapiens; assembly: GCF_000001405.40. Taxonomy (NCBI): domain Eukaryota; kingdom Metazoa; phylum Chordata; class Mammalia; order Primates; family Hominidae; genus Homo; species Homo sapiens. Next base: position 59,627,265 of record NC_000011.10, read on the forward strand.
TGTGGTTTTGATTTGCATTTCTCTGATGATTAGTGATGATGAGCATTTTTTCATGTTTGTTGGCCATTTTTCTGTCTTGTTTTGAGAAGTATCTGTTCATGTCCTTTGCCCATTTTTAAATTGGAATATTTGTTTTTTGCTTGTTGCTAAATCTATGTTTAAAAAAATTGTTCCCTCAGTCGATTTGCCTTTTAAAGGCCCAGATTCATCCTGTAGACCAGTGATAATATGAGGCTCTCTGATAAGTGCTCCCTTTTTTTATTTCCATCTCCATACAGCAGAGTGATTTTTAAAAGTATAAGTCATATGACGTTTTGTGTTTTTTACTTAAAACTCTGCAAAGATTTCCCATTGCAATAAGAATAAATCCCTTCAAGACCATGTGTGGTTACTCTCTGCCCCACTCCATTAACTCTAACAACATTGACTTTCTGTGGTTCCTTGAACTCAAACTCATTTTCATCTCAGGGGCTTGGCTACCTTCTTTATTTTGCTTAGGATGCTCTTCCTAGACCTTTGCACATCTGTCTCTTCTCATTATTCAGATGTCTGCTTGAATGTCACCTGCTTATCAAGGACTTCCTTGCTACTCTGTCTACAGTACAAGTACATCTCCCCCACTCAAATCACTTTGTTCTTTTCTTAGCACTTATCATTGTAAGTATCCCCCTCAGAATGCAAACTGCATCAGAATACGGGTTTAGTTTGTCTTTGTCACCACTGTATCTGGAGTAATGTGGGACATACAAGACCTTAACTGATTTATATTATCAAATTGTTCCTGACCTAGGGGTTGTTGTGATAAAATGAGTGACAATGTATTTTGAAATGAGTCTTGTAAACACAGACTAATTTATTACATCAAGCTCTATTCTCTGAATAATCTGTTTAGGCTCTGTTTGCTTCTTTTTCTTTTCTTTTCTTTTCTTTTTTTTTTTTTTTGAGACAGGGTCTCACTCTGTCACCCAGGCTGGAGTGCAGTGGCGCGATCTCGGCTCACTGCAACCTCCACCTTCCAGGCTCAAGCGATTCTCCTGCCTCAGCCTCCCAAGTAGCTGGGATTACAGGTGCCACCACCATGCCCGGCTAATTTTTTATCTTTTTAGTAGAGGCGGGTTTTCACCATGTTGGCAGGCTGGTCTCAAACTCCTGACCTCATATGATCCACCCGCTTTGGCCTCCCAAAGTGCTGGGATTACAGGTGTGAGCCATCATGCCCAGCCTTCTCCTCTCCCCTCCCCTCCCCTCCCCTCCTTCCCTCCCTCCCTCCTGCCCACCCGCCTGCCTGCCTGCCTGCCTGCCTGCCTGCCTTCCTTCCTTCCTTCCTTCCTTCCTTCCTTCCTTCCTTCCTTCCTTCCTTCCTTCCATCCTTCCTTCCTTCGTTTTTGTGAGATAGGGTCTCATTTGTCAGCTGGAGTGCAGTGGAGCAATCACAGCTCACTGCAGCCTCAACTTCCTGGGCTCAAGTGATCCTCCCACCTCAGCCTCCCAAGTAGCTGGGACTATAGGCATGTGCCACCATGCCTGGTTAATTTTTAAAAATTTTTTGTAGAGATGGGGGTCTCACTATGTTGCCCAGGCTGGTCTTGAACTCCTAGGCTCAAGTGGTCCTCCTGCCTCAACCTCCCAAAGTGCTGGGATTACAAGGGTAAGCCACTGCACCCAGCTAAGCTTTGTTTCGTTTTCTTTTCTTTCTTTTTTTTTTTTTTTAGATGGAGTCTTGCTCTGTTGCCCAGGCTGGAGTGCAGTGGCGCAATGTCAGCTCACTGCAACCTCTGCCTCCCGGGTTCAAGCGATTCTCCTACCTCAGTCTCTTAAGTAGCTGGGACTACAGGCGCAAGCCACCATACCTGGCTGATTTTCGTATTTTTAGTAGAGATAGGGTTTCACCATATTGGCCAGGGTGGTCTCAAACTCCTGACCTCAAGTGATCTGCCCACCTCAGTCTCCCAAAGTGCTGGGTTACCCATATGAGACACTGTGCCCAGCCTTGAATTTTAAGTTGGGATTACAGGTGCTGGGATTACTGGTGTGAGCCACTGTGCCTGGCCAGCTTTGTTTCTCAATAACAAAACTATTTCATGACCAGGTATTTGTTGGATGTCTGCTAGGTGTTGACTCTGTGCTGGGCTTTGTGGTACAGCCATGAACAAGACAGACTATTTCTGTATTTGTGAAGCTCCCATATTAATGCAGTGAATTTATGAAAAAAACAATTGCTGTGACAATATATCTAATGTAAAAAATACCTTTCAAAATACTGGGAATGAGGAAGAGTGGAAGCAAGGAGCTCTTTTTTTTCCCTCCCTAGATGATGTTTAAATAAAAAAGACCATAGAGATGCCTGACAGTTGCATTGCTGTGACTCTGATCCTTATATATTGCAATTGGTTCTGATAATTACAACCTGAATTGCTCCCTTTTTGACATTACTGAGAGGCAATTGTCTAATCTGCTTACTGCAAATGAAGGCATTAAAATCCAATCAGAAGAGTTTGCAGATGCAATGTTAAAGCCTCACAGCTTTTCAGCTGCTCCTCTGAAGCTTGGGTCCAGGAATAGGAGCCTTCTTGCAGCCAAGACACTAGAAATGGAGCTCAAAACTTAAGGTTTAAATCCCAGTTTTAGACCTTACCAGCTGGAAGGTCTTGCTGATCTAGTTTTGGTACTGTACAATTATAGTTGCCCATCCTACTTCAAAAGGTTATAGAGAAGACTGAATTGGAACACGAATGTGTTCTTTGTACACTATAAAATAACTATGGAAATGTGACATTGTGGGTTTACCTTTGTTACTGTTAGATGAACAACAGTAACTGAAAAAAAGTATTTGAAGATTGAATCCTATTAACAGGAGAACAATCAGATAAATGATGGCATAATGGCACACAGTGGAATACTATACAACTATGAAAAAGAACAGGGGACCAGGTACAATGTCTCATGCCTGTAATCCCAGCACTTTGAGAGGCCAGGTTGGGAGGACTGAATGAGCCCAGGAGTTTGAGACCAGCCTGGGCAACAAGCAAGACCTTGTCTCTGCAAAAAATAAAATAATTAGTCAGGCATGGTGGTGCACACCTTTTTTCCCAGCTATTCAGGAGGCTGAGATGGAGGTTGGGGGTCTAGTGAGACATGATCACACCACTGCACTCCAGATTGGACAACGGAGCAAGACCCTGTATCAAAAAGAAAAGAACAGGGTAGCTCTCTATATACCAACACAGAAAGATGCCCATGATCTATTAAGAGAGAAAACAGTAAAACTATAATTCTATCTATGTATGCATGTGCATGCAGACATCACTTGGGGAACAATACACTAAACTGTTAGCAGTGTTTTTTCTGGGGGTTCAAATCTGAGAAAACTTCCTTTTGTTAGTTATATGCAGATTTGTTTCTCATTTGCTAGATTAGTGCAATCTAAGCAATTTAAGAAATTTTATATTCACAACTGGCAAAGTACTCGTGTCACTGATTACCTAGCTCCCTGCTAGATATTTCACAGATCTCAAGTCTGATTTTGGTTAATATTGCTTTGGGGAACGAACTTGGCTGAACTGGGAGCTTGGAGAGTCATGCTGAATAATAAACAAGCTCCTCAGAACAGCCTTACATGCAACATTTGCAAAATAAGAAGCAAAGCAGAGGCTGTCATGAGACCTGCAATCTATTCACAACTGTGCTTCTGATGCAAGAAGGAAGAAGGTAAAAATGCTATTAGGTGATTTTAGGATACTGATTTCCCAGACTAAGACTTATTTCCTAAAAACCCAAATACTAAGTTCTCAGGGACCACAATATTAAATGTATTTAAGCACAGCTGGGAGGGGAGGAAAAATATAAGACCCCTTCAGTCTTCCCAGTTCTGCTTCTCACACAATGAACTTCACAGCCCCCCAAAAGTAGATGGCTGTCAAATTCAGAAAGCTGGCCAGGCGCAGTGGCTCATGCCTGTAATCCCAGCATTTTGGGAGGCCAAGGCAGGCAGATCACTTGAGGTCAGGAGTTCGAAGCCAGCCTGTCCAACATGGTGAAACCCTGTCTCTATTAAAAATGCAAAAAATTAGCCGGGCGCGGTGGCGGGCGCCTGTAGTCCCAGCACTTTGGGAGGCCGAGGCGGGTGGATCATGAGGTCAGGAGATCGAGACCATCCTGGCTAACAAGGTGAAACCCCGTCTCTACTAAAAATACAAAAAATTAGCCGGGCGCGGTGGCGGGCGCCTGTAGTCCCAGCTACTGGGGAGGCTGAGGCAGGAGAATGGCGTTGAACCCGGGAAGCAGAGCTTGCAGTGAGCCGAGATTGCGCCACTGCAGTCCGCAGTCCAGCCTGGGCGACAGAGCGAGACTCCGTCTCAAAAAAAAAAAAAAAAAAAAAAAAAAATGCAAAAATTAGCTGGGCGTAATCTCAGTAGCTGTAATCCCAGCTACTCGAGAAGCTGAGGCAGGAGAATCGCTGGAGCCCAGGAGGCAGAGGTTGCAGTGAGCCAAGATCGTGCCACTGCACTCCAGCTTGAGCGACAGGGTGAGATTCTGTCTTAAAAAAAATAAAAAGTTCAGAAAGTCATGTCTTGTCCTTCCTAATGTTTAGCAGGGCAACTTGGGCAATTTAACAGCCACAGTTTGGAAAAAATGCAATTTAGTGTAAATGTGGAAGCTGTATTTGGGATTTGTTAAAGTGGTTCTTTGATCCCACACTTGGTATATCACCTTAAATGTTCATAGCAGAGGTCAGGTGCGGTGGCTCAGGCCTGTAATCCCAGCACTTTGGGAGGCTGAGGCGGGCAGATCACAAGGTCAGGAAATCGAGAACATCCTGGCCAACATGGCGAAACCCCGTCTATACTAAAAATACAAAATTAGTTGGGCATGGTGGCGCATGCCTCAGGAGGCTGGGGCAGGAGAATCGCTTGAACCCAGGGGGTGGAGGTTGTGGTGAGCTGAGATTATGCATCGCACTCCAGCCTAGGCAACAAGAGTGAAACTCTGTCTAAAAAAAACAAAAACAAAAAACAAAAACTGCTCATCACTGGTCATTAGATAAATGCGAATCAAAATTACAATGAGATACCATCTCACGCCAGTCAGAATGGTGATCATTAAAAAGTTAGGACTTATTTTTTCACTAGAAATAACTACTATGTTTAGCAGCTTTAAGATAATATCCCCCTTTTAAGGTTATAATACACGCTGATTGAAGACAAATTGGGAAAATATGAAAAAGCAGGAACAATCACCTAAACACAAAATCCTCCACAGCCCTTTCCCTTAAAGGCAACCACTATTTGGTCATTTTTGATTTCACTCTTCTTGCCTACATATATATCTATATATATATATCTATATATATATCTATATATATCTATATATATATCTATATATATCTATATATATCTATATATATATATCTATATATATCTATATATATATCTATATATATATATCTATATATATCTATATATATCTATATATCATATATATAGATATATATCTATATATATATCTATATATATCTATATATATATCTATATATATATCTAGACATATATATGTAAAATATCTATATCTGTATCTGTCTATATATGTATTTTGAGACGGGGTATCACTCTGTTGCCCAAGCTGGAGGTCAGTGGCACAATCTTGGCTCACTGCAACCTCCACCTCCTGGGTTCAAGCAATTATCCAGCCTCAGCCTCCCTAGTAGCTGAGATTAAAGGTGCGCACCACCACGCCCAGCTAATTTTTGTATTTTTAGTAGAGGCGAGGTTTTGCCATATTGGCTAGGCTGGTCTCGAACTCCTGATCTCATGTGATCTGCCTGCCTTGGCTTCCCAAAGTGCTAGGATTGCAGGCGTGAGCCACCATGCCTAGCCTCCCATATATTTTTTACTCCACAGATTGTCATGTACATATACAGAACCTATTTTTTACTTAGCATTATATTCTTACATTTTCCTATGTAACTAAATTCTTCAAAAACAACTTTTTCTTGAAAAATATTTTTTCTTCTAAGAACATAAGCAATACATTTTCTCTATAGAAAATTTGAAAATTATTGAAAAGCCAAAAGGAAAAGAAAGTTCTCCATAATCCCATCACCTACAGATACCAGTAATCTTTAGAAACATATCTTTCCAATATTTTCTTCATACATGCATTTTCTTAAAAATTGGATTCAAAGCATGTATGTTTTTTCCCCATACTATATAAAATATTTTCCATGATTAAATATTCTGCCTTTTTAAATTTTTCTAGACAGGGTCTTGCTCTGTCTCCCAGGCTGAATCTCATTATAGCCTCGAACTCCTAGGCTCAGGCAATCCTGCCTCAGCCTCCTGAGTTAGCTGAGAGTACAGGCACATGCCACCATGCCTGGCTTATTTTTAAATTTTTTTGCAGAGACAAAGTCTTACAAAGTCTTCCCTCCCAAAGTGCTGGGATTACAAGCATGAGCAACTGCACCTAGCGCAATATTCTGCCTAATTATCCACAACACATGGATCATTGTTTACTTAGCCATTATTGTAATATTGAACATTTAGATTATTTCTAATTTTTCTATTAAGTAAAGCTGACTGGGTGAAATGGCTCATGCCTCTAATGAATCATTTGGGAGGCCAAGGCAAGTTTGAGACCAGCCTGGGTAACAGAGCAAGACCCTATCTCTACAAAAAATAAAATAATTAGCTGGGCAAGGTGGCATGTGTCTGTAGTCCCAGCTACTCGTGAGGCTGAGGTGGGAGGATTGCTTGAGGCCAGGAGTTCAAGGCTGCAGTGAGCTATGATTGCACCACTGCACTAAAGCCTGGGCAACAGAGCAAGATCTTGTCTTCAAAAAATAAAAATAAGGAAAGCTGTGGTAAGTACCATTGCTTTGTTATATTTTCTTAGATTTCTAAAGCCAAAGTAATTGTTCAAAGGCTAAGAATACTTTGAAGTGCTCCACACTGTGAAAGCACTTTCCAGAAACGTAGACATTTACCCCCACCAGTGAGTGGCAGCCCCAAATTCTCACTAACATTATTTTTAAAGTTTTTATTAATTTGGTAGGATAAAAACATTTACTTTTTACTTCTCTGATTACCAGTCGGGGTGAGGTTCTTAATATTATTCACTTGCACTTTATTTTGTGAACGTTTATTCACAAGGCTGTACCTATTACCCATTAGAGTTTATTACCTATGTATTATTTATCAGGTTCTTCTTTTTCTTACATAGGACATTACATGCATTAGTATCAGTTTTCAACTCTGTGCCATATTCTTGTAAATTATTTTAGTGCATCACTTAATTTTTTTTGAAGTTAACATTGTCCTCATTAGTTACTCTGAGGTTTACAAATTACTTTTTAAGAAATAATAATAAAAAAATTGTACATGGGATTTTATTATGTTGCCCAGGGCCAGGTATAGTGGCTGATGACTTTTAAGTCATTTGTGACCAGGCACAGTGGCTCATGCCTGTAATCCCAACACTTTGGGAAGCCAAGTCGGGAGAATCACTTGAACCCAGTAGTAGTTCAAGACCAGCCTGGGCAACATAGTAAAATCCCATGTACAAATTTTTCTTTTCTTTTTTTTGAGACTGAGACGGAGTTTTGCTCTTGTTCCCCAGGCTGGAGTGCAGTGGCGCAATCTCAGCTCATTGCAACCTCTACCTCCCGGGTTCAAGTGATTCTCCTGCCTCAGCCTCCCAAGTAGCTAGGATTACAGGCATGTGCTACTATGCCCGGCTAATTTTGTACTTTTAGTAGAGATGGGTTTTCACCATGTTGCCCAGGGTGGTCTCAAACTCCTGACTTCAGGTGATCTGCCTGCCTCAGCCTCCCAAAGTGCTGGGATTACAGGCATGAGCCACCGCACCTGGCCTCACATATGAGTTTTTTTCTTGGCTTTACTACTAGCCAGCTGTGGCACCTCGGGCAAGTCACTGCACTCTCAGAGATTTGGCTTCCTCAAATTGTGAGGACTGGACTACATGATCTCTAGGGATTTCTTCATGTCTGACATTTAGAATCTTGTCTTCCGTGAAAAGTAGGGGCATCCTTGGGCCAGTCCACTCTAACAAAGCAGGGCTATCTAATAACACCTGTAGTGTTTCATGTTAAGAGGTGTGAATAAATCTTTTACTGGAAGATAATTTTATTTCCTTACAGCGATAATATGCTGTATGAGCCTCCTGCTCTGCTGCCCATTACCTGCGTCACCTCCACAAGCTACTGAACCTCAAGGAACCCATCTCCTCATCAGGAAAAAAAATAAGCTTTATGTAGGTAGGCACCTAATAATGTTAAATTATCTCCTGTCTCTTTATCATTTAAAACTTTGGAGGCTCACTCCTGTAATCCAGCACTTTGGGAGGCCAAGGCAGAAGAATCCCTTGAGCCAGGGGTTTGAGCCCAGCCTGGGCAATGTAGCGAGACCTCATCTCTACTAAAAATCAAAAAATTTAGCTGGGCATGATGGCACCCGCCTGTAGTATTCCCAGCTACTTGGGAGGCTGAGGTGGGAGAACTGCTTGAGCCTGGGAGGTAGAGGCTGCAGTGAGCCATGATTGTGTCACTGCACTGTAACCTGGGTGACAGAGAAACTCATCTCAGAAAAAGAAGAAAACCTTCAGGCTGAGTGCAGTGATTCACACCTGTACTCCCAGCATTTTGGGGGGCCAAGGTGGGAAGATCACTTGAGCCTGGGAGTTCAAGACCAGCCTGGGCAACATAGGGAGATCCCGACTCTACAAAAAGTATAAAAATTACCCAGGTGTGGTGGTGCACACCTGTAGTCCCAGTTACTCGGGAGGCTGAGGTGGATCACTTGAGCCTGGGAGATCGAGGCTGCAGTGAGTGGTGATTGTGCTACTGTGCCACTACACTCCAGCCTGAGTGACACAGGCCCTGTCTTGAAAACAAAACCCCACTTTTTTTTGCCCCTTTCTATGTGTTTGCTGAATCTTTTATCTTGAGCATTTTAGAGTAAAAATGATACTCAAGTCTGAAATAATAAAAATAAATTCACTATAAAGAATGACCAACCTTTTCCCATCTCCTTTGAAGAGATGAGTTTTGAAATACAATATGCTCAGAACTAAGTAAATACTATCCATGAAGGCAGCTGAATGCCTCATTGGGCTACATGAGTCTCTTAAAGGGGGACAGATTCCTCAATGCCTAGAGATGGGCAGGATGGAGAAGACAAACTACAGTTTATCTACTACAATTTATAATTTTGTCGTACAGTTAAAATGGGGGGAGGAGAAACTGAAAGCATCTTAGATTTTTAAAGACAAGTTATTATATAAAAATATTTGTCTTCTTTGCAACAAAATTAAAAAGGTAAAAATATAGGTAATAATATCTTTAATCCCCTACATCAAGAAGTTGACAGTCTATCTAAATATGCTAGAAACATAAAAATCATATTCAGAGGTAACAAAGTAGAAATGCAGGCACTCATTTTTAAGTATACAATTTGTTTTTATTTACAATACCCTATAAAAATGTAAATTTAGAAACTTTTATTTTCATTAATTAGAACCAATCCAAACAAAAAAGATAAAGCACAGTAAGGAAGAGATAATAATCAAGTATTCACTTGATTGGTTGTGAAGGGAAGGTAGGAAAGGCATGTAGTGGAAATGGTCAGTAGACAACGGTAGAGGGAAGCTAGGTAACATCACTGGGGAACAGCTGGTGGAGCCTGGGGTTACAGCATGGGAAGAAATGGAGATGGAGAACAGGACAGCTGGTTTTAACAGAGGATCTTACTGTTGTACAATACATGTATGTGCAAAATGTTTATTCTCTTTAAATACCATAACCTGTCCCTCCCACCCCCCAACTACATTCGAAAAAGTAAGAACAGCAGAAAGATCACGAAGGCCATGTAAAATTAATTCAGATTTAATTTTCTTCAGGGCTGTAATCACTAGGGATCAAAACTCCTTAGTCTGGTTGATTGCTGAATGGGAGAGGAGTAAGTGAGAAAGATCATGGCAGGCTGGCCCTGCAATTATTCAAACCCAGGCCCCTGGCTGCCTGGGAACGGGACTTGGGTGAGATGAAGTAGTAAAGACAGCAGTTCTGCCCATGGTGTGGAGACTAAAAAGCAAAGCAGGCCAAACTTAGCTTCCATGGTTACATTTGGAAGTTTCTATTCATGACACCAAATAAAAGTGGGGAAGAAGGAAGCATGGCTTACTGAAGTAGTCTCAGGAAGACAGGGCAAGTGTGCAAAAAGCCACACTGCCAAAGCAGGCTACTAGTGAGGATCATCCTGGGTGACTTCGAATGCACTTGAGGGGAAAGGCTCAAGTACCCTGTAGTTGTAGCAGGAAAAAGACATAACCATGTGTTGTTTCGATTAAGGTGGACAGAAACTAAGGAAATAAAGGTGGGAAGAAGAAAAAGGACTTCTCAGCCTAGACCTGGGCATAAGCCAATTAAGAGTTCTGATTTTATTAAACGTGCTGCATACTCTTTATTTATGTTAAAACAAGTAGAACCCACCAAATTAATTACAAGATAGAACAGAAACAGATTAAAATACATCAGCTGGTTTGTGTTTAGAAGAGGTAATGAGACAACTAAATATTTTTCAATCTAAAATTCATTCTTTAAGGACCCTCTGAAGACCACATAAATACATGTATGGGGTGTGTGTGTGTGTATCTATGTGTGTGTGTATATCTTGATTTCTACTTAATTGGCTCTTCTATAGTCATATTAATATGGGGCAATGAAAAAACAACTTCAATAGGATGAGGGAAGGAATCCTTTGGCAGGCTACAATCTACTCTGAGGTGGAGTAGTGGAGGGATAAAGGGAGAGATTACACTTGTGTCTCTAGGGCAAAGAAAATGCAAAACAGAACTGAGTAAAAGTAGGACATGCAGAACTGTAACACAGAAGGTAAAGAAACCAGCAGAAGTATCACCCAGCCAAATTTCATAGAGCAGTGGGGAAATATCTGACATTTAGAGAGACAACCCCTGTAAACAGGAATCGATCCCACAAGACTTTGCTTTGGGGAAAAAGCTACCTTCCTTCCCTCATTAAAAACACTCCATTGGTGATGGCAGCAGTGCAGGTGGCAGCCAAAAGGAGGTACAGGACACATTTGGAGATCTTTTATCGTATCCCCTGAACTAGCCTAGGAGTACAAAGGAGAGAAAGGAAAATTGTATAAATGAGTTAAAACAGAAGGCAATCTTTCATATTACAGTTACATCTTTGTAAGACTTCTCATAACAAAATACCCGAGATTATTTCTCTACCCTTAGCATTTGGTCATCTTTTATGAAGGCCCTGTTGTACCCAGTTCAGTGTTTTATATCTAACAGATACACAAATAGTTAATAAAAAGTCAATCTCTTCCACCAAATTCAGTTTTATTCCCCCCTCCACCCCAATCATAACTTCTTTTTATTTATTTTTTTTGAGACAGGGTCTTGCTCTGTCACCCAGGCTGGAGTGCAGTGGCGTGATCTCAGCTCACTGCAATCTCTGTCTCCCGGGTTTAAATGATTTTCATACCTCAGCCTACCGAATAGCTGGGATTACAGGCATGCACCACCGCACTTGGCTAATTTTCGTATTTTTTTAGTAGAGACAGGGTTTCACCATTTTGGTCAGGCTGGTCTGGAACTCCTGGCCTCAAGTGATCCACCCTCCTGGGTGTCCTAAAATGCTGGGATTACAGGTGTGAGCCACCGTACCCAGCCTCCCAACCATAACTTCTAAAGTCCCAACTTTAGTGAGATGTGAAACTCTCCTGTTTCAAACTTACTGCAGTTTTGTCTCCAGCAAGTTCAGTTTCTGCCGGTCAACATAGCGAGAAAAGAGGGACACTAGGTTTGTAGGTATAGAGATTGGCTTGGCCAGGGCTGCTTGGGGAATCCGCAGAAGTTCTCGTGTTGCCATGAACATCACCTCCGTCCTGACAGGGAAGACCCATAATAATATCAGGAGAAAAAAATTTAAAAGATTACCTCAAAGAACTTAAAATAAGAGAAGAAACAGTCCACACTGACCACTGATTATTTTGTGTTGATTCTGTAGCAGGGTCTGAACTCTGTAGGTCTTCACCACGGCTCAGGAGGATGAGGAGCAGTGACAGGCCAAACTACGAGAAAAGACAGAGGGAATCAAACTCAACACTGTGTCTAAACCTCCTCCACCACTGTTGAAGGGATCCTGGCATCAGATGGGGAACAGCTCTAAATCAAAATAACCTCACTACTGTGCTTTTCTGTAAAACCAGGTAAAGATCAGACAAGCATGAGTTGAAAGGCTATGTCTCTCTCCAGGCTTTATTCTGCCATAGCAGTGACCAGGCGCAGCCAACAGAAACGGAAAGTCATGGTGTCCAACACGCCTCTCTGTTCCCCATGCTGAGGTTAAAAGATGGTTTTTCCTTGCCATGGATAATGTAGAATTTGACTTTTCTCCTATTTATGAGAACAGAAATAGGCTAAAAAAGAAAGTAAATGAAGACCAATTTTGGTACAGAAATTAAAAATCAGGAAAAAATAAGAAAAAAGCATTACAGTAAGATATTTTGAATTAAGAAACAAGGTGTAAACTGTAGGAAAATATACAAATAAACACAACTGAAATAAACATGGTATAAAGAGAAACTTTCCATTAAAAAGCACATCTCTATCTGGAAATACAAAGTCTTAGACAGAATGTTAATAAAAATCTAAAAAATAAAAAGAGAGAAAGGGTAAACAGATGTATACACCGTATCTATAATTAAAATTCAGCAACATGCTTTAGAGTATGCAATATATAAAAATGGTCAGGTGTGGTGGCTCATGCCTGTAATCCCAGCACTATGGGAGGCCAAGGTGGGTGGATGACCTGAGGTCAGGAGTTTGAGACCAGCCTGATCAAAATGGTGAAACTCCGTCTCTACTAAAAATAGAAAATTAGCCAGGCACGGTGGCACATGCCTGTAATCCCAGCTACTTGGGAGGCTGAGGCAGGAGAATTGTTGGAACCCGGGAGCTGGAGGTTGCAGTGAGCCAAGATCGCACCATTGCGCTCCAGCCTGGGCAACACGAGTGAAACTCCATCTCCAAAAAAAAAAAAAAAAGTAACATATAAAAATGTGTTTTATTTAGTGGACAGTAAAATCAGGAAATGTAGTCTTTGGGGCATAGGATTAAAATATGGGACGGGCGTGGTGGCTCATGCATGTAATCCCAGCACTTTGGGAGGCCAAGGCGGGTGGATCAAGAGGTCAGGAGATCGAGATCATCCTGGCTAACACGGTGAAACCCTGCCTCTACTAAAAAATACAAAAAATTAGCCAGGCGTGGTGGCGGGTGCCTGTAGTCCCAGCTACTCGGGAGGCTGAGGCAGGAGAATGGCTTGAACCCAGGAGGCGGAGCTTGCAGTGAGCTGCGATCGCGCCACTGCACTCCAGCCTGGGTGACAGAGCAAGACTCTATCTCAAAAGAAAAAAAAAAATGAACAGGGGGCTGGGGATGGGCATGGTGGCTCATGCCTGTAATTCCAGCACTTTGGGAGGTGGAGGCAGTACTGCTTGAGTCCAGGAGTTCGAGACCAGCCAGAGCAACATAGTGAGACCCTGTTTCTGCAAAAAATATAAAAATCAATCGGAGGCTGGGTGTGGTGGCTCACACCTGTAATCCCAGCACTTTGGGAGGCTGAGGCAGGTGGATCACGTGAGGTCAGGAGCCCCGGACCAGCCTGGCCAACATGGCAAAACCCTGTCTCTGCTAAAAACACAAACATTAGCCTGGTATGGTGGCGGGCACCTGTAATCCCAGCTACTTGGGGGCTGACGCAGGAGAACTGCTTGAACCTGGGAGGCAGGGGTTGCAGTGAGACAAGATATCGCCATTGCACTGCAGCATGAGTGACAGAGCAAGGCTCTGTCTCAAAAAAAAAAAAGTCAATCAGGCATGGTGGCACATGCTACTCAAGAGGCTGAGGTGGGAGGATCGCTTTGAGTACAGAAAGTTGAGGCTGCAATGAGCTGTGACTGTGCCACTGCACTGAAGCCTGGGTGACAGAGTGAGATCCTGTCTCAAAAAAGAAAATACAAATAGGGACAAGAAGGTTTAGGTTAAATGTATGACTCATACCTATAAATGGATCATAAAAGGAAGGCTGGCAGTACTTTGGGATTCCATTCCAACTTTCTAGACTCACTCACTTTTCCACAAAATTTCCCTTCATGGCCGGTTGCAGTAGCTCACACCTGTAATCCCAACACTTTGGGAGGTCGAGGCAGGCTGATAGCTTGAGCTCAGGAGTTTGAGACCAGCCTGGACAACATGGCGAAACCCCACCTCTACAAAAAATACACAAATTAGTTGTGCGTGGTGGCATGTGCCTGTAGTCCCATCTACTTGGGAGGCTGAGGTGGGAGGATGGCTTGAGCCCAGGAGGCAGAGGTTGCAGTGAGCCGAGATCTTGCCACTGCACTCTGGCCTGGGTGACAGAGAAGACCCTGATTTAAAAAAAAAAAATCCCTTTTCATGTTATTCTCAGAAAAAAAATACTACTGCCTTTACTAAAATTAAAACTAAGAGACCAAATAACAGAAAGGCACATTCCGGATCACTCCAGAACCCCAGAGGCACTGTCACCTCTTCTTCCTCTGATACACTGACCTTTAGAGTCATGCTTTGGTAGGTTTTCTGGTGCAAAGGAGCAAGAGGCCTTGAGACCACTTTTTCATCTCTACTGTACATAGAATGGCCCTTAATGAGTAACTACTATGTACCAGGCATTATATCGAACCACTTACAACTGTTATCTCATTTAAGTACCAGGACAACTCTATGAAGTCTACATCATCACCTCCATCTTATAGACCAGGAAACTGATTCAGCAATGTGATATCATCTGTCCAAGGTCACAAAGCTAGACAGTAGCAGGGAAGGACTAAAAATTCATATTCTTTATTTCATATTATGTTTCCCCTAGGAATCTCTGAATCTTTAAACTTGATGCAAATAAAATATGAAATGGATGATTCTACTATTCATAGTGTTATGACAGAGACTGCTAATTGCCTAATATGCCTTCCTACCCATTATCAGAACTCTTATGTGTCATGACAATGGCATAAACTAAAAGATATTTTCCAGCCTTCCCTGCACTTAGGTGTGGCCATGTGACAATGTCCTGGCTATTAACAGTAAGTAGAAGTTTCTGGTTAGAACTCCTGGAAAAGGTCTCAATAAGGAAGATGGACAGCTGGTCCACATCTTTTTGCCCTCCACATCCACCTGTCCTTCTTGATGTAAAGCTGAATCATGAATTCCACAGCCATCTTGGACCATGAGGAATAATGAACATGGAAGCCACTGGTAAGAATGGCAGAGGAAAAAAAGTGAAAAAGCCTGGATCCCTGATGACTCTGTCGAGCTACTAAATCAAATTTATTTCACACTAGACACATAAAATCCCATTTTGTTGAAAACACTGTTATTTCTAGCCGGTTACTAGGAGCTTAATGTAACTCTTGACTGAAAGAAGCCTTTTTCCCAAGTTGCTAGAGATACAGCAGCCATTATTTTAATCTATAACGCAAATTAAGACATTTCACAAAGTTCAAGGAGTTAAAAGGGCAAGATCACCTTGTTCTGGAGCACAGCAGTGAGGTGAGGATTGGAGAGTGCTGGTGTAGCTGCACTTTGAGGTAGGTTCATTAGCTGTCGCAAAAGGCTGGTGATACTCACTGATGGAAGATGATAGAGAAGGAGAGAGAAGGGACTCAGTAAGCATGGCAGCACCTACAAAAAACAAATAAAAGCATTATATCCTGGCACGTGTTACTTCAGTTACCCCCCACCAGGGGCATGGATGGAAGGATGTTCATTTGTATATTCAACCACTTAAGGCACAAGTCTGGCAGATATGACTAGAGTCTTAATAATGAATTCTAAGCTATCTACTGAGAACTTTTTCATCTCAATTTGCATTGGAAACACCATGACTTGTGTGAACCAAAGGTGTAAAAAAAAATCACTCCCAAATACATACCAAGAGTTATGCTAAAACATCAATATTTTAACTAATTCCATAAATATTTAAATGCTTACACTACACCATGGGCTAAAAACAAATGGCAAAAGGACACAGAACCTCAGGGATCTAAAGTATAGCGGAGAAGATATGGGTTAATTGGCCATTTCAATATACTGTGAGAAGCACTCCAAGATAGGTTAAAGGCCAAGCAGAAGATCACTTCAGGCCAGGAGTTCAAGACTAGTCTGGACAACGTAGTGAGACCTCATCTCTACAACAAATAAAAAAGTTTCACCTGTAGTCCCCAGCTACTCAATAGGCTGAGGTGGTAGGTTTGCTTGAGTCTAAGAGTTCAAGGTTACATTGAACTATGATTGCACAACCACATTCCGGCTTGGGTGACAGGGTGAGACCCACCCTGTCTCAAAAGAAGTGTTTTCAGATTTAATGTATTTTCTTTTATTTTTATAAAAGCTCAATGAGGAAGAAAAGAAATAATTAGCCAATTTTTATAGATTTTTAGAGAATCTATAAAGTGATCAGAAACTCAGTGTTTGGAGTTACATAGCCACAGCTAGAGCCAGAACCCAAGGCTGTTGAATTCCAGCCTTCTAGTCATTTATTTCTTTTTGTCATGTAGCCAACTGGAAAGTTAAAATAAAGAACTATTAATATAAATAACTAGGTTATAACACAACAAAGGAAATCAAGAGTGCTTCCAGACAATCAATGCACATGGTATAAAGTGATGGCTGGTTTTACTTTAAATGGCAACTGCAAATGGGGAATAAAATATTTTTTGTGGTCTACTATAAATTAAAAAAGCTTTTATTATGGTCATTTTAGAACATACATGAAAATACAAACAACAGCATAATGACATTCATGTACTCACCACCCAATTTCAACATCAACCAAATTATCAACATTTTGCCAATCTTATTAAATCTATGTTCCTTCTGTATCATATCATTTCATCCCAAAATACATCAGTTTGTATTTCTAACAAAATCTCTCACAATATCATACCTAACAAAATAAACAATAATTTTTCTTCATAGACCATTTCTCAGGAAAGAATTTTAAAATATCATCTAGTATCTGTTTCAAATTCAAATTCCCTCAAATGCCTTTAAAAATATCTTTTAGCAGCTGAACTTTGTATTAGAACCATTATTGTGCTAATTATGGTTCAAACAAGATCCACACATTGCATTTGCCTGGTAAGGTTTTTAAAATCTCTCTAACAGGTCTTCTGCCACTGGCCCTTTTCTCTTGTTATTTATCTGTTAAAGAAACTGGGTCATTTGTTCTATAGTTTGAATTTGGCAAACTGCATGTTGGCAGTGTCACTTAGCAGGTTCTGCTATCCTCTGTTTCCCTCCTAAACAGATAGTTAGAATAACAGGTTTATTTGATTCAGGTTCAGTAGGATGTGGGAGGGACATGTGAGAAAACGTCATGGATAGAACTGTGTATTTTCCATTGCATTATGCCAAGAAGAGCTAGGTATGGTGGCTCATGCCTGTAATCCCTGCATTTTAGGAAGCAGAGATGGGAAAACTGCTTGAGCCCAGGAGCTCGAGACAAGCCTGGACAACATAGGGAGACTTCGTTTCCTTTTTTTTTTTTTTTTTTTAAAAAAAAAAAAAAAGCACAGTGCTTGGTTGTCCCACTCTTAGAGGTGTTAAGAGTTCATTAATGGGTTCAGGTGTTGCCAGGCTGCTCCAACCACTGTAAAGTTCCCCATCCACTTTTTTTTTTTTTTTTAATCCATTCAACCCTGAGTGGATACAGCACATGTTTCAGAGAGCACAGGGTTGGGGGTAAGGTCACAGATCAACAGGATCCCAAGGCAGAAGAATTTTTCTTAGTACAGAACAAAATGAAAAGTCTCCCATGTCTACCTCTTTCTACACAGACACGGCAACCATCCGATTTCTCAATCTTTTCCCCACCTTTCCCCCCTTTCTATTCCACAAAACCGCCATTGTCATCATGGCCCGTTCTCAATGAGCTGTTGGGTACACCTCCCAGACGGGGTGGTGGCAGGGCAGAGGGGCTCCTCACTTCCCAGTAGGGGCGGCCAGGCAGAGGTGCCCCTCACTTCCCCCCCCATCCACTTTTTACCTACTGCTTTTAGCAGCCAGTAATGAGTGCTGTCTAGATTGACTGCTTCTCTGTTGAGGCTTGCAAAAACAGTTATTTTCTAATTTTATCATTTCTTTTGTATTTATTAGCTAAAATTCTTCTACAAAGAACTTTGTATTATCAACTCTCTGATTACCATGACATTTGGTTGTAATGGAAAGGTAGGATAAATGCTTTTCCTTTATTTACCAATTTTCTGAATAGTGGGTTGATGGCCTAGTAGTCTCCAAAGGTGATCAATATATGTTTAACACTATTACCTCATTAAATATATTTGATATATTTCAATCTACTGCTGTAACTGTTCTTTCTGATGAAAATTATTCCACTTTTGGCCAGTATGAGTCTCTTGAAGTTGGTTTGTGTATCCTTTAGACAGGACTCTAGTAATCTATTAACTTCCTTGCTTTCTGGCACTAGATATTCCAGGATATCTTGTACATTTCATGATTCAGACCTAGAACCAGCTATTACTTCAAGAAAATGGTATTTAGAGATGTGGTTTATTACTCCTTAAAACATACAGGTAAAAATCAGCCTAGGTATTTAGCCAAGCTTTCCTCCTAGCAGGTAAGCTCCATGAAAGCAGGCATTTTTGCATTCTTATCTTTTAGCACCTAGAACTAGGTGTTGTATTTCTAGGAGGTAAAATAATGCCTGGCACATAGAAGTATTCAGCAAATTATCTCCCAAACTTGTTTCCACACAAGAGCTCTGGTGGGATTATGAGTGCCCATTACACTGCTTACAAATTATATGCTCTAAGGTAGCTGTTACTTTTTTAGTCTGGTCTTCTATTTTCTAGGATAAACCTCAAATACTGGAACTTTTCCCTAACTCATTTTTCATTTGTGGAATTTTTTTTTTTTTTTTTTTGAGTAGCTGGGACCACAGGCATATACTACTGTGTCCAGCTCATTTTTTTCTTTTTTTTCTCTATTTTTAGTAGGGACAGTTTTTCACCATGTTGCCCAGGATGGTCTTGAACTCTTGGCCTCAAGCGATCCACTTGCCTCAGCCTCCCAAAGTGTTGGGATTATAGGCGTAAGCCACTGTGCCCAGCCAAATCTTTTAAATATATACTTGTCCCAACCCACTTCACTTTTTTCAATGAGACCTAAACTTCTCATTCATTTCTTCTGCAGATGCTAACATTTCAAGGATCTATGAAAGAATAATTTCCCTTTCATAGCATACCATTTATAAGGTATTCTGTGTTTTCTGGGGACTCATTACTTAGATCGTTATTACTCAACTTGTAGTCTATAACAGGTTCACTCCCATATATTCTACTATTCTGAATCTTGTACTAATATTCATCCTTTGTCCCACTTTTATCAGTTTCTTATTTTGAACTTCTTAAGACTATTCTAAATTTTGCTCATCTTTCAGGTGTGCTATGACAAGGATAAGGAGAGAAAAACTCTAACCAAGAATTAACTTGTACATGTGATAACCATGTTAAAATTCCAGCCTAGTCTAGATCATGATAAAAATTATTTAAAGGGCTGGCTCGGGCTGGACACAGTAGCTCAAGCCTGTAATCCCAGCACTTTGGGAGGCCAAGGCAAGAGGACTGCACGAGTCTAGGAGTTTGAGACCAGCCTGGGCAATGTGGCAAAACCCTGTCTCTACAAAAGGTAAAAAAAAAATTAGCCGAGCATGGTGTCGCATGCCTGTAGTCCCAGCTACTCAGGAGGCTGAGGTGGCAGAATCACCTGAGCCTGGGATGTGGAGGCTGCAGTGAGCCGAGATCACACCATTGCCCTACTGCCTGTGTGACAGAGCAAAACTCTGTCTCAAAAAAAAAAAAAAAAAAAAAACCAAAAGGGGACTAGCTCAGTTGCTGTGGGATACCATTTAACTAAGTCTACAGGCTAATGTTAAGCTACTGATAACAGAACAATGAATGATACTTCATATCTAGCAAAATAACCAAGACTATAAGTTTTCAAACTTCAGTGAACATCAGATTCAGCTGGAGACTAAGATACAAAAACCCTAATCCTTCTGTAAATTCTGATTCAGCAGTTTGGGGTGGAGTTGAATTATCTACGCAAGTAATTCTGATACAGACCACATCTTTACAACTATGTCAAGTAAGAGGGAATTGTTGTTTTTCTCATGTTTAGAAACATAGTCTGTTCCATCAAATATGGGATTAAAAATATAGGCCTGAAATACTAAAGGTTTTGTTTTAAATAATCAAATCACACAGCCAAAGATTAGACAAAAATACAAAAGGGAAGAGGAGAGGAAAATAAGTTTGCATTCTAGAAATCTTATCACTTATAAAGACTCAAAAGAAAGATGTCCCATCTTGCATAGTCACCTCATCTTGTGCATCCTTCTTGATAAGGAAAGGGAGGTTCCTGGCTGTTGTCATGAGAATGTCAGCTGCTTGCTCTGTGGAGAGGAAAGGAAGAATACGGGCAACCATTCTCTTCCCTTTTCGGATACACATGATCTGTACAAAGTGGTCATCACTAGGCCTGCAAGGAAGAAAAATGCCAGCTTAGGTCAGCAAGAACAATTAAGAAACCCTCATTTTTTTCCTCTTAGATGTTACTGAATGAATATACTGCATTCATTTTCATTCTCTAATAACCTGTACTATAAAACAGTAGGAATCACTTCTCCAAATCTCAACCAAATAAAAAGTAAATTTTCAGGTCTTACAAATGTAGAAAATAATCATTTCACAAATTATATGGTTAAAAAAAACTTGGCCAACTGTATGCACTAATTTCCTTAACTTTTTTTCTTTTTTTTTTTTTTTTTTGAGACGAAGTCCCGCTTTGTTACCCAGGCTGGAGTGCAGTGGCGCTATCTTGGTTCATTGCAGCCTCCACCTCCTGGGTTCAAGTGATTCTCCTGCCTCAGTCTCCTGAGCAGCCGGGATTATAGATGCCCGCCACCATGACCAGCTGATTTTTATATTTTTCTAGAGACAGGGTTTCACCATGTTGGCCAGGTTGGTCTCTGAACTCTTGACCTCAAGTGATCTGCCCACCTCAGCCTCCCAAAGTGCTTGGCCTCCTCTCTTAACTTTTAAGTAACCACACAAATACCATATGGTTAACAGCAACAGCTTAAAAAAAAAAAAAAGAAAAAAGAAAATAAAAACATTCGTCAACTCAGAGTTAATTAGTGTTACCATTTTAAACAACATTTTGCTTTGTATTATATATTTTTTCTTTCATAAAAAAATGGGCCCATATAATTCATATGGTTTTGTACCTTGACTTTTTTCACTCAACAACTTATTTCCATGTCAATAAATATATTTCAACTACATACATTTTAATGGCTGCATAACATCCAATCTATGGATAAACCATTTATTTAACCAGTTCCCTGTCAGCCTAACTCCAGACACGGTGTGTTGAAAACAAAGTGCTTATTCTTATGTTTGGTTTTGTGTATGTCCTGGCTTAGAAGGATAAGTAATTCTCTTGAACGGGTAAAAAGAAAGGGAGTTGTTAGAAGTTGTAGTTCTCTTGAATACATCGAATAAGTATTCAGGATTTACAGAACATTTAACATCAGCAAGATTCTTTTGCAGATAATGGGGTAGGTGAGGGATTCCCCATTGGAAGACTGAAGGGTTTCGATAGGATATAAATATTTTGTGGAAATCCCAGGAAGTATAAATGTTTGTACATCTGATCTTAGTAATAAAGGAAATATATAAAGATTACAAGGTTAAACATGCTAGTAATCATAAATCAGGTGCAATCTGTAAGCACAAAAACCCAATAACGTTACCCACTATATCTCTAGTGCCTAGCACTGTCCCCAGCAGATACTATGTATTTGTTGAATGAATAAATTCAGGATAAAGACTTTTTTTTTCTTTCCTCACTGGAAAAGATAATTCGTATTTTAAATGAAGTGGCATTTGAGTTAGGCTAAAAGGATAGATTCTGAGCTTACAGAGATGGTAGGGAAGTGTACCTAAAAGGCAAAAATGTATGAAATCCAGTTATGACAGAGGAAGGAGTCCAGTTAATGTTTTCCTCAAACTGCACGATGCTTACCTCTCTTGTCCAGGCAATTTCCCCCTTAAGTTGTCATACATGCTACAAATTTTGTGCTTTCTGTCATCCATTAGGGCAGGTCGCTCTTCTTCCAGACTTAGGAGATAACGTCTTTCATAGTCCTCCACATCAAGGAGTAAGCTGTAGGTCTAAGAAGGGAGACAAAAGCAGGCCACAGCATGCTAGGTCAGAACCACAGTATTAGTTAAACAATTTCACAGTTTAGGACTACTAGCTAAAGACAAACTCATTATAGAAAGACTGAGATTTTTTTTTTTTTAATGTAGAAAACCATATGAAATAACTTAAAAAATTCCTCAAACCACCATTCTTTGTCTCTCTCTGACTTCTATTCTAGCAGGCAAAGACAGTAAAATAGTCTAGACGCGGTGGCTCACGCCTGTAATCCCAGCACTTTGGGAGGCTGAGATGGGCGGATCACGTGAGGTTGGGAGTCCAAGACCAGCCTGAACAACATGGAGAAATCCCATCTCTACTAAAAATACAAAATTAGCCAGGCATAGTGGCACATGCCTATAATCCCAGCTACGCAGGTGGCTGAGGCAGGAGAATTACTTGAACCCGGTAGGCGGAGGTTGCAGTGAGCCAAGATCTCGCCATTGCACTCCAGCCTGGGGAACAAGAGTGAAACTCCATCTCAAAAGGAAAAAAAAAAAAAAAAAAAAGCAATCCAAAGAGAAAACTACTACTATCATCTCCATTTTTACAGATAAAGAAACTGAGGACAGCATAGAAAGGTTAAATAACTTGCCTTAAGTTACAGACTCAGAAATGGAAAAAGACATGATTTGCAGCTTGGTTCTAGAGTCCATACTTTCAACCACTATGGTGTATGGCCTTACAATGTGGTATTTACATTTTACAAATCAACTATTAATATCCATTATTTTCCTCAGCACCCAGAATAGTGCCCAGTAAATATCTGTGAACTAAATTAATCCACAGGTAGGACAATGTAATTTTCATTCCCATTTTATCAGGCTTAGAAAGGTGACTTGCCCAGACACTCAGCTGTTAACTGAATAAGCTTGGACAAAAACCCAATACACTTCCAACTTTAACTGCAGTGTTCTTTCCATGATGCCAATAGGTGAAACATACCATAATCCTTTCCAAAGTTATGTGGTACACAATAGTCACTTACCAGCAATATATTCATGAATTAAAACCAAAGAACATTGACTGATTGCTCACTGTTTCAGTTCTAGTATATACATACATTTGACAGTTCCGTATTTGAAACTAACTACAGCAACAAATTCTAAACTTACTTTCTCAATTATAACAAGGGTTTTTCTCCTCTTGTCTCGAACTTGTTTTTCTTTTGTCTCCTAAAAAAGAGAAGACTATTCAATGCAAATTCTTTATCTCTGTTAAAATAATTTACCAAGTGCGCATTTGTAGGTTCATTTGTGACAATACTTTGAGAAGATAATTGATTCTCTGAAAGTTAATAATCTAAAACAACCCTAGTATGAACAAAGGTCAAAGTTGACTGAATCAATCCACAAACTATTAAATTCCATTCACAGATAGGCAAAGGGCAACCTTAGTAGAGGATAAGGAAATCATATGAAATATGAAAATCTTTTTTTTTTCTTAAACGTTAATTTTAGGTTCAATGGTACACGTGCAGGTTATAGGGTACATGTGTTTGTTACATAGGTAAACTTATGTCATGGGGGTTGTACAAATTCTTTCATCACCCAGGTACTAAGCCTAGTGCCCCATAATTATTCTTTCTGATCCTCTTCCTGAAAATCTTAAAACACATAGAAAATGATAATTTTTTTAACATCAAACTGGAGTAAATACATGCTGTTTGCAGCCAGAGCTACCCAATCCAAAGACTCCTGCCACCCTAGTCCCTGCCTGGCTGCCTTAGAAATGAAGGTGTTAATACTGCAGCACATCTGTGGAAAACTAGAATGCATGACGAGGTGGGAGGCCCCGGGTTAGACTACAAACAACTCTACCATGCCTGATCTCATTCCATGGTGACCCCAAAAGAAGTGGTCACAAATCAGACGTTCTTAAACAGACAATTGTGTTGACACTTACATCATCCTCACTCCGAGATGTCACAACAGCATCAATCATTTTTCGGGGATTATTCACACTAGAAACGGTAAGCTTTCCCAAAGAGCCCTCAAATTGCACTGCAAAGACAAAAAAAAAAAAAATTCCAACAAAATAAAAAGTCAGCAATGCAGGCAGGCAGTGTTCAAAGAAGATTTTTACTTTCCTCTGTCCCTTACTCATAGTCTAATAACTTACTGCAAAACTCAATGTATCATTTAGGCCGGGTGTGGTAACTCACACCTGTTATCTCAGCACTTTGGGAGGCCGAGGGGGGTAGATCACTTGAGGCCAGGAGTCCGAGACCAGCCTGGCCAACATAGCGAAACCCCGTCTCTACTAAAAATACAAAAATTAGCTGGATGTGGTGGCACACGCCTGTAATCCCAGCTACTCAGGAGGGTGAGACATGAGAATCGCTTGAGCCCAGGAGGTGGAGGTTGCAGCGAGCTGAGATGGCACCAATGCACTCCAGCCTGGACAACAGAGTAAGGCTCTTTC
This sequence comes from Homo sapiens, assembly GCF_000001405.40. Classification (NCBI taxonomy): domain Eukaryota; kingdom Metazoa; phylum Chordata; class Mammalia; order Primates; family Hominidae; genus Homo; species Homo sapiens. The sequence continues at coordinate 59,652,063 of NC_000011.10, forward strand.
TCAAAAAAAAAAAAAAAAAAAAAAAAAAAAGACAAAAAATCAATGTATTATTTAAAGCAACCCCTTATCAAAATCTATCCTTTCTCTCTGTTACAATAATTATCACAATAAAAATCTGAAGTATTTCCCCCTTATTTATTTTAGGGGTACTGAAAATTATAACACATTTAAAAAATCATGAAATCTCAAGTAGAAAAGGACCTAAAAAGGCACATGTCAAAGCGTTCAGTCCAGACGTGAATAAAGGCTGATTTTTGCATTTATTAAGAACAATGGTACTTTTAAAATCACTTTGAAACATCTTTGCATATCCTTCCACATATACACTTGTCTATATTTAATCACATCAGCAGCTTCTCAAATTTCTTTTATTATGGGCATTTTTCTTATGAGGACCTTACCTGGCTTATAGGCGTGCTCCAGTTTGGCCACCTGAGGGGTGATAAGCTTGGTGCGCTCCTTCTTAGGGCCATCACCTTGTATTTCTTCAGCAGCTGACAGTTTCTCCAGTTTTTCAAAGTAATTCTACCACGAGAAGATGATTTCAGTTGTAACACAAGCACAGAACACGACTGTTGTTTACCATCAAATAATTTATGCCAGTGACAGTAACACAAGTTCAGCTCTAGAAATATACTGATAGTGAATAGTGCAAGATGCTAAGTACCTCAAAAGAAAATTTTACAAATATTTAATTGTACCAATATTTAAATGAATACCCTCACCAGTGTAGGGGACCAAACTATTATCCTCAAAACTAGCACAGAGTATTTACCTGGTAATAAAAATCATCCAGGTAGGGATCAGTGCTTTGCAGTTGCATCATCTGGATTTTAGAGACCCAATCCTTTTCCCGCTGCAACATGAGATTGGCATATGGATCCTTTCGGAGATGATCTTGATGACTGCTCCGGTGACTTCCTCTATCTCCCGCACCATTGAGATTCCGATGCTGACTGAAAAACATACACCACATTCATTCCATGTGGGCAAATTAATTACGCTTTTTAACAACAGAGGAATAAACCAGGCCAGTTTTTTTTTTTTTTTTTAAAGATTCCCGTTTGCTTTTCTTAAAAGGGGAGTGAAAAAGAACTAAGTCTTAATAGAATTTAAGAGGAAAGAGCTATGTAATAAATAATGAAGAAATAAAACTAAGACCTGAGTACCTTACCATATGCTAAGCATATTCACCTATGGACTTTTGTATAAGCTCTAGAATAACTCTGTGAGGTAGGTAGTTTTCTCTTCCCCACTTAAGACAACAAATCGATGCCAAGAGAGATCAAGTAATTTGTCCAAAGCCATACATCTAGTGGTGGACTAAGGGATTTTAACACAGGCGATTTAGCTCTGAAGTCTACATAAATTGTTTTAACTCATTAAAAATCACGAAATATTTCAAATGCAGAGAAAAAGCCCAGCAAATACTATCATAAATATCCATTTACCCATCACCAAGACCCAATAGAAAAAAATGTATTTGGTTGAATTTGCTTCAAATATTTTAAAGTAATATTAAAATAACACAGTGCTACACTGACAGAGGCCCTGTTGTACCCCTCTAGACCCAGTTTCCAGCTTCTCTTCCTTCATAGAGGAACCACTATTATGCCCTTGGTATGGATGTATCCTCCCTGAAATGTTTTTCTACGTTTATTACTTGTGTGTCTGTCTTTAAATATTACACAGTATTATTCCGTGTGCCTTTTAGTTTTACATAAATGGTACATATAATTCTGTTCCTTGCTTCTTTACTCAATATTATGCTTTTCATATTTACATGTTGATAATACATCCAGGTTTATGGATATGAAGTAAACTTACTAAAAAAAACAAAACAACTAAATAGCATGTTGTTACACTGTTAAAATTAAAAGCTGAATTAAGAAGCCATAAAGGAATCGGATGAGTACTTACCTTCTATTCTGTTGCTGTCTCTGATGCAAGAGTCGACGGTGCTGTGGATGGAGGTGAGTTGTGTCCGGTCTAAACATTGGGGCCTGAGATCTAAGAAAAACGGAAAAGAGGTTCTCAGTTTGGTCATCCTGATGACTTGAAATTTTAAAGAATGTTGTCAGTAGAGGATAACTTCATACAGGTTAACTTAAGGGACTACAAAAGTCTATTCGGGATGGGTGCGGTGACTCACGCCTGTAATCCTAGCACTTTGGGAGGCCAAGGCAGGTGGAACACTTGAGGTCAGGAGTTCGAGACCAGCCTGGCCAACATGGTGAAACCCTGTCTCTCCTAAAAATACAAAAATTAGCTGGGCATGGTAGCAGGCGCCTGTAGTCCCAGCTACTTGGGAGGCTGAGGCAGTGGAATCGCTTGAGCCTGGGAGGCAGAGGTTGCAGTGAGCCGAGATCGTGTGGGTCACTGCACTCCAGCCTGCGAGACAGAGTGAGACTCTGTCTCAAAAACATTAAAAAAAAAAAAAAAAAAAGAGTCTATTCTAAGGAGACCTTTTAGAAGCAAAAGATAGTCATATTTTTACATATCTTCTACAAAGACCAAGTTCTAAAAGGGTGATCATGAAATCTGAGTGAATTAGGAGTAAAGCAGTATAATTCTTTTTCTTTTTGCTTCTGTTTAACAGAAGTCTCTAAGTAGGTTTAACGTACTCAGCTTCAACTATGTGGGAATGTCATTAAAGATATATGTGTGACAGTTAATATGGCTAGGCCTTAGTACCCAGTTATTTGGTCAAACACTGTTTAGATGTTGCTGTGAGGGTATTTTGTAAAGATGTGATTAACATTTATAATCAGTTGACCTTACAAAAGAGATTACCCTCAATAATGTGGGTGGAGCTCATCCAGCCAGTTGAAGGCCTTAAGAACAAAACTAAAGTTTCCCAGAAGAAGGAATTCTGCCTCAAAACTGGAACACAGAAATCCTGCTTGAGTGTCTTGACTGCTGACCTGCTATACTTATTTCAAACTCAAGACTGCAACTTGAGCTTTTACCTGTTTCTTGCCTGCTGGTCTGTCTTACAGATTTCGAACTTGTCAGCCTCTATAATCACGAGCCAATTTCTTAAAATAAAACCTGCTCACATGAACATTCTTGCTCTCTTTCCTCTACTGGTTCTCGTGTGTCTCTTGAAAATCCTGACTGCCACAATATGATATGTAATAAAACACAACTTCACTGAAACAGGAACTTGAACCCCTTTTGTCATAAAACCAGAGGATAAAAGCAAACAGCTTAGCTAGTGTGACGATTAGCTGACTTTTCGGCATCTGTCACTGTATTCCATACCCTCTGGTAATGTGAGAAAAATGTGATTCACAAGAAAGCCTGGAGATTGTCAAACATTTCCATGTTTGCCAACTTGAGGATCCAATAACATCTTAAAATTTATAGTTAGCAAATATCAAGAGACTTATAAAACTACACATCCACAATCAAGAGACTTGGCTGATAACTGATAAACAGTGGCGTTGATTTTGTATACCTTAGGTTTTGCAGGTGGGGTCCTGGGCCAGGAGGGTGCTGCTGTGGAGGTGGTGTAGCGGAGGGTGGAGCACTAAAGAAGGCACGGAAGCCTGGTGCTGGGGGAAGCATCTGCCCAACTCGCCCTTGTAGCAACTTGGGATTCATGGCAGCAAGTGGACTACCAACAAATCCAGGGACCCGTGCAAACTGGCTGGGAGACATCCGTCCAGGCTGTAGCTACAAAGAGGAAGAAGATCTTAGATTTAGACAATCAGCAAGTCCCCTTGCTTTTGTCTACAGAAAAGTGAATACGGTTTTCCATCAATAACTTTGTTTGAAAAAGTAAAGGCAAAAATAAAAGTAGTGATTAACAGCAAAAAAAGGGGCTATTATCTAATGAACTTTAGGAAAGTAGGAGAGTTCTTTATGGGTAGGGCTAATCACAGGCTTACCTGTGCTCCTCCAAGAAGCTGTGCTCTCTGGAGGGGGCTGAGAACAGGAGGAACACTAGGAGGAAAAGGGTGACCCAGGAGGGAAGAGTTCTAAGGTAAAAAAAAAAAAAAAAAAAAGAATATGCTATAAAACAGGGGGTACATCATAATAAGGAAACTCAGCAGAAATGCAGTATAAACTTGGATATAAAAACTCTCAAATTACAGAGTCAAGCTCTGGAATAGAAAAAAAGAGTAATGCTAGAAATTATAAAAACACCATGACCATGTGACATGAAAAAGAAGCAGTAGAACATGGGACTGAAATGGTAGGAACCAGATGATCACAATGAGTTTAGATTTTTAAAGGTAAGAAAAGAGCTGATGTAAGAAACAACTGTCCTCTGACCTGGGGACAATTAGATCCAGCAATTTAAGTAAGGAGATTATAAAAAATAGGTATAATTTAGGAGATGTCAGCAAATCTAAATACTGGCAGTGATCTTACAAATAGTGATCAGAAAATACATACTGCACATTTTTGTTAGGCTTAAAGTGACATACCGGGACACTGCAGAGCTGGTTTGGAGACATCCTCTCACCATAGGGAGCAGGATAACGAGGTGGCATTGGGGGCCGAACATGGACAGGCTTCGGACACAGAATCTATCAGGACAAACATATATACAACTACACTCAATGAAATCAGTTTTTCTTCCACCTACACTCCCTCCCCTCAAGTACTGGTAGAGACACGAACTCAATGCAAAGCCCTACTTCTAAGCAAATTGCTATGGCTACAGGTTCAAATACAGAACCTTGGGCCACTTTCTCTCACAAATCAAGTAAAGTGTCAGCATTAACTGAGGAAGATTTAGCTAATTCTCCAGTTATCCCCACCCTTCCATGCTGTCTGAGGGAGATACCAGCAGATATTCTGACTTGCAAATTCTCTCCAAGAGGATATATTTTGGTAGCACTGAGGGAGAAGGAATGATAAGAAAGCTGGAGGATTAACTAAGTCCTATTCTGAAGCCCCTGTGATATGGCCGCCATGCTCAGCACTTTTGTGATACATTGTGACTCCACCATTTCATAGGATTTGAGCCTAACTAGGCCATACCAACACCACCCTCCCCCCATACCTTCCAAATTGGCCTTCCTTTTCAGCTGCTGGTTTCAGGTGGAGGAAAGTCTATGGAACAGGACTGCACAGGCTCTAGGGAAAGCAGGGATATCTTAAAGGTAAAAAGGGATGTGGACAATGCTGTGTGTTCCCACTCCCCCCGGCTTTCAGTTATCTCTCTGACAATGTTTTGGGCAGCCAGCAAAACACTTCAAAAAGGATATATGTGCTAAATGTGGCTAACTACCCTTTTTTCTCCCCCAATTAAAAGGCAGCAGCAATAGCAGCAGCAAAGGGTATCAGGGAATGTGTCTCTTATTTGTACTAATTTCTCCTCTAACTAGCTATTTTTCTTTCTAATCTAATGCCTACCCAAAATTTCCACCCTCCACCCAACATCACCAATTTTCCAAATAATTTTGCCCAGATTCCCAATATCCTGGGCTGTGTGCTTGTTAATGAGAGGTACCTGTTGGGTGAAGCTGGGTACAGCCATCTGTTTAGGTGGGGTGCCTATGGGGACAGCTCTAACAGGAGGACTGCCAATGATAGGTGAAGTTGACCGCCTTGGTAATGCTCGTTCAGAAAGGTCCCGATCATCTTCTGGACCCTGGGGGGGCCTCTGAGGCAAAGCATATTCTAATACAGACACTGTAGGCATTTCCTAATTGAGGAAGTGGTAAAATAAAATAGAAATTAACTAACTTGGTATGTTTTAGTAATCTCTACAGATGCCAAAAATACCTTAAGAAATTTTTTTAACTTTTTATTTATTTTTAATTCACATATAGTAAAATTCACTTTTTGGTATATGGTTCTCTGAGTTTGGTAAGCGGCTCATGCCTGAAATCCCAGCGCCTTGGGAGGGTGAGGTGGGAGGATCACTTGAAGCCAGGAGTTTGAGACTAGCCTGGGCAACACAGCGAGACTTCATCTATACAAAAATAAAAAAACTAAGCCAGGCATGGTGGCATGCACCTGTAGTCTCAGCTACTCAAGAGGCCGAGGTGGGAGGATCACTTGAGCCCGGAAGTTCAAGGTTACAGAGAGCTATGACTGTACCAGTGCACTCTAGCCTGGTTGACACAGCAAGACCTGGTCTCAAAAAAAAAAAAAAGAAAGAAAGAGAGAGCAAGAACAGTTGCATCACTCCCCAGAAATTCCATTGTATTGTTCCTTTGTAGTTAACGCCTCCTGCCATGTCCAACCACTAGTAAACACTGATGACCTCTCTGTCCCTATAGTTTTGCATAGAAATGAGTTTTTTTTTTTTTTGAGACAGAGTCTCACTCTGTTGCCCAGGCTGGAGTGCAGTGGCGCAATCTTGCCTTACTACAACTTCCGCCCTGCCTCCCAGGTTCAAGTGATTCTCCTGCCTCAGCCTCCTGAGTAGCTGGGATTACAGGTGCCCACCACCACGCCTGGTTAATTTTTGTATTTTTAGTAAGGATGGGGTTTCACCATGTTGGCCAGGCTGGTCTTGAACTCCTCACCTCAAGTGATCCACCTGTCTCAGCCTCTCAAAGTGCTGGGATTACACGCGTGAGCCACCACGCCTGGCTCAGATATGACTTTTTAAGTGATTCAAATCACAATCATACACTAACAAATTTAAATTCCAATGGCTCCCTTGCAACCTTTACCCTGGAGGCTAAAGAAAGGCATAGCTAAGTGCTGGATGCAGTAGTCGACATAATTCTAGCAAATGAAAGACCTATAAACCCCTTCAGTAAGGAAAGGATGACGACAGGAACTTAAAATTTTTGGATATTATAAATTTTATGTAAAGAGAAAATATTTAATACCTGAGCAAGCAGTGGTCCTCGGATTCGCCTCAGAACTTCAGATCCATCCCAGATACTGGAATTCAGACTTCCTGGTTGGGGCTAACAAAAAAGGAAAACATACAGAGTCTGAAATGTTGTATACTCTCTGGGTGACTTATCTGCTGCTGGGGAACAAGGTTCCAAAAGAGCCTCAAGCTGCTTTAGAATACGAAATTATAGGGCTCCAGAATATACATTATTCCCCAAGTTTATCTCTAGAACTTCTATCATCAGGAAATATATTATCAATTTTCTATGGTATATGTAAATCTCTCATTATAATAGATAAAATAAAATGGCAAAGTTCAATACTTCACTTTAATTTTTAGTCTGCTATAGTTCTCAAATCACAGTAACTTACTTACTTGTAAAACTGGCCTGGTCTGCACTGCCCTCATAATAGCTGGATCTTCTAGTTCATTTTCAATCACCATCTTACTGAGCCTTTCTGCCAGATTCTCCTCATGGTCACCCAACAAGTCCATTTCATCTCTCTCTCCATTGCCTGTTTGTTCATTAACTGCCACTGGTAGCTTTTCTTCCAATTCAGCCAGGCGCTCATGTGCTTCCTGCCAATCATCATCTATAAGATGACACAGTTCATGTAAGAAATAGTTCATAGTGGTACAAAAAAGTTTTACACAATTATTGTTTTTTTTTTTTTAGACAGAGTCTCACTCTGTCGCCCAGGCTGCAGTGCAGTGGCGTGATCTCGGCTCACCGCAACCTCCACCTCCCGGGTTCAAGCAATTCTCTGCGTCAGCCTCCCAAGTAGCTGGAGTAGCTGGGACTACAGGCGCCCACCACCACACCTGGCTAATTTTTGTATTTTTAGTAGAGGTGGGGTTTCACCATGCTGGCCAGGCTGGTCTCAAACTCCCGACCTCAAATGATCCACCCATCTCGGCCTCCCAAAGTGCTGGGATTACAAGCATGAGCCACCACGCCCGGCCTACACAATTCTTCTGCTAAGCAAATGAATAATTCCAGAAGATAGGTAGAAAGTTAAGTTTACACTTAGAAACAGGAAATAAGGTTTAAACTAAGGGACACGTAAAGCATGCTTTTTATAAGTAAAAGCAAATAACATTATACCAGGAATAAAATTCAAACATGTGAATTAATAGCTTAAAACATTATCAATAATGTCCAAACTATATTCTGAAACTGTTTCCCAAATTGGTGATAGATATGTATAGTACTACTAGTTGGTTTTGAGATTCTATGACATTTCAAGCAAAAACTTTAAAGGGAAGTTAAAACTCATAGCATTAGCATACAACTTCCTCTTAGATTTTAAGTGCCACATTCTTTACATGCTTTTGAATCCATTCGTTCCATTCAATTAATATTTGGTAAGCATCTATTATGTGACAAGCCCTGTTTTAGACGCATGGGATACATTGGTGTACAAAAAGACACAGAGATTCTGCCTTCATAACACTTTCATGCAAGCAGGAAAGAGAGAGATGATAGACAATAAGCATAATGATTAGATACTATACCAGAAGATGAAATTGCTGTAGGAATATAAAGGAAGAAAGGCAGATTGAAAATTTAAATAGATGGTCAGAGGTAGGCCTCATTGAGAAGATGACATTTGAGCAAAGATTCTAAAGAGTAAGAGGGTTAGCAATTTGGATATCTGGGAGAAGAGGGTTCCAGGCAGAGGGACAGTCAGTATAAAGAAAGGCCTTAAGGTGAGAGATTGATGGTTTTGAGAAACGGCAAGGAGGACTGTGTCTGGAATGGAATGAGCAGGGTGGGGAGAGTAGAAGAAAATGAGGTCAAGAAGTCATGAGGAGGGAGCTCATTCTGGGCCACTATGATTGAAATGGGAAGCCAATGGAAATTTTCATTTGGCTTAACTTTTAAAAGAATCACTCTGGCTGCTGTGCTGAAAACAGGCTAGGGAAGAGGAAGGGGCATTTCCTCTTTTATCTTAACTATGTCTGCTATTACTGCACACTACTATAAAGTCTGTAGCACTGACATTAAGGTTGTTTCTGCATTTGGTATGTTGGCATCATTTTTTCTGTTTTGGAATCCCATTACAGCACAGATTACAATCTTCAGAACCCTCTATCAGCTGCTCTGGAGCTAGACCTTACTTCCAACGCATCTCACTCCAGTTCTCTCCAATCTTATTCCATTCTGCTTCCATCATGAAAGCTGTACTCACAGTTTTGCTCCATTCAGTATTTTTATTTTTATTTTTTGAGACAGGGTCTCACTGTCGTCCAGGTTGGAGTGCAATGGCGTGATCTGGCTCACTGCAGTCTCAACCTCCCGGGCTCAGGTGATTCCCCCAACCTCAGCCTCCCAAGTAACTGGAACTACAGGTTTGTACCACCACACCAGGCTAATTTTTATATTTTTTGTAGAGTCGGGGTTTCCCCATGTTGCCCAGACTGGTCTTAAGCTCCTGGGCTCAAGCAATCCACCTGCAACAGCCTTCCAAAGAGCTGGGATCACAGGCTTGAGCCACTGCCTCTGGCCTTTCTTTTCAGGTATTCAAATGTGAAACTTCTTCCTCCTCCTCAATGGAGCTACTCCTAAATAATCCTTTCATTTTATTTCTTCCTTTACCTCATCTCTATATGCATTACTTTCTAACCCACAAAAAGTATTATTTTGTATATGTTATATGGTATTCTTTTTTTAGTTACATCCTTTATATGTTTTATAAAATTCAACAGACAGGGATAACAGGTTATAACCAACACAGAAACAGAGACTTTCTTTTTTCTGCTTTCAGAGAAAATACATGTTTAAAAAATTCAAACACCATAAACACATGTAACTTAAGTGAAAGTTCCCCACAATTCCACAGCTGTGTTAAGTTTTAAACAGTTTTAAGCTGTGTTAAGTTTATAAAGTTAACTTGTTTCTTTTTATTTAAGCAATATGTCTTGGACATCTTTTCATGCATGCACACAGGCATAACTACTGATAGTAACTCATTCTTTTTAATACCTACATAAGATTGCATTTTATTGCTAAACTATAATGTAATTTATCCCCTACTGGTAAACATTTGGATTATTTACAATTTTCCAATATAATAATTAATACTGTAATAACATCATACATATCTTAGCATTTTATGTGACTATTTAAATAAACTAATTTCCTTTTAGAATCAGATTACATTAACAGTTAAAATTTGCTATATATATGTAATTTTTAATCATACAACGATGTATCACATAATACTAGTGATCCAAAGAGTGAGGGAAGTGGGACTTTCAAATATATAATTTTGGTATCATAGGACCCACTGCCTAGTTTGGTTGATTTATGTATTAGTTGTGGTAAGGGATTCCTTAAGTTGTGGATCACTGTGCCATCACTGGGATAAAGACTGTGGGCAAAAGCTATAAAAATATCCTTACTTAAGCCTCCGGGACATGGGTCTTCTTTATAATTATGTGGTATTTTCTTTCCCACCCAATAGTTTCCTCTTACCTGAGTGACTAGTCAGGTGGCACTCTTCCTCTAAACTGTCATCTTACAGAAAAGAATTTAAGGTAGCCATTTTATGATGATGGTCTCTGATAAGCCTATCCTGATGTGCTCCAAAAAATGGAAAAATCCACTTTAAATGAAAATTACAGTGTTAATTTAAATGACTAGTCATATGAAAGAAAATATTTAAAGAATAATGTAATTAAAAACCAAATGTGACATTCATATTTGTGTCATCCTTGGTAAGGAACAGTAAGCTGGGACAGGATAAATTGTTTTTTGCAACTTTACTAACTTAGCAATGCCACAAGAGTGGGAATCTATCATCCTGAATTGAGGGATTTGTAAAAACATTTACTTCCCAAATTTAAGAAGTTAATTTGTTAGTGGATTTGTTCTAATGCAGTAGAGTTCTAATTTGCATGCTTTTCTATCACTACTTCCAGTATTCATGCTTGCTAACTTTACCAAATCCTATCAAATATGGATAATCTATTTCCCCTTAATAATAATATTTTAAAAATATTGGTTAAGTCGCCATATTCTGTGAGAATAGATCTCTGGTGAATTGATTGTTACATTTTCAAACATGTAACCAGAGGAATCTATGCCATAAAATACCATCATCATCATTTTAGATTTTTCTTACTCTTGTAAAAAATTATCTGAAGTAGTATTTTAGAGATATTGTGCCCTTACTATAAAACAATATTTCACCCTGTATCTTTTTCAAATGACCTAAAAATATAGTTACTTAGATATGCCAGTGCTTGACCTGAGTCCATTATTGGTCAAAATGATAAAAGGTAGGCAAAAGAATAACAGACAAATGAAGGGAAAGAGATTATCCGTAATAACGAACTAACCTATACTCTGATACGGGTTACTGAATTCCTGGCTGCTTCTATAAACTTATACTTGTAATAACCCCTGAAGCCTGTCTCAGGGAGTTTTGAATGAAAACAAAATAAAAAGGAAGAAGTGATTTAATTTTAAGGCAATCTCAATCTCTAAAGACTATAGTAGCTATCAATAAAAGGGAGGTAGGAAGGAGGGTGATTCCTTCCAAGTGGAGGCAGGAGATTTCCAAAGACTCCCCCAAAACTATTAAACATAACTAGTAGTTTACAGTAATTGTGTCTATAGTTACTTAACCCGTCACTCTTCCTCATTTGTTAAAATGAGGATAATAATAGTACCTATCTCACAAGGCTGCTATGAGGATTAACAATATATGTAAAATATTTAGAATGGTGCCTAGCACATAATAAGCACCATGTTAAGTGTAAGCTTTTATTTTTAGAGAAGGAGTTGGGATTACTGCAACACTATTTATTGCTCTAAGATGATGCAAACATTTTTTCATGCAGAAGACTAGTTTCTTAAGGAAAGGTGACCATTTGTAGCCAGTGACCTAAAATGTCTACTGTAATAGCAGGTATTATTCCAGATGCCCGCTATATGAATTAAAAATCATAAAATCAAAACAAATGTCAAAGGTCTGACATTTCACCTCTTGATTTAAACTCTCTATACCAGCTTTATATCAACCTGCAGAGGAGTATCAAAGAAGTCACAGGTTGACTTGGAAAACAATTTTCTTTTTATAGTATTTACACCAAGCTGTTATGAGGAATTAAGATCTTCACTTTACAATTCCAGTACATTACACTCTCAAGGGAAAGGGCTCACCTTTGGAAATCTTTTCTCTATATTATTATAAACTTTCTTGGCCAAAAAATCCTTTCTAATCACCCTTTGGCCCTAAGGTACAAAGTGGGCTAATCATATGCTATTTAATTGCCTTAACTTTGTACTACCTGTTCTTTTACTGTGTAAACCTAATGGCTTTTTCAGCACGTGTACACTTTTCTTCTTTCCCATCATATAAAATACCGTTCCGGACACTCTAACATCCTTTTAAGGCAATATTATTCCCATCTTATGAGAAAAAATAGAAACTCAGGAAAAAAAGACTGTCCATAGCACTCTGGAAGTCAATGAGAAGGTATGACTCTTCCTCTTCTGTCCAGGTTGAAAACTGAGAACATGGTACAATGCTGCCTCATTTTAATGTCTATAAATCAATTCTAGCTAATTCATTTTAATACTGAAGAATTTGTTGAAAAAATGGTTAACATTCAGTACAGTATTTTAATAGAAAAAGAGTTCTAGAAACAAGCACATGTTGGTAGCTTCTATGGTATTCTATTTTTAAAGTATTTAATTAACTTTTTAGAGACAAGGTCTCGCTCTGTTACCCAGGCTGGAATGCAGTGGCACCATCATAGCTGATGCAGCCCTGAACTCCTGGGCTCAAGGGATCCTCCAGCCTCAGCCTCAACCTCCTAAGTGGTACATACCATCATGCCTGGCTATTTTTCAAAAAAAATTTTGTGGAGAAAGAGTCTCACTATGTTGCCGAGGATGGTCTTGAACTCCTGGCCTCAAGTGATCCTCCTGCCTTGACCTCCCAAAGTGCTGAGAGCTGTGGGCTTGAACCACCACAAATAGCTTATTGTGTCCTACTGATTATCACTAAACTATCTTCCAAATATAATTTGCAATTCACATCAGTTTCCTGCTTTTGTAATTCCACTCTACATCTCTTTGCCTGTGATCTCCATGGAGAGAGATAATAGCATCTTGGATCATGTTATCCTCCTGGACAATCTCATCTCCTAACCCATGCCTATAATCCAAAAGGTCTTTGATTCCTTTCCATCATGAGTCTAGCTTCTACTTTCAACACTTTTCTTGCTGCTTCTAATCATAACAAAGTTTTAGTTCTCTAATGAATTTTACAAATGACTGACAATATTAAAACACCTTCATTTTTGCCAGTTTATTCAAGTCAGTCTAAGCTTTAATAAATGTATTAGGTCACTGCAAAACCAGTGACCATTATAATACTTTAAGGCCTCTTATTTGTTTTTGATATTCAACATCTTGGGATTACTGACTATTGCTAAATTTTCTCTTTTTCCTTATGACTTAACTTGGAGTATTTGTTGCACAGACAGAAGTGTTGCGACTACAAAAGAATCACACACATTTATACATTTGAACATAAACGCTGTTATTGCTGCTTTCCAGCACCAAGTCTAAGCAAACATATCTGCATTGACTCTTACCTATTCATTTGCTTAAAAATATACAGTTTTGGCCAGGCGTGGTGGCTTGCACCTGTAATCCCAGCACTTTGGGAGGCTGAGGAGGGATCACTTGAGGTCAGGAGTTCATGACCACCCTGGCCAACATGGAGAAACCCTGTCTCTACTAAAAATACAAAAATTAGCCGGGCGCTTGTGTTCTCAGCTACTTGGGAGGCTGAGACAGGAGAACTGCTTGAACTGGGGAGGCAGAAGCTGCAGTGAGCCGAGATCATGCTACTGCACTCCAGTCTAGGTGACAGAGCAAGACTCTGTCTCAAAACAAATATATGTGTATGTATACAGTTTAAAAATTTAAATTTCAATTTATTACTCCACTTGTTCTACACCTGTTCTAAGTAACATGTGTTCTCAAACTTTATCATATAAGCTTACTTCCTAAATTTTCCATCTTGGCATTTATAACCCCGTGGCCTGTAACCTTAGTTTGGCTCTTCAGTTTTTAAACTTTTTCCAACTCTTAAAATATGTATCTATAGGCTGGGCGCGGTGGCTCAGGCCTGTAATCCCAGCACTTTGGGAGGCCGAGATGGGCGGATCACGAGGTCAGGAGTTTGAGACCAGCCTGGTTAGCTCGGTGTGGTGGCGGGCACCTGTAATCCCGGCTACTCGGGAGCCTGAGGCAGGAGAACTGTTTGAACTCAGGAGGCGGAGGTTGCAGTGAGCCAAGATCGTGCCACTGCACTCCAGCCTGGGTGACAGAGCAAGACTTCATCTCGAAAAAGAATAAATAAATAAATAAATAATATGTATCTATACCCAGGGATGGACAAAATTTCATCTGTGCATACTTTTCTAACTTATGAGTCCTTTCTTGACCCCCAAAATTCTTGCTATAAAAAGCTTTATATTTTGAAGATACTATAAGTTGCAAAGTTATATACTAGTGATAGACTAAATTTTGAAACACATATACCCACATCCTAGAATCTGAATTTTCTACTAGTACACTAGTTTTCCATAAGTTATATGTTATACAAATAAAAATTCCTCTCATCTAGGATTAATTTAAATCTCTCTTAAATGTTTACTTCTCTAAACATTTGAATCCCTCATAGGGGCAACCTGTAGTCATCGATCATATAGCTGGAAGGGGCAAGGCTTACAGAATACCTGATTTTATAGGTAAGGCAAAAAGAGACCCAGAGGAGCAGGATAGGTGCTGTTTCCAGTGAAGAATGAACTATTCTAAGATGAGGAATAGAAGAATATCTTGCCAAGTTAGTGAATAAGGTTACCCCTAATAAGATAAAGCACTTCTAAAAGACAGCACTTGAAAAGAGCAGGAGGCTAAGATGATATTATAAGCGAAAGATGTCACTTACCAACTGCACCTGACCCAAATGTATCATCATTGAATTGATCAATCTCTTCATCTTCTTCTCCCAGTCCCTGAAATGCATCTTCATCTTCATCCAGAGGACAATCCTCCAAAGACTAAAAAAAAAGAAAAGACATTAGTTATTCATGAAATTCACACCCTCATTTTAAAAATGTTCTAAAAATGTTCATCTTACCTTCTCAATGAACATAATTGCTTCATTATGACTTTTTGTAAAGATGGCATTTTTTTTCTACTTCCCAATTTCCCTGACACTGGAAGATTTCATCATCTTTCTTTCACTTTCTATTTCCTAATCCTTATTTCATTTAATTCTTGCCCCACCTCACAGCATTCCATTTCTCTATTTTATCAAGAATCCACGAACAGCAGTTCCTCATGCAACCAAGAAATTAAGCCCACAACTTTCCTTACATCACTGGTTGGAATACTGATGACAATTAATAATGAACCCTTTATTTTCTTGTATCTTTATGTATCTTTTCCAGCAAAATTCTCATCTTTCTCATTATATTCATGTCATCTTTTCAACTATTATTCCGTTTTAAAGCTTTGTCTTCATTTTCCATCTTTCTTATCTTCCCTATAGGCCTAAACTCTAGTGATGAAACAGAAAATTAGGTCTTCAACCACAATAAAATGAACTCTGGAAAAGCTGTGGTATGACAAGTTCAAGTTCTGGCTCCATTCCTACAATCAGTGTGAACATGGGCAACTCAGAAAATTTCTAATTAATTCATCAAATACCTTTTAAGGACCTATTGCGTCTAAGGTTCTGTGCTAGGCTGTAAGGCTCAATGTCTTACATTGTAATGCAGGGACAATACCAACTATGGCAGAGAGTTGTGATGATCAAAGTGGGCAAAGATTACAGATTATCGAACAAAGGCTAGAGGCCACCACATCCTAGGTGTGTTCTATTTTCCCCCTTTACTTCAATCTTACTCAACTGATTTATTCTCCAAGTTTTCCTTTTGGTTTGGTCTTAGATCATTCCTATCAAGTATACCTGTCCTCAATTTTCAAAAATTCAGAATCAGAATTCCATATTCTATCAGTAGGTACGTTTGTGATACACCTTGCCTGGCTACCTCTTAGCTACCCTGTTTACAATGGAAAGATTAGGTCAAAGGGCGTTCTTCTTACCCCAGAGCCCTTCCAAACTCATGCCAATAGGCATGCCACTGCCTCCTTATCAGAGGCAACTTCCAGCAGTACTCCCTTCCAAATCACAAATATCTACTTTACCAAATCGCTGCTTTTTTAAATTAAAAATTCTTAAGGATCATTTACATCAGTTCTTTCATGCTACAAATTCAGAAAGTTTACGTCCAGAGATTAGGAGTCACTCAAGGTCACACAGTGAGTTGGTGACAGGGTCAGTACTGTCTGCTGCTATTGCTACATTCCCGGCACCTTCTCCAAACCCGCGTCTCCCAGCACTAGCCCAGAAGGAACTTCTGCAGGACACGCCCCCCTCCCAACTCGGAGCCCTCTTTAGTAAACGGGCTGGGGCCCTAATCCAACGGCAAGCCCAGGCCCCCTTCACCTGAAGGTAGCCTGTGTGAATGGGATGTGTGTCAGTGTAATTCGAGTGGAGGTGGGTGGGGGGTGGTTCCGGGTCCAGGGCGGGAAACGCGGCTCTGGGAATTCCCGGGTGACACCTACTTAAGAAAAGCACCCGGGGAGATGCAGTGCTCTACCCTCCGTGGCTCCTCTAGGGGTGGGGGCGGGGGTGTGGTCTGGTTACAGCACTTAACGGGCCCTCCCCACCCCAAAACGGAGGCCAACTTTCCCCAGCGGCAACTAATGGGACTGTCTCGACCCATGAAGCCAGCTCCCAGCCCTAGGATTAGACCCGCGACCCCAGACCAGTCGCGTCCAGCTAAGTCCTGCGACTCCCCCAGCCCGCCCCCTGCCCCGCAGGAACACAGGACCGGCGCGCGGAGAGAGAGTGAGGGAGAGGGGCGCGGGAGGGAGGGAGGGGTCACTTCCGGTCGCAACAGCTCACCTCGTAGCGGAACATTCTTGGGGAGGGGGGCAGGGAGCGGGGAGGGGAGAGGGGGAGGGAGGGAAGAAGCGCTGACTCCCCGGCTCCTCCGCGCGCGGGTCCTCCACCGGCTCGCGACCCCTGGCCGCCGCCGTACGCCGGAGCGTGCGTGGGGACGTGCGCAGGCGCGCCTCAGGCAGGGCGGCCACCCCGCTCGGCGCCCGGCGGCGGCGGCTGCGCAGGGACAGATTTGGCGTCCCGCTTCCTAGTCTCAGCGGCGGGAAGGAGGTCCCGTGGCGAGAGACTGCGCACGCGCTGCCCGTCTTCGGCTGCCTGGTGATCTGGGCTTGTAGCTCCGCCCCCTCTTTCTCCGCGCCCTCTAGGCGCTCGGCTTGGAGCTCAGGGGCCGGTCACGAGTTCTCCGTCACCCGTGGGGCGGAGAAAACCCTTGTGATTGTCACAGGATATAGCTTTGAAGAATCCTGCGCTTAGCCTGGGCTGGGAAAGATGAGATTCCCGGG
This sequence comes from Homo sapiens, assembly GCF_000001405.40. Taxonomy (NCBI): domain Eukaryota; kingdom Metazoa; phylum Chordata; class Mammalia; order Primates; family Hominidae; genus Homo; species Homo sapiens. Next base: position 59,669,381 of record NC_000011.10, read on the forward strand.
CAGTTTTTCCAACGTCCGACTCACTCCTCAGGCTGCTCGGGGGTCTCCCCGTTGCAATCTGCGCCTTGCGCAGGGAAAAAAGAATGGAAAGTTGCTGGTCTTCGAAAGGGGCGGACTTCGTCGCCACTTTCAGCGGCTCGTCGCCTGCTGAATCCACAGCAGGTCAGGGCTGTGATTTATGTGGCTCAAAGTGATGACGGCGCCCGTTTTTTTTTTTTTTTTTTTTGAAATGCTGAAGACAGGTTCCGGGAGGTTTAACTAGGGTGGTATTTTTAAGCGCCAGGCTCATTAGGCGCGAGGAGCTGCAGAGCCTCGAAGGGCCGCACGGCCGTGGGCCGCTGGCCACGCAGCAGCAGGGTCTTCGGGCCGTGGTGCGCCGCTGGGTGACTCCACTTCCTTAGAGGATCGAACCCACAGAGGAATGTGTCCAGCTTAGAAGCTTCGGCCCCCTGGTTCCAGAATTCTGTTGGGTGGTTTGTTACCTCTAGCACGCTCCATGCCCTTCTTGCCCCTTTCCTTTCAGACAAAACTTGCAGCACAAAGAATGAATTCTTTTGGGTTTCGCAATCCGTTTCTTCCCTGGGCGTCTTAAAATGCAGCCTCGTCTCGGAATGGCATACAGTAAATCCCCTAAATGTTAGTGTGTCTGGATCAGTTTGAGTATCGGAAACGCTGAATTTGTGAAGAAAAGTTCTGGGTGGGAGCTTGTGCTTTGCCACTGGCTAGGAAACTTTGGGCAACTTACCTAAACCTCTCTGAGCCTTAGTTTCTTGTAAAATGGGTATAATTACACCTGCCTCATGATGGTAACACTACTAACGATTGAAGGCTGCCTGGGACTCTGCTAGGCGCTTTATAAAATGGATTATCTCATTGAATCCTTCCTTATGTGCCCCCCATGAGGTAGGTACTGTTATTTTCTCAGTTTACAGTTGAGGAACCTGAGGATTAGCGACATTGTTTGCCTCCAACCACCCAATGGCAAGTGGTAAAGCTAGCAGCTGAGATTTGTCTGATTATTAAAAACCGAGTGTCTTAATCACTGTGCCAGAATAACAAAAGCAAATGTTGACATGGGCCAGGCCTGAACTTTAAAGAAGTGGAGCGTCGGGACAAGATGATTTATTGGTTTTCAAGCATGCATGGAACATTATAAAACATCAAATACTAAGTAACAGGCCAGGCGCGGTGGCTCACGCCTGTAATCCCAGCACTTTGGGAGGCCGAGGTGGGCGGATCACAAGGTCAAGGAGATCTAGACCATCCTGGCTAACAGAGTGACACCCCGTCTCTACTAAAAATACAAAAAATTAGCCGGGCGTGGTGGCGGGCGCCTGTAGTCCCAGCTACTCGAGGGGCTGAGGCAGGAGAATTGCGTGAACCCGGGAGGCGGAGCTTGCAGTGAGCCGAGATCGCACCACTGCACTCTAGCCTGGGTGACAGAGCAAAGACTACGTCTCACAAAAAACAAACAAACAAACAAAAAAAACTAAGTAGCAGTACATCTTAATAATTACCAAAGAATTGGTGCCATGTAGATCAAGGGTTAGCAGACTATGGCCCACAGTCCAATCTGGCCAGCCACCCGTTTTTGTAAAGCAAGCTTTATTGGAATACAGCCAACCTTATTTATTTACATATTGTCTTTGATTGCTTTAATGTTATAAAGTCAGAGTTGAGTGGTTACAATGGATACAGTGTGGCCTGTAAAGTGTAACATATTTACTATTTGGCGCTTTACAGAGTTTGCTGATCCCTGATCTTGCAGATCATGTTTTCTGATCATTATGTAAGATATCAATAGTAAAAACAGATTAGGAAAAAAGTCTTAAGTTTTCAGAAATTAAAAAAGAAAAAAAAAAGTCCTGGCGCGGTGCCTCACGCCTGTAATCCCAGCACTTTGGGAGCCCGAGGCGGGCAGATCACGAGGTCAGGAGATGGAGACCATCCTGGCTAACATGGCGAAACCCTGTCTCTACTAAAAATACTAAAAATACAAAAAAATTAGCCGGGCGTGGTGGCGGGCGCCTGTAGTCCCAGCTACTCGGGAGGCTGAGGCAGGAGAATGGGGTGAACCCAGGAGGCAGAGCTTGAGGTGAGCCGAGTTCGCGCCACTGCACTCTAGCCTGGGTGACAGAGCGAGACTCTGTCTCAAAAAACAACAACAACAACAACAACAACAACAACAAAAACCAAAAAACCCCTCCAATTCAATGACTAAATAATGGAAAGCAGAAAATAGTTACAACTGATGTGGTGGGTGGATTGCATGAGCTCAGGAGTTGGAGACCAGCCTACGCAACATGGCGAAACCGCGACTCTACAAAAAGCACAAAAATTAGCTGGGTTAGTTGTTTTATTAGCTGCTCTGCATTATTTCTGGTCGTGGTGGTGTGCACCTGTGCCTGTAGTCCCAGCAGCTACTCGGGAGACTGAGGACGAAAATAGGGAAGCCTGAATATAAATTAGCTATAAAATAAACCCAAAGAAAGTACAAGGAAAGAAATGCTGTAGAGCAGGAATTAAAGGAGCAGAAAACAAAGTGTCATAGACAGGATCAACAAAATTTCCCATTTCCTCTTATACAACACCTGTCTGTGAGGGAGATTGAAAGTCCCTTTAAAAGAATAATGTATTTTTAGGCGGGTGCTGGTGGTTCACGCCTGTAATCCTAGCACTTTGGGAGGCCGAGGCGGGCGGATCACGAGGTCAGGAGATCGAGACCATCCTGGTTAACACGGTGGAACCCCGTCTCTACTAAAAGTACAAAAATTAGCCAGGCATGGTGGCACCCACCTGTAGTCCCAGCTACTCGGGAGGCTGAGGCAGGAGAATTGCTTGAACCTGGGAGGTGGAGGTTGTGGTGAGCTGAGATCACACCACTGCACTCCAGCCTGGGCAACAGAGGGAGACTCCATCTCAAAAAAAACTATATATATATATATATATATATATATATATATATATATATATATGGTTTTTTTTGTATATATATATATATATATATATATATATATAGTTTTTTTTGAGCTGCTAATAGGCCCATTATTAAGATGGAAAAGGTACAAGTTCTTTTCACAAGTGATTCTTTAGACATAAAGTATGATGTTTCTGGGAACTGTCCCTTGAGTGGGTGGGAGAAGGGAGGTGTCTCCTGCATGCCAAGTACATGGGAAAGGTTATTGACAGCTGAGGAAGGCCATCAATTAGAGAAAGCCACCACACCAGCTTTCTTTGGCATTATCTATGCTTTCTGGAGGCTCTGTAAGCCATTATAGTATTTACAGAGTATACATGTTTCTTTTTTACTTTTTTTTTTTTTTTTTTTTAAACCTGACAAGTTACTTGGGCTAGAGTGCGGTTGCATGATCACAGCTCACTGAGCTTCGACCTCCTGGTCTCATGCGATCCTCTTGTCTCAGCCTCCCAAAGTGCTGGGCTTACAGGCGTGAGCCACCACACCTGGCCTGTTTCTTTTCTAAATGTAAAAAAACATGACGTACAATTTACTTTCTTGTGAGACTGGTTTCAGATATTTTCATCAAGTAACTTACATCTCTAAAACACTGATTCCAAACTTTAACATGCATTTAGAATTGCCAAGATGGCTTGTTGAAACATAGACTACTGGGCCCCATCCCCAGAGTTTCACATTCAGTAGGAGGGAAGTCAGGCCTGAGAATTTGCATTTGTAACAAGTTGCCAGATTATTCCGACGCTACTAGTTCTGTGACTACACTTTGAAACCCCACATTGTCCATTAGTACTTGCAGGGTTATAGAGGGAGAAAAGAGTAGGGTGCTGCACCCAGGGTCATTTCTCATGTAGTGAAAAAAGTTATGACAAACCTCCCAGAAAGTAATGGGACCCCTTAGTGCAACAAATCTTAGGGGAAAAGAATTACCCATATAATAAAAATAACTGTTACAAGGCAAAATTTGTGATGGACTAAACATGGCCACAAATTCTTTGACAGTTCTCCCATTTAATAATTAACTGATTAGTTTTTATTATTTACTTTTCAGAGATGGGGTCTCACTCTGTTGCCCAGGCTGTAGTGCAATGGTGTGATTATAGTTCACAGCAGCCTCAAACCCCTGGGTTCGAGTGATTTTCCTGCCTCATCCTTCTGAATAGCTGGGGCTACAGGCACACACCACTATACCCAGCTTATTTATTTTTTATTTTTATAAAGACAGGGTCTCACTATGTTGCCCAGGCTGGTCTCAAACTCCTGGCCTCAGCCTCCTGCATAGCTGGGATTACAGGCGCAAACCAGCACACCCTGCTACTTCTCCCATTAGGAGGTAAGATCTATGTTCCCTTTTCCTTGAATCTGGACTGAGCTATGACTGCTTTGACTAATGGAATATGGAAGTGGAGATGCTCTGCCAGTTCTGGGTCACCTTTAAGAAGATTGGCAGTGTAAGTCCATGTAAAATACCCGGCTGCTTTGCTGAAGAGATCACATGGAAGGACCCTGAAATTACATAAAGAGGAAGGTGGGTCCAGCTCTATTTAGCTTATTAACCATCCCAGTCAAGACACCAGGTATGTGAATGAAGCTGTCTTGGACTCTTCACACCTGTTCAGCTACCAGCCAAACACTGTGACTCCATTCCATGCCATAAAGAGCGGAAGAATCACTCAGCAAAGCTGCTCCAAAATTCCTGGCCCATAGAAGTATTTTATATATATATATAAAATATAAAATACTTTATTATATATATTATATATATATATATAAAATAAAATGGTTGTAGTTTTAAGCCACAAATTGTATTGTTTGTTTTGTTTGTTTGTTGTTTTTTGAGAGGGCTGCAGTGCAATGGTGCAATCATAGCCCACTGCTACCTCAAACTCCTGGGCTTAAACCATTCCCCCACCTCAGCCTCCCCAGTAGCCAAGCCTTCAGGCACGTGCCACCACATGTGGCTATATATATATATGTACATTTCAACCACAAAGTTTTAGAGTAGTTTATTGCTCACTAATAGATAGTGGGAATGTGTCCGTTTAGAAAAATTATACAAAACTTGGAAATAAGGAAAAAGGATTGTTGTGTGCCTTGCAATGTTGTAATAAGAACATTATCTAACAAGCCTGCCTAAAGGTCATTTAAAGTTCTACAGAGAGGTAACCTTGTTTGACTTAGTGTTTATTATTAATTAATGAGATCCCAGACTCAGTAAAGTTAGATATTAGTTTATAGAAGATTAACAAGTTGCAAATTATTTTTGTCCAGTGGAGATAATTTCATTTTGGTGGGAAAGATCATCTCAAAGGAGACAGTTTTATTGCCACACAGGACATTAACCAATAATATATTTAACTTTTGAGTCTTAATTCAGCCATTTCCCCCACTATATAGTTCATAGTTTCTTGTGTCCTCCTTTGAATCAGCTTCACCACCTTGCTGTTTCTTTTCATTAATAAGATAAATAAATATTTTGACACATGCTCATAATGTAATTGAAAGAGAATAATTTTTATTTAGCTTTTTGAAAGTTATACTTTGGCAAACTATTAAACTTTTTTTTTTGCAGGGGATTCAACTCAATACGTATTTATCGAGAATCTATTATGTAAAATGGTGAGAAGTGATATCTATATTATAGCCTACTGTGCAATAGCATTATGTCTTTAAAAACGCAATGTACATACCTTAATTAAAAAATGCTTTATTGCTAAAAATGCTAATGATCATCTAAGCCTTTAGCGAATTTTAATCTTTTTCCTGATGGAGGGTCTTGCCTCGATGTTGATAGCTGCTTACTGATAAAGGCAGTGGTTGCTGAAGGTTGGGGTGGCTATGGTAATTTCTTAAAATAAGACAAGGAAGTAAGCCACCTCGATTGACTTTTCCTTTCATGACGGAAAAGTTTCTCTGTAGCATGCAGCGCTGTTTGGCATTTTACCCATGAATTAGAACTTTCAAAATTGGAGGCAATTCTCTCAAACACTGCTTTATCAACTAAGCTTGTGTAATACTCTAAATCCTTTATTATCATTTCAGCAATGTTCACAGCATCTTCACCGGGAGAAGATTCTATCTTAAGGAAACTCTTTTCTCATGCATAAGAAGCACCTCCTTACCTGTTAAAAGTTTAATCATGAGATTGCAGGAATTCAGTCACATCTTCAGGCTCCACTTCTAATTCTAGTTCTCTTGGTATTCCACCGCACCTGCAGTGACTTCCTCCACCGAAGTCTTGAACCTCTCAAAGTCATCCATGAGGGTTGGAATCAACTTCTTCCAAAGTCCTGTTAATGTTTGTAGTGTTATGAAATATATATACATATAGGTTTTCATACACAGGAAACAGAATCTCTTTGACCTTCTCTTGCCTTCCTTTTACCTGCCTTCCTTTCACCTACCCCAAAGCAGGACTCTAATCTTCTGCTTTTATAATTGTGGATCATAAGACTCATTTCAGAGAGGGTCCCAACCCATGGCCTGGGGGAAGGAATGCTGATATAATGAAGCTTCCATAAAAATCCAAGAGGACAGCTTCCTGATAGCTGAACAAGTGGAGGTTTCTGGGGAATGGCTACCTGGGGAGGGCATGGGAGCTCCGTGTCCCTTCCTCCATACCTCTCCCTGTGCATCTCTTCATCTGGATCCTTCGTGATATCCTTTATAATAAACTGGTAAATATAAGTGTTTCCTTAGTTCTGTGAGCCACTCCAGCAAATTATTGAACCCAAAGAGGGGGTCATGGGAACCTCAACTTGAAGCTGATTGATCAGAAGTTCCAGAGACCTGGACTTGCAACTGGTGTCTGGGGGGAGGAGGGAGTAATCTTGGGGACTGAGCCCTTTACCTGTGGGAACTGACATATCTCCAGGTAGTGTCAGAATCGAATTGGAGGATACCCAGCTGGTCTCCACTGCTTGTTGGTGGGGAAAATCCCCCATATATTTGGTCACAGAAGTCTTCTGTGTTGATTGTTGTGGTGTGAGAGCAGAGGACAAATGCAGTTTAAGTTTTTCCATGACAATGTTGATACTTTGACCCCTTCCTATGACTCACAAATGTTCTTTTTGCGGGCAGGGGGCAAACAAGTGCAGTGGCACGATCTCGACTCACTGCAACCTCCACCTCCTGGGCTCAAGCCATTCTCCCATCTCAGCCTCCCAAGTAGCTGGGGCTATAGGCGGGCACCATCATGCCCGGCTAATTTTTGTATTTTTTGTAGGGACAGGGCT